>NC_000016.10:32899387-33214595 GCF_000001405.40 Homo sapiens | reverse complement strand
GATCATATTTTCAGCGAAGAGAGATAGTTTGACTTCTTTTCCTGTTTCGTTACTTTTTCTTTCTCTTGCCTGATTGCTCTGCATAGGACTTCCAGTACTAAGCTGAATAGGAGTGCTGTGAGTGAGCATCCTTGTCTTGTTTCAGTTCTCATAGAAATAGTTTTAAGTTTTTAACCTATTGAGTATGATGTTGACTGTGGGTTTCCCATAGATGACTCTTATTATTTTAAGGTATGTTCCTTGGATGCCTAGTCTATTGAGGATTTTTACCATGAAGTAGTGTTGGATTTTATTAAGAAGACCTTTGTGTATCTGTTTAGAAAATCATATGGTTTTTACTTTTGATTCTATTTAGCTGGTGAATCACATTTATTGGTTTGCATATGTTGAACCAGCTTGCATCCCAGGAATAAAGCCTACTTGACCATGGTGTATTACCTTTCTGATGTGGTGCTGAATTTGGTTTGCTAGTATTTTGTTGAGGATTTTTACATTTTCTGTTCATGAGGGATCTTGGTCTGAAGTTTTGTTTTTTCACAGTGTCTCTGCCAGATTTTCATATCATGCTACTGCTGGTTTCAAAGAATGAGTTAGGAAGGAGCCCCACCGCCTCGATATTTTGAAATAATTTTAGTAGGATTGATATCATTTCTTCTTAGTATGTCTGGTAAAACTCAGCAGCCAATCTACCTGTTTCAGGCCTTTTTGTTGTTGTTGTTGTTGTTGGTAGGTTCTTTAGTACTGACTCAATGTCAGAAGTTGATATTAGTCTACTTAGAGTTTTGATCTCTTTCTGATTCCATCTTGGGAGACTGTGTGCTTCCTGGAATTTATTCATTTTCTCCAGATTTTCTAATTTGCGTGCAGAGCTGTTCATAGTACTCGCTGAGGATCTTTTGTATCTCTATCTGATCCATTTTAATATAACCTGTCATTTTTATTGCGCTTATTTGGATCTTCTCTTTCTTTTTTATATTTGTTAATTTGGCTAGGAGCTTATCAATTTTTTTTGAAGAACCAATTTTTTGTTTTCTTGGACTGTTGTATACATTTTTGCATCTCAACTTCATTAAATTCTTCTCTAATTGCTGTTATGTCTTCTCTCATGCTAGCTTTGGGGTTGGTTGGTTCTTTTTTTCAAGTTCCTTTAGGTGCAAAGTTACATCGTTAATTTGAGACATTTCTAACTTCTTGATAAAGGCATTTAGGGCTATAAAGTTTCCTCTTAACACTGCTTTGGCTGCATCTTAGAAATTTTGGTAAGTTGTGTTCCTATTTCTATCAATTTCAAGTAATTTTTATATTTCTGCCTTACTTTGATGTTTACAAAGGATTTATTCAGGAGTAAGTTGTTTAATTTTCATGTATTTCTGTAGTTTTGAGAGATCTTGGTATGCATTTGTATTTTTTATTGTACTGTGCTCCAACAGTGTGCTTGGTGAGATTTCATTTTTCCTTAATCTATTCAGGCTTTATTTATCACTGAGCACGTGGTTGAACTTAGAATTTTTTTTTGTGCAGATGAGAAAAATGTACAT
Organism: Homo sapiens; assembly: GCF_000001405.40. Classification (NCBI taxonomy): domain Eukaryota; kingdom Metazoa; phylum Chordata; class Mammalia; order Primates; family Hominidae; genus Homo; species Homo sapiens. The sequence goes on along the minus strand of NC_000016.10, from coordinate 33,213,057 downwards.
TCTGTGGTTGTTCGATGGAGTTTTCAATAGATGTCTATTAGGTCCAATTGGTCAAGTGTGGAGTTTAACTCCAGAGTTTTCCTGTTAGTTTTTTTTTTTTTTGGCCTCAGTGATATGTCTAATGCTGTAAGTAGGGTGTTGAAGTCTCTTACTACTATTGTGATGTTGTCTAAGCCTTTTTGTGGGGAAAGAAAAAGTCATTTTGTAAATCTGGGTGCTCCAATATTAAGTGTATATATATTTAAGATATTTAAGGCTTCTCACAGGATTTTATCCTTTATCAATATGCCCTTGTTATTCTTCTTTTCATTGGTAGGCAAAGAAGAAGTCATTTTATGAATTTGGATGCTCCAGTGGTAATCACATATATATTTAAGATAGTTAAGGCTTCTTGTTAGATTGCACCCTTTATCAAAATGCTCTTCTTGTCCCTCTTAGTGTTTTTTTTTTTTTTTTTGGTTTAAATTTGTTTTATCTAATATAAGAATAGTGACTGCTGCTTGTTTTTGTTTCGTTTGCATGGTAGAATACACTCCACCCTTTTACTCTGAGGCAAAGGGTGTGTCTTGAAAGCAACAGATGGATGGGTACTGTCTTTTTATCCAGGATGCCACTTTGTGTCTTTTAACTGTGGTGTTTAGCTTACTTACATGTTAGGTGAGTATTGATATGTGTGATTTTGAATTCACCATCATGTTGTTAGCTGGTTGTTATGTAGAGTTGATTGCATTATTGCTTTATAGTGCCTGTGGGCTATGTGCTTAAGTGAGCTTTTTTGGTAGCAGATATCATTCACTTGAATCCATGTTTAGCACTACCTTAAAGACCTCTTGTAAGGCTGGTCTAGTTTAAATGTATCACGTCAGCATTTGCTTGTCAAAGGAATTTTTTTTTTCCTCTTTCACCTATGAAGCTTAGTTTAGAGGGATATAAAATTATTGGTTAATTTTTTTTCCTTTAAAAACTCTGCAGATAGGCCCCTAACCTCTTCTGGTTGCAAGGAGTCTGCTGAGAGGTCTGCTGCTAGTCTGATGGAATTCACTCTGTGAGTAACCTGCCCTTTCTCTCTAACTGATCTTAAATTTTTTTTTGCACTGACTTTGGTGAATCTGATGACTATGTGACATGGAAATAGCAATATGGTTTGGATCTGTGATTCTGCCCCAATCACATGTGGAACTGTAATCTTCAATGTTGGAGGTGGGGCCTGCTGAGAGGTGATTGGATAATGGGGATAGATCCTTGTGAATGGTTTAACACCAGCCCCTTGTGCTGTCTTGCGATAACGTTCTCATGAGATCTGGCTGTTTAAGAATGGGTAGCACCTCCCCGCTCTCTGTGTTGCTCCTGTTCTTCCATGTAAGATGCCTTGCTCCCCCTCTTCCTTCTTCCATGGTTGTTAGTTTCCTGAGGGCTCCCCATAAGCCAAGCTGATGCTGCCATGCTTCCGCTGCAGCCTGCAGAATTGTGAGCCAACCAAACTTCTTTTCATTATAAATTACCCAGTATCAAGTATTTCTTTATAGCAATGTGAGAACTGACTAATACAGACTGTCATATATTATTGTATCTGACTAGGGGCTGACTGGGGTTCTCTTGGATTTGAATGGCAACCTCGCTAGTGAGATTAGAGGTACTTTCATGAACTATATCTTCATACATATTTTCCAACTTGCCTATTCTCTTTCCTTCTCTCTCAGAAATGTTGATAAATTGTAGATTTGTTCTCTAAGTAATCTCATATTTCTCAATGGGGATGTTGATTTTTCTTAATTCTTTTATCTTTATTTTTGTCTGACTATGTTGATTCAATAAAACAGTGTTTGAGCTCTGAGATTCTTTTCTCAGTTTAGTCTATTCTGCTGGAAATACTTCTGATTTTATTATAAAATCCTCACAGTAAATCTTTCAGCTCAAGAATTTTTTTAGTTTAGATATTTCTTAAGATTGCTATTTTATCTTTCAGGTTTTGAATCATTTAACCGGATTGCTTGGCTTCCTTGGGTTAAGTTTCAACTTTCTTCTCAATCTAAATGAGTTTCCCTGCTCTTTTTTCCATGTCTGTCATTTTAGACAATTCAGACTGTTAAAAACCATCACTGGGGCACTAGTGGGCTCTCTTGAAGGAGACACTCTGGCTTTTTGCATTGCCAGAGATTTTGAGCCAATTCTTTCTCATCTGAGAGAACTGGTATACCTCTAATTGGGGTATAAATTGAGTATAGTCTATTGGCTTTCTTTTTTTGAAGGTTTTCAGAGGACTAGGACTCTGTACAGTGTCTTTGTTGTTGAATTCTTGCTCTTGGTTTCACAGGGGAAGAATTAGTAAAGTGATTTTTGGTGGTGTAATCTCTACTGCGATCCAGTAGATAGCACTTGAGAGCAGTGGGATGTAGATAGGTTCTTTACCATGCAGTTCCTTTGTGTATCTTCTTTATTTGCAACTATGTTCTGTGGTACAGGTCTGTTCATGAGTCTTGAGAGACTCACTTCCAATCACTGGCACTATGCCCATTATTATTACTATCATTATCTCCTTTTTTTTTTTTTTTTTTTTTTTTTTTTTTGAGACAGAGTCTTGCTCTGTCGCCCAGAGACTGGAGTGCAGTGGCAGGATCTCAGCTCACTGCAAGCTCTGCCTCCTGGGTTCATGCCATTCTCCTGTCTCAGCCTCCCGGCTAGCTGGGACTACAGGCGCCCGCCACCACGCCTGACTATTTTTTTGTATTTTTAGTAGAGACAGGGTTTCACCGTGTTATCCAGGATGGTCTCGATCTCCTGACCTCGTGATCCACCCGCCTCCGCTTACCAAAGTGCTGGGATTACAGGCGTCAGCCACCGCGCCCGGCCTATTACTATCATTATCATTATTGTCATTGTTGTTAGGTGTTTCAAGCTGTGGGGCTTCCTCAGGGAGATGTCTTCTAGAAAAATACCCTGCATCTTTACCATAACAGCCCTGTGGAAGGAGGTGTGCCTAGGGCCCACGCCAGCCTGTGAACCTGTGTGAATCTGGCCTCTCAGTTTCTGAAGAGTGTGGGTTCCTCCCCCATTCAACTGCCCAGCACAGATCCCAGCTTGACACTCCTGAACCACAGGCCACAGCACTGGAGTGCCACGACTTGCTTATGACTCCCTCTTCCTGATGCTTAGGGCCAGGTTCCAAGTGTGGTGAGGGATCTGAGGGATTTCTGGGCTGCCAGAATGCATTCAGGTGGAGCCAAGCATCCAGGTTGGGTAGCAGAAACTACAATGTATACATGCTTCTCCCAGGAAGCCAGGCAGGGGCCATGTAAGAGGCTGGTGGACAGGCATGCCTACAGGATAGACATGTCCCAGTCCTGCGGGTAAGCAGGCCTTGCTTTCTCCCTGCAGTTTAGCTGGGGCCAAAGCCTCTGAGAGAGATAGGCAGCTGCAGAGGTGGGACTTTATGGTTGAGCTCCACCAGATCCGACCCATGCTAAAAAGTCCTGGCTCTGTGCCTGCTACAGCTCCATCTCCATCTACTCTCCAGGGAGATCTCCTTGCCAACTCACATGTCCATGGGGGTGTGGAGTTTCCTGCAGCCAGGATCCCAGTGGTCTGCAGCGAGAGTGAGCAGCCTCCCAGTCCCTTTACTCACTTCTTCCCCAGATGCCACTCAGGGCCAAAAAGCAGTCATAGCGTTCAGGCACCCCATAAGGGCACCCCAGCTTCCTTGCTCTTCAGTCTTAGAAAACGCACCTTTTCTCCATCCACACTATCCATTTTCTCTCCAAATATCTATTCAAACTATGTTGATGTAGTCAAAATTGTGGTCTTTCTCTTTGGGAGCAACACTTGCTGGCTGCATCCAGTAAGCCATCTTGGAAACTCTCTTAAAAGTACTAATGTGGCAATTTCTCCTAAAATTATCTATAAATGCAGTGCAATCCCAATCAAAAGCCCAATAACTTTTTTTAAATGGAAACAGAAACTAACATTCTAAAATTCAAGTGAAATCTCAAGGAACCAAGAATAGTCAAAACGATCGCAAAAAAAAGAGATAAAAATGTTCAGAGCTCTAATTTCATAATGAGAAATTTCCTAACGTCAAAAGTTACTCACAGTCATGTTACTCAAAACAGTGTGGTACTGGGATAGAGACTACAAACAAATGAAATAAAATAGTGTCTCTCAGAGGACACTATCAATAGAGTAACAGGACAACTCTGAATAATAGAACATACTCCATAACAATACTCTAATAATACATCTGGCAAGGTATTAATATAGGGAAAATACAAAGTAAAAAGGTTTGAAAATCTTCAACACTCCTCATGATAAAAACATTAAATAAACTGGAAATAGAAAAGATATTGTAAGACATCTATAAAAACCCCACAGCTAACATCATACTTGATGTTAAAAGACAAAATGCTTTCTACCTAAGATCAGAAATAAGACAAAGATGTCTGTTCTCACGACATCTATTCAACATGGTAAAAAAAAAGCTGTTAGCTAGGAAATTAGGCAAGAACATAAAAGTATTAGTGATTTTAAAGCAAATACACACATAGCACCCAGGCATAAATACAAAAGCAGACTTTTCACTGCACATAAAGGTGGATACACGCAGACAAAGACACGCAAGCTTGTTAACTGTCAGAGTTAGCAGCTGAAACACATAAATAAATGCTCAGAGAGACACCCAGTTTAGACCTCTGCTCTCTTTACCACACTCTCCTCCCACATTAGCAGTAACCACTATCTTACACATTGTTTATTTTACTTGTATTATATATTTATTTTTTCCTAGAATATCAGCTTCAAGTGGGCAGAATTATTTGTTTTGTTTTAGTCATTGCAGCACCTCCTAGAACATCTGCTACACAGGGCAAGATTAATACATAATAAATCACTGGGCTCAAATTCACACAACTATACACAGTGCTTTTCCATGAACCTCATCATAGGCCCATATAAACTTGATTTGCACAAAATGAGTTTTTCTTAACTCGATCTTATGTGGCAGGGTGGTGTCTTCTGAACTCCAAACAAATTCCTAAAGGTTAGCTTACTCAAATGAATTGAAAATGTAAGTCCACACAAAAACCTGCACAAAAAAGTTTACAGCAATATTAATTGTAGTTTTCACAAAACTTGGAAGCAACCAAGATCATGTATTCACCAAGGTCAGAGGTACAAAATTATTATACAAAAATCAATTCTACTTCTATACACTTGCAATGAAATATCTAATAATGCAGTTGAGGCAAAAACAAATCCATTTACAATAGCAATTAAATAATAAATCATAGAAATAAATTTTTAAAAATGTGAAAGGAACTTATAATCTGAAAACTACAAACCTTATCGAAAGAGGTTGAAGATCTAAATAAATGAGAAACCATTCCATGTTTATGAATCAGTAGGTTTAATACATTATGATGACAATAACTCCCCAAACAGTCTACATCCAGTACAATTAGATTCAGTACAATTAGAATTCAAGGTGACTACCATGTAAAAACTGAAGCATTGATGCTGAAATTCATATAAAATTAAAAGGGACTAAGAATATCTTTAAAAATCTTTAAAAAGATGCCAAATAAAAGGACTCACAAATTACAACTTCAAAATTTGCCTCAAAGCAACCTTAATCAAGATGGTGTAGTAACGACACAAGGAAAGTCATTTAGATCAATGAAATACAACTGAGAACCCAGAGAGAGTAAAATCAGCAAAATGTCAAGAATGTACAGCTCCAAACACCTGCTCCTCCACAGAAACAGGGAAAACCAAGCAGAACTGTCAGAAACGATGTTGTAAAACCTGTTGAAAACCATCAAGTTGTACAGCAACCATGTAACTACAAAATCAAGAAAAACAATGAAGAACAGGAGAAAAGCCTCGTGGACTTTTTACACGTCCTTGCCCAAATCCTTCCCTTACTTGATGGCAGTCTTAAAAACAACATCCTGAGTTGCCAGTATGGGCCTCTGCTCAGTGGTTCCAGAGGGAAAAGAGGAGGTCTTACTTGCAAAGTATTGTGTTGTTACATTAAAATCTGTATTAGGGCTATCCAGAGGTCTGAAACAAGGCTCTCTTTTTTCTCTAAGTCAGAAAAAAAAATCAGTTTAAAAAATTGGCACGAGTTACTTGGGAGTATTTTAAGGAAACTGAAAGCCAGCAGCCCCCTGGAGAACAGATTACAGACGACACATACAATAGGTCACATAAAGCCAAGAATAAAAAGCTAACGTGAGATTTTGTTTTGTTTTACAAATTAGGCTATTAAAAAGCACCCAGGTATGCTGGCAAATTGACAAAGCACTCTGTGCATAACCACGAAAAACACATTTTCTTAAAGACCCAAGAAGACCCTCATTTTCAGCACTGGCTGACCTTCAGGCTCAGCTCAGCAGAAAGTGAAGACTGAAGCAAAGTTTTCAACAGTCTGCACATGTGTTAAAGGAACGCCCCAGCCCAGAGCCATCCACAAAAACTGGAAGAATCCGTCAGTTTGTCTTTGTCTCAGTTTTGTCATATAGACCTTTGTGACACACAGATCTATATACAATGGAAACTACAAATTTCTAATGAAAGAGCCATGAAAGATCACAAAAGATCTTAATAAATAGAAAGACATTTAATGTGCATGATCATAAAATCTCAATATTGTCAAGATATAATTTCTCCCCAATTTGAGTTATAGGCAAGAGAGTCACATCATCTAGGTGATTGGCCAAACATATGTCACAATCCCTTCCATTGACAGCTCCCAAAAAAGGAGTTACATCACCTAGGTGCTCAGCTCTGAGATGTGTCACAACATTGCCCAATACAGGCAGGCCACAGGCGGGAGAGTCACATTTCCTGGGTGCTTGGCCCAGTGGTATGTCACATTTCCTTATGTAGGAAGGGCACACGTAGCAAGAGAGAGTCACATTACCTAGGTACTGTGCTAGAGCTATCAGTCTCTGTGTCGTTCAATGTGAGAGTTATGATCTCTTTAGACATCCATGTAACAGAGCCTCAACTCCTTCATCCTCAGATGTAAAGGCTAGTGAAGACCAAATAAGCCTTGAAAGGTAATTCCCCTAAAAAGGCAGAATGTCTTAGGCTTTGGCCTCTCCCCTTCAAGCACAATGAGATCATAACCTCTCTTTTGACTTCTCACTATGCCCAGCACTGGAACAAAGCTCCTGACTCCACACCCTCACCTTTCCACCCTTGTGCCTTCACTGGGCAGACAAGAGATGAGAAGACCTGAACTCTGGGACAGTCTGGGGAGAAAAGAATCCAAAAAGGGTTGAGGCGGCAAGGGCTGAGCTCCCACGGGTGCCCCGGCCCAAAGGTGCAGGTCCAGGCTGTTTTCCAGGTGGCATTCAGTGCAGGTTCTTCAATGCCACTGGAAGGCATGAAAAACCCACTGTAGCTGCTGCTGCTTCCTTTTCTTAAGCTGTGAAAATGCAAACACTTTTTCAAGGTTTTCAGATATGCCCAGGTACCCCCAACTGAAAAGGAGGATAATGGCATTGTTCATCATGGCTTATTGTCTTGCCCAGGCAGGAGCCAGCCCCTGACTCGCCAATCCAGCTGCCCCAGGCTGGAGGTGATCCTTTCGAGCCTCCTCCCTGCAACTCCACTCCTCTTTTTTCTCTTCCTCAACCACCGGCATACTTTTGGTCATCCTCCTTGTTGTCACAATGGGGGCGTGATGCCATAAAGACCTGGGAACCCCAATGATCTCAGGTCCCGCAGGGGTCAGGTGAGCATATAGGAAGTCCAGAAGGACAGTCATCTGCCACCTCCAGTTGAAAAAGAACAAAACCCTCGCACTCCAGAAATGAGTCAAGAACCCAGCGAAGGCCACAGGTCTAGCCCACAACCACCTAGGTATGTGGGGTCCTCCAAGGCTCACGCTTGTGTCCTGCAGGCTGGAGCCCATGCGAGGGTCTGCAGTCTTTGTTCCGGATGGGGAACTACTGCTTCAGCTGGTTACCCAGGTGTCCCCGATGGGGAAAGGAAGGAAATGGTGAGAATCTTCAGCACAACGGATCACATCACCCTGGCAGAGACCAGTCCGGCCTGCGCATGGCACCAGCAGCCGCAGGCTAGAGGCAGTCATGTCAGGCCTCCTCCATACAGCATCTCTCCTGCTTTTTTTTCAAACGGCCCTAATCACTTAATTTGGTCATCTTCCCTGTCACAATGGGGCACCTGGCGCTATAGACACTTGGGAAACACACAGATCTGGGGTCCTACAGTGTCCAGGTGAAGACGCCGGGAGTCAGAGAGGAAAGTCTTTTGAAGCCTCCAAAAGGAATGCACAGGACCCCACTTGAAGAGGTGGAGTGCCCAGTGGCGGATACAGGCCCCACACATCGCAGCAGTAAACAGGTAAGGCGCTCCCTGGCCCATGCCTGTTTCCTGGAAACTGAAGCCATGCCCAGGCTGGGAGTCACCATTCCAGAAACAGAATAAGCTGTTGGGCTGGCTACCTCACCCAGCACCCGGCCACGCCAGAGAGAATCTTGGATGCTGCTTTCCCACAGGCTGTAGTGCCTTCCAAGTTAGGCCACCCTAATAACAGTTCTCCCACAGGGACTCCACGGTGTCCAGCTCTCCAGCCTGGGGTTTCTCATCACCCAGTGATTCCAAAAGAAACGATCTACAATGGCATGACTAAGTTCCAGAAACAAATAAACAAAATACTGAGGGAAGCCCGTTGGTCACTTTGATTCTTCAAAGGTGACAATTGTCCCTCCCTGAAATCTTGTGAGTGCATGAACAGGCTATTCTAATGTAAATGAAATTCACACTAAAACTGATTGAAAGATGATTCTGTTTCCAAGGTACTTTGTATTCTCAAATTGCACCTGCTTACCCTGGCCCCCTCAAAATGGAAGAGTGATGACTATTTGTCTTCGTAGCACTGTGGGGACACAGAGCCTTAAATGGAAGAGTGTCAAAAGCAACATTCCATAAAGGGCTGTCACTTCCAATTTTCAAGCAAGGTTGGAAACCAACCATGATGTATGAAACACTGTTGGCCAAAGTGCACAATTAGTAATACAAAATGAATAATATAAACTATTGTAAATATGTGTGGACATCGTGGCAATTTGGACATCAAAAAACACTGCCAAATTCAGAAAGAGGAAGCTGTAAACTCATGGCTGTTAGGAAGCTTAACTTCTGTGTACTAGAACCTATCAAAATTAAATTTCTCCATGTCAATCCGTCCAAACAAACATTGAGATGTTTATTTCTATATAATTCCTATTGAATCCTACTGGGCAGGACCCTTCTGGCCCCATCCTCACAGCACTGGTGCAGTGAAACTGCACTTGCTCCTGCTTCCCCCTATATTGTTAGGAGTGGAAATATTTAGTAACAGGGTGGATTGGGAGGCTACTGAGGCCTCCTGCGTGGGTGGGTCAGGTCTCCTGCAGCCCAAACCTTTTTACAATAAATAAGTTATAGGTAAAATTAGAAAAAAATTAAAAAATGGAACTCATTCTGTTTCTTTGCTCACCACAAAGAGAAACACAGCATCTAGAGATGTCTGTTGGAGCCAGGCTTGTCCTGGGAAAGTAAGAAGTGCTGAGCAGGAGCCCTGGGGATGGAGGGCAGGTGAGATGGGGCTCCCAGGAAGATGCAGCCAAGCCTGGCTCACTCAGGCTGGCAGGGGCCCTCTGAAGTCCAGGAAAGTTGGTCCAGGACACTGAAACTCAAGTGACTCATCTGGGCCAAAGATCTGACCAGGTCGCACTGAATCTCATCAGCCCTGCCAACTGGAGGTCTGATCAGCCTTGAAGATCTTGCTCACTGGAGGCAGACAGCTGGTGGATGGGTCAGGAGAGCTGCCTACTGCCAATGTAGGAGTGCACTCAGTGTAGGCCCGCTGCCCCACTCAGTGGCCTGGATAACCTGCTGAGGCTGCAGCTTCTTCCAGTTTTTGAGCAATAGGGGCATGCACCATTTCCGAAGGTTTTCAGGCAATCCCTGGTGACCTCTGGCAGGGGGTGGTTATCTTGGCAATCTCCAGCAGGGCCTATGGACTTGCTCCCAGGCAAAACCCAGCAATCCCTGTGCCTACCCAGGCACTAAGCATTTGTGGTGGGGCTTTCTGGAAGCTCGCCTTCTCCTGCTGGCTCTTCGTTTTCCCCACCCCGGTACTTCTGGCCATTCTCCCTGTCATCATCACAATGAGACAGCTGGGTGCTGGAGACTCAGAAACTGCCATGCAGACCTTGAGTCCTTCCCAGGCCCAGCCAACAGGGCAGAGAATCCAGGAGAAAAGTCATTTTCACCTCCTGAAGGACCAGAGCTGACCAGGCACCTAGAAGCTGTGCCCCACTGCAGGCTGCCGGTGGAGCTCATGACAAGGCCGGAACAAGGCCGGAACGTGAAGCACTCCCTTGTCTGTCCTTTTTTCCTGAAGGCTGGGGCTTGCCCGGCCAATGTCACCCTTCAGGACAGGGAATCAGAGCTTTGCATGGCTGCCTTACCCCACCAGGGCAACGCCACAGAGAATCATGGCTGAGGCTTTCCTGTGGGCTGCAGTGCCTGACCCTTTAGGGTCCCCACAAAAACACCTTTCCTGCAAATAATCCACCGTGTCCTGCTTGCCAGCCTAGGCTTCCTCATCAGTTGGTGATTTCAATGAAAACAAACTACAGTGGAATGAACAAGTTCTAAATCAGGAACACACAAAGAATCTGTGGAAAGTCCATTTGTCATCTAGATTTTTAAAAGATACACATTTTCCCTTCTTGTTATATTCAGTAGTGCATGAAGCCAATATTATAATAGATGTGCAACTCACACTAAAGCTGACTAAAGGGTGAATTCTTATTCTAAGGTACTTTGTGGTCTCAAATTTATCTGTTCCCACCCCCAGGACCCCATTAAAACTGAATAATTGTCATTGAGAGCAGATGTAGAAAGAAACTAGCTAGGCAGATAGAGCAAAGAGTTCTCAACAGAACGTCCCTTCTAACAGAAAGCAACCCAGGAATTCACTTCTCTTTAACAAAGAGCAGCCTGGAAAATTGGGCTGCAATCATACAAAAGGAAGCTGGAAGCTTGTGTGGGCAGGGATGCCTGCAGCTGCATGGGTAGAAATGACCACCTTGGGCCAGACATATCCAACATGGGGGGCCCCACCCCTCTTTGTAGCATATGCACAGTAGAAAAGAGATAAGCAACTTGGAGTAGCTCAGGCTGAGAATCTGCCTGCATAATAAAAGGTTGGGGTGTGAGCTGCCAGAGATTCATGCTCTAAGCAGATGACACACCTGGTCCTAACCACTTTTTCATGCCCTATGTGGATAACATACCCCCTCCCACTAGCTCATCTATAAAAACACTTGTATTTCACTGCAGAATGGCAACTCTTTTTTTCTGGATCCCTCTCTGCAGCAGAGAGCTGTTCTCTTTTTCTCACCCATTAAACTTTTGCTCTAACCTCACCTTTGGCATATCTGTGTCCTTGGTTTCCTCGGTCCTGACACCAAGAAGTTCAGGTGTAACCCCAGAAGACACGGCCAGTTTATCATGACTTGTCTCATTGCCTCTTGGGACATAGAAACGTCAATGAAAATGTGTCCAAAAGGACATTTCATAAAGTGCTCTCTCTTCCAATCTTCAAGCAATGTGGGACTATCCATCATGTATAAAAAACTTGTGGCTGAAATGCACAATTTCTAATACAAAAATGAATGCTATAAATTACTCTATGTATGTGTATTATGGCCATTCAGACATCGTCACACATTGCCACATTTAGATAGAAGAACCTGTGAACTTGTGGCTGTTAGGAAGCTTAACTTGTGCATACTGTCACCTATGAAAGTTAGTTTTCCCTGCGTTTCTTGAAACCAACCTTGAAATGTCCATCTTGTACACAATTTCTATTTATCCCCAGTGAGGTTCACCCATCTGGCCCCGCCCTTACAGCCCTGGTACCAATGGAATTGCACTTGCTTATGCTTCTTCAAATTTTCTTGAGGTCATAAACATTTAGTGACAGAGTGGAATGAGAAGGTACTGAAGCAAGGGCTGATGCCTTCTGGGTAGATGGGTAGAGATCTCCTGCAGCCTGGACATCTTCAAAATAAGTAGGTTATAGGTCAATTTAGAGAAAAAAATAATACTCTTTCTTTGAACACCACAAAGAGAAAAGCGCTGGATCTAGATGTGTCTGTGAAGCCAGGCTTGTCCTGGGAAAGTGAGAAGAGCTGAGCAGGAGCCCTGGCAATGGAGGGTGGGTGAGATGTGGTCCCCACGGAGAGACCGCTAGGGTCAGGGCTTGGTACAGTGAGGCTGGCAGGGACCTTCGGAAGGCAAGGGAAGATGGCCAAGGACACAAGGCTGAAGCAACCCATCTGAGCCAAAGATCTGTTTAGGTCCTTCTGAATCTCAGCAGCCTTGCCAAGGAAGGCATGATTACCCATGGGTATCAGAGACACTGGAGGCTGGCAGCTGGCGGGTGGGCCAGGAGGCCTGACTACTGCACAGGTGTGATTTCACTGGCAGGCCAACTGCAGGGAGTGGATAAAGAGAGAGCTCTGTGTGGGAATCTCTCTCGGTGGATCATCGAAGAGGTGAAGTCTTCTTCATAGCCTCAAACCCAATTTGTGGGATAGCAATTCCAGTGAAGCTGGGACAAGCTGGCACTGCTCAACCAGGCCTCCCAAGATACCAGGTTTCTTTCCACCACAGCTGGGCCTGGATTGGGATGTGAACATCTATCCCAGAGTCCAGAGGATGGGACCCTGGTCAGTGATGGTGCTGGTGTGTGGTGTGAAGCCAGGTAGGGCAGACTCTTCAGGTGGGAGGAGAAGACAGCCTCTCCTGTGGGCTCCTGGGCAAGTCAACACCCTCTTTGGGCCTGTCTCCTCAACTGGAAAATGCAGAAAGCCTGTTGTGCAGGCCTCACAGGGTCATGATAAGGGGCAAAGGATGAAGGAAACTTCAGAATTCTTGTGCCCACCTCTTCCTGAGAGGGATGATGGTGAGAACAATGGTGATAGCCACATGCAACTGAGTCCTCAGGAGGTACTGTGAGGAAGGTGTTGTTCTCATCACACTTCCTAGATGAAAAAACAGTTTCAGGAAGGCCTGGCTGCATGCCCAAGGTTACACACACAGTGAGTGTTAAAGCTGGGAGTAAATCTAGAATCAGGACTCACTGGAGCTGGTGGGAGCATTACACCGGCTGACTCAGGCAGTTATCCAAGATCTGAGGTCGCTGGGGCTGGAGTGTAACTGTGAGACAGGCACAGTCTCACTGACCCTGTTTCTGACTCTACTAGGTAGGAACCTTTTTAAAGAGTCCAGATGGGGCTGCAGCAGCAGGTGAATTGGCCTATGGTAGGGAGGGGCTCCAGAGAGTCAAGGACAGGGCTCCTCCCTCCCAGCTGGAGTTCTCCACATCAAGAGACCTGGGTGTCTTCCTCCTCCAGCCCTGCCCTCCTGTGGCCACAATGCTTGGAATGCCTTCATTAGAGAGACTAGAGAAAGGGCCTGGGAGAGCTAGGCTCAGAGTAGATTAGACGAAGAGTGAGGGTGGGGACGATCTGACTTTGTGATTTATTAAAATCACACCATAGAGGTAACTAAGAAGTGCTTAGCGTCTTTGGAGGTCAGCTGTGGAAAGAGGAGGGAAAGATTTTGGGCAAGGAGGTGAAAGGTCCTTGGATGCTCTGAGTGAGAGACTTGGGTACGGGGGTCAAGGAGAAATAGGTTGGTGAGAGTTCAAAGGAGAGGTCTTGTGCAGTTAGCTGAGAATTGGTGCTCATCACTGCTACCACCTTGATAACACAGGCTGCTGTGCCCCCACTCCCCTCCCCCCCCACCCCCCACCCCGGGCACACTTCTCAACAACCTGCAGATGCTGGAAATTGCCATAGAGGATTATAGAGATGTGAGTGAGACTGGGGCAGGCAGGCAGGGTGGGGACCAGGATCCTGAAGCTTGCGAGGACAGAGTCCTGGACTGAATCCTGAGACTGCAGCACTCAGCAAACCCCTTTCCTGAGAGCCTACCAGATGCCCCTGTAAATGGCAGTGTCAGTTCCGTCTTATCTATGAGTGACGGAGCCTCCAGCAAAGACACCATTTCCTGTTCCTTGAGTAGTAAAGCTGCAGAGCTAAGTCTCAGCCTCTGCCTTAGCTGGTACCCATTGCAGAAGAGAGAAATTGGGCCCCTCCTAAGACAGGCAGGTCCTAAATTGTTGAGTAACTTCTTTGTTTCCAAGGCCTTTGTCTCCCTATCATCACAGAGAATCAGGGAGAAAGGTCACTGAGCCTCAGTGTCCCTTCTGTGGAGCCCAGAACCTGATGCAGGTCTAAGTCCTGTTTTATGCACATGCTCTGACCCTGGTGGCCCTGGTGGTGGTGCAGCATAGGAAGTATAAGGGATGAGGTCTAGTCCTGTGTCAGGAAGCCTTTCTCATGAATCTTGGCTGTCTACCTCCTAAGAACATATAATCAACACTAATAAAGGAAGAAGGTGAGCAGCTGGCGCTGTCGCTTTGAGGGAGGGTGGGGATGTGAAAGTCAGACACCACCCTGAGGAAGACACTCCTTGGCTCCATCCTCTGCATCTTAGATTTATTGGGAAGGTTTGATACACAGAGAAGCAGGAGCCCCATCCCAATGGAGGGTTTGATTAGGGGAATAGAATCAATGATAAACTCCTAGAGGAGGGACTGTTTATATCCAACTCTTGAGAACAGGTTGGGGCTACATGGGATTGGAGGGGAGGGTAGGACCCCTTAAAAGAAAGGCCCTAGAAATTGTCCCTACCCCTTCACACCCCCACAAGTTCCCTTTGTCATCTTCCACCCAGGACCTGTCAGAATCCTGCCCTTCCTTCTGTCTCCAGATCAAAGTCCTCCAGGAAATGCAGCTGCTTCAGTGACAAGAGATAATCGTCATCTTCTGACTGAGGAGGAATTTGGGGTTTGGTTCCAGTGCATGAAGCTGCACAGTCAGAATAAAAGATGAGGGCCTAGCAGATTAGCAAAGACTAGGAGAAGACTCTATCTTGTGGCCAGCTTCAGAGAACCTGGGGCCATAGCTCCCTGGTCAACATTAGGCCTGCTGCATGGGGACCCTGGGCAGGCAGTGGGAAGCCTGAGGTGTGGCTCCTGGTAGCCTCACAGCTGCCACTATTTTCTGAAGCTCCTCCTACTTGTTTTGTCAGACGGGCCCCTATTCCAGCAGGCCAGCAACACCCTCAAGACCAAGAACAGGCCATGGTGAATCTCAGGGCCATTGAGTGCCTGGGCTGGCAGGGGCAGAGTGCCTCAGGGCTCAGTGACATTTGGCCTGAGTGTTGGCTTTGGGAGTCAGACAGCTGCACTGGGCTCCCAGCTTCACCATGACCAGTAATGTGTCTGGGGCCGGGGCCTCACTGCTCTAAAACTTGAGACACCATAGTGATAAATTTTACACACCCTTCTAACTGCTTTTTCTTTTTTATCTGTCTTTCTCTATAATCACCATGTACTACTGATCTCTGTTTATTTAAATTAATAAGCATGTTATACAGTGTGTATTATTCTTCCTCGTGACTTCTTTACTACATTGTATGATTCCACTCATATGAGGTACTTACAGTAGTTCCATTCATAGAAACTCAAAGTAGAAGAGTAGTTCCTAGAGGCCAAAAGGAAGGTAACGGGAACAGAGTTTGAGTTTTGCAAAATGAACAAATTTCCCTATGAATGTGGATGATGGTTGTAGAACAATGTGAGTATGATTAATTCCTCTGTCCTGCACTTTTAAAAATTGTTAAAATGGTTAATTTTATGTATATTTTACCACAATGTAAAAAAGGACTTTTTTAAATGAACAAACTGTAGATATCTGTAACAGCATAAATATCACAAATATAATATTGCATTAAAAAATTGATGTAAAAGTATCCATACTGTGTAATTTTTTATATTACACTCAAAAATCAAAACTGAGGTTCTGGCTTCCACTAATGATGAAGTAGCTAACTGAACTAACACTCTCACACAGAAAAATGATGAATCCTGGGTAAATTATTATATATCATTATAGAAACATTTCTATATACAATACATACATGAAATATGTGTATATAAAAACTGAATGCATATTTTGGCTATGACTTCCATAGGAGAGATAAGTATTGAAGATAGAATCCAGCCCATTTAACACCATCTTTTAAAAACAACACTCTTCACAGGGACAAAACAGAATCCAGTCTTTTTAATCCAGTCTTGTATACAGTCTCCAGGGCACAATTTCCAATTCAAGGGATGCGTGAAGACACGTGAAAATGTAATAAATACACAAGATAAAAAGCAGGCAGTAGCCATCTCCAAGATGTCCAAGATGTAAACGGCAGACAAGAATTTGAAGGCAGCTATTATAAACACGCTCATGAGGGCAAAGGAAAATATTCTCATAAATGAATAGATGTGAAACATCAGCAGAGAAAAAATAGCCATATAAAAAATGAGAAATAAAAATAATAATTTTGAGCTTTTCTATAGTTCAGAAACAGAGACATAGCAATATAATTTATCCAATCTGAGGAGAGGAAAAAAAAAAGAAGTTTAAAGAAAATGAACAGAGCCTTACAGACCTGTGGGATGACTGAGTCTGAGAAAAGGTGAGAGATAGAAAAAATCAAATGGAGTATAAAAGTAAATCAACAAAATTTAAAGAAAATAAACACAGCCTTAGAGACCCATGGAATTATTGAGCCTGAGGAGAGAGACAGAAGAATTAGATGGGTTGGAAAAATAAATCAATAACTAACAGCTGCAAACTTGCAAAAATTGTTCAAAAACCTATTTTTTTTTTTTTAATCTAAAGATCCACGAATCCCCCACAAAAGTACAAATAAAACCATACCAAGGCCATATTGCAATTTAGGAAAGCAGCAGGCAGGACTTTCAATTGACTTGATATGATTTATCATTTTTACTATTTGTAAGAATGGAAATAAGTTCTTAGAGTTTTGGTCTTGGAGAAAGTCTGACGTTAAGGACAAACGACAGTTATTAAAGGCAGATGACTTTCCAGACTTGTCTTAAATGTTCCATTCTTCACCTTAGAACTTATTTAAATTTGTTTCTTCCAAATACTGCAGTAATATTGATGCTCCAGAGAGATGTCCCACGGAGATTCTGCTCTTGTGCGTCTGCCCTGCACGGAGCTGAGGCAGTGTCTATCAGTTTCAGAAGCGAGTAGTCGTGCAGTACTTAACCTGAAAAACTTAATGGAAACATGAATTAAGAGAATGATCACTGTTTAGTTCTATCAGAAAACTATTAAAAGTGGTCCAAGGGGGTATTTAAAAAGAGATATTAAAGTATTTTCCAAGGGAGCCCTATTCAGGGTAGAAGCGCAGACACTATCCCTGACCTCACCACACAAACTACCCTCATGTGTTGGGAGGGACCAAGGGGCGCTCTGGTCCTGCTGACCTGCATTAATCACGGCCCGGAGGTCCACACTAAGACCCTGAGGCCTGGGAAGCAGCCTGGGTGGGGTCAGAGAAGCGGTGGATGAGGCTCCACAGCAGCTCCCAGGGTCCCATCCCCGTAGCTGTTTCCTTAGTGGATGCAGCAGGGTCAGGCCCTTCCGCTGTGACGTTTTCTCCTCTTTATTACACTGGTGGGAAAGTCTCCGTGAGAGGCCCGACCTAGATATGGACCACGCAGCGAGCCCGGGGGTCCAAGCGGCGCTCCTGGGGTGCAGAGGATTTGTGACAGCCTAGAGAACAGAGGAAATGGTTTTGAAAAGGCAAATGGCAGGTGACTAGGGACACGATGTTTTCACTTCTGGCAGTCAAGTGACAGTTTCAGACACTCATGAACGGGCTTCTCGAGGGGATCCCAAGGAGCCTCCAGGTCGGCCGCCATTACCCTACACCTAGGGACGGGCTGCACTGCGCATTTCCGAAAGGGCAGGCCCCTTAGCCCCACCCCTAGGAATGGGTGCACTGCGCATGTGTGAAAGGGCAGGACTTTTATCCCGCCGCTAGGGACGGGCTACACTACCCATGTCTGAACGGGTGTGACAAGAGGGAGGAGCGAGAAGGGACGGGGCGGAGCGGGAGATGGGCAAGAATAGGGGCGCGGTGCGGCCAACGTCCGGCGGAGGATCGTTACCACGGCAACGCTGCTGTGGAGGCCATGAAAGGCGAACGGCCCTTTGTTGGCTGACAGGAAATCGAGACACTCGTGAGGGGGCTTCTTGAGGCGATCCCAAGAGGCCTGAGAACTGCCACATCCGCGGCCCTTAACCCAGCCCTAGGGACGGGCCGCACTGCGCATGTCTGAAAGGGAGTGACAAGAGGAGGAGCGAAGGAGGGTGGGGCTGAGGAGGAGGCGGGGTGAGAAAAGGGGCGGGTCGCGCCCCACCCTTGTCTGAGGAGCGTTACCTTGACAACCCTGCCGCGGAGGCAGTGAGAGGCCACCGGCCCTTTGTTGATCTGCAAGGTATCAAACTTCGAACATGACAAGCATAAAAGCCTGCAGCTCGAGGAGACAGGGTGTCACAATTACCAGGTGAAACTAGCCGCCCTAGCTCCAATGTCTCTTCAGCAGGAGAGATTTGGAAACAGCAAGGCTCCTCTCCGCAGGGCGAAACTGCTGGGCTGCGAAAGGCGGGACAGGGAGCGGAACCGTCTTCAACCGTTCCGGGAGTTCTGGTGTCTGGTCCGCTCCCGGCTGTTGGTCGCAGGGCAGAGGGTCTAGGATGCCAGCTGGCTGCGGGCTGGGAGATGCAGGGTGAGGCGCGCATCGCGGTGCATACTGGGAGTTGTAGTCTCTCCACCGTTCCCCACGGTGGATGGTGGGGCTACAGGAGGACAATCCCAGATTGAGACAGGAGCGGAGGCGGGGCGCGGCCGTGCAGGGAGGGGGAGGGCGGTGTAGGCGGCTTCGTTTACCAAGCTTGCTGGCCATTGATTTCATGCCAAACCCTCGCCAAGGGGATTAAATCAGGAGAGGAACTTGAAGGGCAGGCCTGGTCTCGCCAGTGAGGAGGATGTGTTGTTGGGAAGTGCACCCCGCCTTTGCCTAAATCGAGAGTGTCTGGTCCTCACTCACGCGACTTCGACTTCCAGCTGCTCAGCTCGATTTTCTTTCCCACTCGCACCCGAGTTCTTTCCAGAGCGTCCCACCTCCTCCAGCCCATGGAGCCGTCTGCTTTCATAAGTGGCTGTGGAAACTGGTCTGAGGTCCCAGACGCTGTCACTGTGCTGCTGCCCTCCGCTCTCTCCAAGCAAAGCACAAGCTGAGCCGCCTTGGAAAGACAACCACGGCCTGGCCTGGGAATGCGCAAGTTCAGAGCTTTGCAGGGAGTGACCATGGGCTGTGGCTTCGTGAAAATGTCACGTTCACCAGTACCCTTTTTGCGGATGTGGCCGTGGAGCCATGAGGGGGGTAATCACTGGGTTACAAAGGTGCTGCTAAGAGCGGAGGAGAAAAACCCAATTCCCAGCCATGTGTCTGGTATGACATTTCACCAACCCATTTAAGTGTGCAGGCCTCCAAATATCTACCTAAAGATTATGATAGATTAGGCATTTTACACTAAAAATCTGTGGCTTCGTGTCCACTAAAGCCTGACTGGCCAGTGCCTAAAAGAAACAGACGATAACCTGATCCCTCAGGAACAGATGGTGTTCTAGCTTTGTGGAAGTGAATTTCAAGGTATGGAGCACTTGAGGGGTCTTTGAAACCTGCCAGGTCTCACATCTCTGCTTTTGGTGAAAAGCTCATCAACTAACAGTAGTCAGGAATGTGCCTTTACTTCCTGGGGCTGGTCTGTTGAAATTTTGTGTGTGGACAATGGAAACATCCAGGAGCATTTCTGCTTTCCTATAGCCTCTTAATAATTGATGCCCTAAAGTCCTATATCCTTTGATTCCTGGATGGTACAGATTTCATGCTGTTAAATCTAATCTGCAAAAACCTGAGCGTTAATCTCCATGAATAGAAGAACTTGTTGTTTCTTATTTAAATGCTCTTTTTTCTCTTGTCTTAGATTCTGAGCAGGATTTCCAATACGGTGTTGAAAGAAGTAGTGAGAGTGGGCATCTTTTTCTTATAATAAATCTTAAAAACAATTCCAAAATTTCACCATTGACAATAATGTTAACCATGGGATTGTCCTATAGCTTATAAAGAACATATCTCTTTATTTTGAGGTATATTCTTTCTATACCTAATTTGTTATAGATTTTATTTGGAATGGATTTTAAATTTTGTCAAAATAATTTTAGGCATGCATAAAAAAGTCATGATTTTTAATCTTTTTGTTGTGTAAATAAGGAGTATGGCATTTATTGATTTCCACATATTAAAATATTATTGCATCCCAGGAATAAATCCAACTTGATCATAATAAATGATCCTTTTAAAGTGCTTTTGAATTTCATTTGCAACTACGTTGCGGATGATTTTTCATCTATGTTCATCAGGGATATTGGCCTGTAATTGTTTTTCTTGTAATGTCCATCTCTGGTTTTTGTATCAGTGTAATGCTGGCTTCATAAAATGAGTTTGGAAGTATTCCTCCTCCTTCAATTTTTTCAAAGATTTGGTTCTTTTTAAATGTTTAGTAAAATTCAGCAACAAAGTCATCAGATCTAAACTCCTTACCCATTACTGATCTATTCATATTTTCTATTTCTTTATGCTTCAGTCTTGGTGGGTGGTACTTGTCTAGAAATGTATTCATGTCTTCTCCCTTATCCCATTTGGTGGGATATCATTGTACATAGGAGTCTGTGTACATAGCAGTCTTATGACCTTTTTTTATTTCTGTTTTACCAGTTGTAATGTATTCCCTTTAATTCTGATTTTATTTATTTAAGCATTTATTTCTTAGTCTAGCTAAAGATATGCCAACTTCATGTTTTCATAAAACAAGCTCTTACAATTTTTCTACATTTTCTATTGTTTTTCTAATCTTCAGTGTATTCATTTCTGCTCCGATTTTTTTTACTAATTTTATTATCTGGGAACGTTGGGATAAGTTCTTCCTCCTCTAGTTTCTTGAGTTGTGTCATTATTTGTTTATTTGTGATCTGTTTTCTCTTTGGTTGAAGGTGTTTACTGCCACTCCATTTCACTGGGATTAGCACCCATATGCATTGTGGTCTTTTTGTTTGAGTTCATCAAACTTCTGATCCTAAGTCTGCACCTTTAGCATACTGGTAAGCAGCAGTGCTAAAAGCCTACACGATGAGTAGGGGATTTAGGATGAGAGAATTACCCAGTAAGTTTTGGGAGGGACTAATATTAAGTTATCTTTCTCTTTTTTATTTCTCATCAGTGCCTGAACCATAAGGCACAAGGAATGAGCCCCTCATCGTGAGAGTGCATGTGACAGGAGCAAAGGAAGCGGCAGCTCAGGAAAGACAAGGTCACTGTTCTTGCTCCCATGACGGTAGCACTTGTTAGAGCAACTGAGTGACGTGCATAATTCTCTCCAAAGTAAAAGTCCTTTTTGTTTTTTGCAATTTTACAAAAAACCGTCCCTGGGCCTTTCCTGAGAGTGTGCAATAATAAGCAATGTTCATATGACTACCCGGGCATTTAGTAATGGTAAGCAGACCAGATGAAGTGACCACAGGGATATAGCCTGACTCTTGGTAATCAGGACTGAAGTACTCACTGATTAAGGTTCTGTGTTTTCACTGCCTTGAAAGGCAAGTGTCTTGCAAGCTGCATGCCAAACAAAGGCTAAATATGATGACACATCAGGCTGCAGCAGAGTCAACTGACCATATATGTCTAGGTGATGAGTGTGCTTTAATGTGGTCAGGGAAGGCAACTCATGATAAAGGCCACAAATGGCTATTTAGACCAAAGCAAAAGCCCACCAGAAACTGGTGGCTCTGACTGAGGTGACTTTTAATGTATCATGAAATCAGTAGGCCAAAAGCAGTTAAAGTTGAGCCGATGTCCTTAGTCATAGTTGGTTAATCCAGTTTGTATTGTGAATTGTTTGATTAGCCTCCCCTTTACCCCATTGGTGAGGGATAAATTACCACCCTTGTACTACTGGAACAGTTAAAACCATGGCACCAATCATTGGACAAATGAGATTGACAGCAGTTATTCGTTACATATAATCATGGAAGAAGGAAATTATATAAGGTATACAGACCCACACAGGGATTGCACTTGGGAGCAGAGAGAACAAACAGGGGGTGTTGGGGAAGGCTTTGTAGTATCAAGAGGGTGAGATGCACCTGGTTCCCACAGGAAGTTGTTATTGGTTGGTCTGGATAATTCTGTGACCTTGGGAGAAACTGAAACACATTATACTACCAATTGCTAAGACTACAATAACATACTATAATAGTGTAATGCTATAATGTACCATATACTGTAATACTAATGACAGTATGTTCTCCCTTTTTTGATAGATTCTCAGAAACTGTGACTTTAAGTAAAACAATGTACTATATAATAAAACCAATTTTACCATTGGCTAATTGATATAAACAAGAGTTAATTTTCCATGGCATATAGTATTTTGTTTCACTTAAAGTCAGTTTCCAGGGACCTATCAATGATGTTAAGTGAGCACTTACTGAACATGTATTTTAGTGATGTGTAATAGAAAGTAGCTATAAAAAATATACTATTCATGTACAAAACTACATGTGGCACACATTACAGTCATGAACCACATAACAATGTTTGAGAAATTGACAGACTATATATATGAGGGTGTTTTCTTGTGAGTATATATATATATATAAACCTACCTTTAAAGGCCAAAGGAGCTGAGAGTTTGAAGAATGAGGCTGACAAATCAAGTTTCTCAGAAAGAAACATTTAAGAGGAACATTTATTAATAGAAGCTATGTCTCAGATAGCTGAAGATGGTGGAACCTCACACTGTGACCCCCTAAACCCAGACACTTATCACAGGAAAGGGAATGTGAAGGACAATTGAAATCACTATATAAATTTGCCTAAGGGTAGGATTTGTGCTAAGTACCTGTTCACAATAGCATCAGGGTTGTTTTGATTTAAGGGTAGGGCTTATAGAACTGTAGGTTTCAATATATGACATAGGTATTTGAAACCCTCACCAAAAAACATTAGAGGAAGTAACTCTGTCATCATTTTAAGTTTCTTTTTTTTTTTTTTAGTAATTTAAAATCTTAAAGTCTGGTTATGTTAAATTAAGTAATCTTAAGTTTCTCACTAAAAATTAGTATTGCTAAGCATTAAAAGAATAGTTTTAAGACAGTTTTTACCCCAGCACTAGTGATTGGATAATACGGCCCCAGGCCCCACCCCTTCAGGTTCTGAATGAGAGAAGATGTGAGCCAACTCGTAGCCAGATGACAACAGGGTAAAATGTTCCAAGCCGCAGCCTTTTTCAGGCAGGACTTCCTCCTTATGCTGAAGCCCGGCCTTCACTGTGGGATATTTGCATTTAACCTTGTATATAAGGTTATTTTTATTTATAAGTTGTATATATGTGGCCAGGCATAGTGGATCTCACCTTTAATACCAGCACTTTGGTAGGCTGAGGGGACAGAAGCTCTTGAATCCAGGCGTTTGGGACCAGCCTGGGCAACAGAATGTGAGGGCCCCACATCAAAACTTTTCTACAAAAAAATGAAAAAATTAGCCAGGCATGGTCACACGTGTCTGTGGTCCCAGCTACTTGGGAGGCAGAGGTGGGAGGGTCACTTAAGCCTGGGAGGTAGAGGCTGCAGTGAGCTGAGATCAGGCCACTGCACTGCAGCCTGGGTGACAGAACAAGATTCTCTCTTTCTTTCTCTGCCTTATTTGTGTGTGTGTGAAGGGGGAGGGGTGTGTGTGTGTATTATTCAAAATAGAAACAAAATAATAACAATTATTTTTATTTTTATTTACATTTTTTTGAGACAGAGTCTCACTCTGTCACCCAGGCTCGAGTACAGTGATGAGATATTGGCTCACTGCAACCTCCGCCTGCCAGGTTCAAGTGATTCTTCTGCCTCACCCTCCCAGGTAGCTGGGATACAGGCACCCACCATGTTGCCCAGCTAATTTTTGTAGTTTTAGTAGAGACATGGTTTCACCATGTTGACCAGGCTGGTTTCGAACCGAGGTCAAGTGATCCGCCTGCCTCGGCCTCCCAAAGTGCTAGCATAACAGGCATGAGCCACCATGCCCAACCAATTACAATTATTTTTAATTTTTAGATTTTACAATCTTTCTGGCCTCTTGGCTTTTGAGGCAAACTGAGCTTTGAAATTAGGCAATCCTCTATTGCACCAATGTGCAATAGAAGTAAAATGTGAGCCACATGTGACAATTAGAATTTGCTAGTAGCAGCATAAAGAAAAAGAAAAATGAGTGAAATTGATGTTAACAACATAGCTCAATATATCTGAAATATTTTAACATATAATCAGAATGAAATAATTAAAGAAACATATATATGTGTACATATATACGTACACACACATAGACATATGTTTCTTTAACCCAGCATTATATATTTTTATGCACATATGTATATGTAACTAAATATTTAAATATTTTCTTGTATTTCTCCCCAGCATATCTTAGTTCATGCTGGGCACAATACAGTTGTTCAGTAGCCCCTGTGCCCAGTGGCTGCCACATTGCAAGTGCATCTCTGAGGGCTCTGACTTTTCTGACCTTAGGGAGGTTAAAGGGCCTGAATCCTCCTTTTCTGCCAGATAGGAGTGAATGCCCCTTCTCTGCCAATATCACTCCTGTTTAAAGGATAAGAGAGGTGGTGCCCTGAGAGACAGTAGGGCCTACAAGAAACAAGTGTTCACAGGTGGAACACTGCTGTCCACTTTTGCTTGGTGTGGACTCATCAAACCTCCAGAGATCATACAGCAGTCCAAAAAGTGGGGCCCCAGAAGAGGGAAACCTCATGTTTTTAGATCTGTCCATAGGCTTGATCTGATGTGGAGAGACTAGATTAAAGGCAAACTTTTTATCTTGCAACTTGGCCTTGGCAAATTAAATAGAAATATGTCACTATAAAAATCAATTAAATAAAAAGGAAGGCAGTAAGAGCAGAAAAGAGGAGAAAATACCTACAAGAAACAAATAGAACTATTAACAAAATGGAAGTAGTCCATTCTTTTCACAATTAAAATGAATATATACATAGAGTAAAATTTCCAACAGAAATGTGTAAATTGGCTAAAGAGATTGAAAGAAAAAACGATTTGTTTTCTGCTGTCTATAAGAAACTCACTTTAGATCTAAGCACACAGATAGGCTAAAAGTGCAAGTATGAAAAATATCTTCTAGGAAGATTGCAATCAAATGAGAGCAAGAGGGGTCATAATTATGCAAAATACACATTAAGTCAAAACTGAATTAAAGGACAAATAAAGATAGTATATAATGATACAAGTGTTGATTCACTGGGGAAGCTGTGTTAATAATAAATATATGTACACTTCACATCGGGGTTTCCAAATGTATAAAGCTAAGATCGACCCAGATGAAGAAAGAAATAGCTATGCAAAAATAGTAAGAGACATAATTATCCGACTATCAGTAGCAAACTCTGTAAACCGAACAGACATATAGAAAACACTCATCACAGTGAATAGATTCAGGAAGCTGAAGGCCCATGGGACATGACCAACTCAGCATTCCACTGGAGGCTATATGATCAAACAGCAAACTGTTTATCATGAATGCAGGATGTGGGCAAACTCACACTGCCCTGCCACCAAAAGGTTTGCTGAGGGCCTCATTCCCTGGCACCAGGCTCCTTGAAGTTATCTACTGAGAAATCCAGTGCCTATTGTTCTAAGAATGCAGTCTCTCGAGTCAGCTGTGAATCAAGCTGCTGGTGGAAAACCACCCCCGCCTTCTCACTATCTCTTTTACCTAATAAATATGGAGGGCTGTGTAAAGCTCAGGTACCTTGTCCACTAGAGGCAAGGTGCCCCTGACCCCTTTTTCCAAATATACCCCTTTGTCTCTTGTCTTTTATTCCTGCATTCACCCTGCTTTGTTCAGTCCAATAGGTCTGTGTAGGCTACAAATAGAAGTGAAAAAAAAGAAAAAAAAAAACACTTCACACAACAATATCAGAATACACACTTTTTCCAATAGGTCATGAAACATTCTCCTGAGTAGATAACCTACTAGGACACAAAACAAGTTTTACCAAATTTTAAAATGTTAAAATATGGGCTAGGCATTGTGGCTCATTCTTATAATTCCAGCATTTTGGGAGGCTGAGGTGGGAGGATTAGTGAGTTTAGGAGTTCGGCGCCAGCCTGGGCAACATAAAGAGACCCTCTCTTTAGAAAATATAAAATTTAAAAATTAGCTGGGCATAATGGCACATGCCTGTGCGTCCAGCTACTCAGGAGGCTGACGGGGGAGGATTGCTTGAGCCTGGGAGATCGAGGCTCTGGTTAGCCATGATTGAGCCGCTGTGCTCCAGCCTGAGCAACAGAGCAAAACTCTGTTTCAAAAAAAAGATTAAAATATTACAATCATTTTTTATTACAAGGGAATAAAATTAGAAATCAATAGCAGAAGAAATATGGAAAATCTACAAATATGTGGAAATTAAACAACGCACTCTTCTGCATGCTCTCGTTCAAGGGTTGGAAGACAATATTGTGAAGATGTCCACACTACCCAAAATGATCTACAGATTCAATGAGATCTCTATCAAATTTTAACTGTCATTTCACTTGGCAGAAATACAAAAAACATTTCTAAAACTTATATGGAATCTAAAGTGACTCTCAGGAGCCAAACAACCTTCAAAAAAAGAAATAATATTGGAGGCATCACACTCCTTGACTTTATAATGTATTACAAAATTACAGTAACCAAACTATTTAGTACTGACATAAAGGCAGACACACAGACAAATGGAACAGAATAGAGCACAGAAATAAACTGTCATATATATGGCCAAATGAAGAGTTATTTGTATATCCATATTCATTGCACAACATTATTCACAACAGCTGATAGGTGGAAGCAACCCAAATGTCCCTCAATGAATCAGTGAATAAAGACAAATTGGAATATACAAATAATGGAATATTATCCAGTTTTTTAAAAGCAGGAGATCTGATTATTTTTACACTAAGGATAAATCTGGAGGACATTATGTAAATAAAATAAATGAGTCATAAAAGGACACTGTGTGATTCCAGTTAAATATCTAAAATAGTTAAACTCTTAGAAACAGAAAGTAGAATAGTATCAGTCAGAGCCTCAGGGGAGGAGATAAAAGGGTAGTTGTTGTTTCATGGCTATTGAATTTTAGTTTTGCAACATAAAAACATTCTAGAGATATGTTGCATAACAATGTGAATATATTTAATATTATTTAACTATGTACTTAAAATATTTAAGATGGTAAATTTTATGTGGTTTTGACTACATTAATAGTGAAAAACTTTCTAAAGAGATACATATTTATCAATCTTTTCAAAAATTACCTTCAAATCCTAAAAATATCAGAAAAACAATAAAGAGGCCAGGTGCAGTGGCTCATCCATGTAATTGAAACACATCAGGAGGCTGAGGAGGGAGAATAGCTTAAGCCCAAAAGTTGGAGACCAGCATGGGCAGCGTAAAAAGACCTCAGCTGCAAATCACAAGCAGAAGGAAACTGGCAAATGAAAAAATATGTGAAACTTAAAACAGAACACTCTTGACTTCTTGTTCAAGGGTCAGAAAATTTAATATTATTAAGATGTCAATACTACTCACAGTGAAGCACAAATTCAAAGTATTTTCTATCAAAATCCCAATGTTACATTTTTTTCAGAAATATTAAGTCTTAAAATTCATATGGAATCTCAAGGGACAATGAGTAGCCAAAGTAGCTGTGGAGAAGAACAAAGTTAGAGGTATCACACTTCCTGATTCCAAAATATATTATAAAGCTATAGCAATACAAACAGAAAGACAAATAGATGATGGAACAGAATAGAGAACCCAGAAATAAACCTTTATGAATATCATCAAATAATCTTCAATCAGGCTGCCATGACCGAACAACAGGGAAGAACAGAATAGTGTTCTAAAATTGAGTATCAAAATGGAAGAAAATAAAATTGGACTTTTCACTTGCACCATATAGAAAACTATCTTAAACACTTAAATGTAAGTAAGATCGCTATAAAAGTCTTAAAATATAAGGTAAAAATCATGACATTTGTCTTGATAATTTTTTTAACATGACATTAAAAGCAGAAGTAACAAGAAAAAAGCAGGAAAATGGGACTACCTCAAATGTAGTAAGCTTTCTGATAAAGAGAAAACAGCTGGGCCTGGGGGACCACTACCACCAAGACGCAGAGACCAGTAGTGGCCCCGAATGGCTGGGCACGCTGATATTTATTGCATACAAGACAAGGGGGCAGGGTAAGGAGGGTGAGTCGTCCAGGTGATTGATAAAGTCAAGCAAGTCATGTGATCATGGGACAGGAGGCCCTTCCCTTTTAGGCAGCCAAAGCAGAGAGGGAAGGCAGCATACATCAGTGTTTTCTTCTATGCATTTATAAGAAAGATCAAAGACTTTAAGACTTTCACTATTCCTTCTACCGCTATCTACTAAGAACTTCAAAGAGGAACCAGGAGAATGGGAGGAACGTGAAAGTGGACAAGGAGCGTGACCACTGAAACACAGCACCACAAGGAGGGGTTTATGCCTCCGGATGACTACGGGCAGGCCTGGATAATATCCAGCCTCCCACAAGAAGCTGGTGGAGCAGAGTGTTCCCTGACTTCTCCAAGGAAAGGAGACTCCCTTTCATGGTCTGCTAAGTAACAGGTGCCTTCCCAGGCACTGGCATTACCGCTCGACCAAGGAGCCCTCAAGCGGCCCTTATGTGAGTGTGACAGAGGGCTCACCTCTTGCCTTCTAGGTCACTTCTCACAATGTCCCTTCAGCACCTGACCCTATACCCACCAGTTATTCCTTGGTTATATGAGTAATACAACAAAGAGTAATATTAAAAGCTAGTGATTAATAATGTTTATACTAATGATGGATAATGTCCATGATCATCTCTATATCTAATTTGTGTTATAACTATTCTTTATTCTAACTGTTTTCTTTATTATACTGCAACAGTTTTTACCTTCAGTCTCTTGCCTCGGCACCTAGGTAATCCTTCACACCCACATGTTTCTACAAAGGAGATATACAAACGGCCAAGAGGAATTTTAAAAGATGCTGCAAATCATGAATCTTTAGAGAAATGAAAAGCAAAACCCCAGTGAGATATTACCTCACATTCATTAGGATGGCCACTATCAAATAAGAGAAAATAACAAGTGTTTTCAAGGATGTAGAGAAATTGGTATATTTGTGCACTGGGTGGTGGAAAAAATAATCATGCAGCCATTATGAAAAATAGTACAGAGTTTCCTCAGATTATTAAAATTGGAATTATGATGTGGTCTGGCAATACCATTTCTAGATATCTATCTAAATGTGCAAAGCGGGACCTGAAAGAAACATTTACATACCCACGTTTATGACAGAATTATTCTAAAAATCCAAAAGGTAGAAGCTACTTGAATGTCCCTTGACAGATAAATAAGTAAATATGATATATACATACAATGAAATATGATTTTAAAAGGAAATCTTATCACATGCTGCAATGACAATAAACCTTTAGGGCATGATGTTAAGTGAAATGTGCCAGGAAACAAAGTGACAGTGATTGTGTGATTCCACTTATGAGATATCTTAAGTAGTCCAACTCACAGAAATGGAAAGTAAAATGTTAAGGGCTCAGGAGAGGGTAAAATGGGCAGTTGACGTATATGGGTATTGAGTTTTAGTTTTGCAATGGAAAAGCTCTAGAAGCCTGTTGCATAACAATGTGGATATATGTACCACTAATAAATTATGCAATTACAAATGTATAGACTGGTAAATTTTGTTGTGTTTTATTACAGTTAAAATATTGTAAAGTGATACATAAAAGAGATACCGAGTTACAAACTTTTTGGAAAATTACCTTCAAATTATAAATGTGTTTTCCTCACACAAAGAAAATATAGATTTGTTCAATAAATACGTGGGTAAGTTAAGACTACTTATATGACTACTGTCCTGAACAAGATAAAACAACTTTTGACACCAGCCAAGAAGAGAAATATGCAAGATAATTAAGAAGAAATAGACTATATTTATAGAGGCAAACAAACACACGATTTTATTGGTGGTAGATATGGCTGATTCATATTTTGATTAAACATCACATTGACTTAACATGTATATAGAGTTGCAGATTTACATCCAAAATCATAATACGTAGGTAAAACCAAACTCACAAAACACGAATGTCAAGGAACTTACCAAAAAAAAAAAAAATAGTAATATGAAATTTCAAAAAAGAATGAGAGAAACAACGAAAAAACTCCTATATAAAACATAGATTTACAACTAAGAAAGAATCCTCCTAGATAACTACAATCTTCAGCTGTGACTGTGCATCCGTGGTGAGCAGGGATTTTGAATCAAGACTGCGTTAGGAAGAGGCTCAAGGGGGCAGACAGTGCCACCTCCAGAGAAGCCACTGCTCCTACTCCTGCCTCTCCTGCTACTGCCGCCACGGTCCTCTGCTCCTGCAGCCCCCACTGGGCGCCGGATTCCTTCTTGGAGTGCGGAGGTCCTGTTCCTTCAGGAACGACAGACAGCTTTTCTCCCCGTCTCCTCGTTTGCTCAGCCGGCAGGTGCAGGACTGGAGATCTGAGGTGGTCCTGCGTCTCGAGGAGCCGGGCGCCCGACTGTGAGAAGGAGGAGGCAAGCTATGGGGAGAGGGGGCGACAGGAATGCCAGGCTCATGAGGCCGGCGGCCGCGGCCCAGGCAGGGCTGGCTGCTGCCTGGGCCGGATGGTAAGAGATACTGTGGAAAGAAAATAAAATAAAATAAGTAATAATAAAGTTTAAAATAATAAACCTAACATAGGTAATAGTTAACATTCAGCATAGGTTACTTAGAAGTTATACATAGGCTAAGAAATTTCAGCAGTCCATTCCAGCATTGCTAACAAGTTGCAGCTGCGAGCTTATCTCAATCTTCCAAGCTTATTGCCTGCCTCCAGACCCCCGCATATTCCTGTAATTCGTGTTTTCCCTTACCCCAGCTCTGTTCAGCTTCAAAGTTGACTGGACAAAATAACTAAATTGTAAGTTCTCTCCGAATTGTCACGGGTTGGATAATTTACTGTCTTTGTCTGAAACCTGTAACCTGCCTTGTTTTCCCGCCTCAAACGGCACTTAAGCAAGCCTGCTTTCTTTGCAGGGGTCGGCAGCCATTTTGGGCATGAGCCTGCTGTTGGCTCAGGTGCCTGAATTAAATAAAAGTTCTCTTTGGTCTCCAAAGGTCTCTTCGTGTTCCTTGGCTGGAGTTTTACTACAACAGTATCAGATGTCGCCACCATCCCCATCCTTGGCTCCCTAGCCGTCATTCATACATCCTGTGTTCAACAAACAGAAGTGGCAGCGGGAGCTGCTGCTCCGGGAGGGGGAGTGGCCTGGCAGGGGGCACACAGCTGCTACCTGCTGCGAGGCGAGTTGGTCTGCAGCCTGGGCCTTTGTGCAGGACACATCGCCGCCCTTGTCCCGCTTGCTCCCCCGCCTGCCACGCAACATGCTCAGGTGCCAGATCTCGGGCATTCCTGGCAAGCGTACTGTGGCGGGGAGGCAGCAGGGAGGAGGGGTTTGCCAGGAGCCCTGAACAGAGGTTCTTGGCATGGAGAAGAGACAGAGGTGGCTGACTGGTTCCAGTTTTAGGTGGGTGGGGGGAGGGGGTGGCAAACCCCATGGGACTTTGTTTTTTTCAAGGAGACTTCAGTTCACTTCTTATCTGTTCTCCACCCGCTTAAGCCTCTGAGAACAGAGGAGATGGGGCTCTTTTAAATTGGCCTGGCCGTAACGGTCTGGACCCTTGCCGCAGGGCAGATCTCATTTGGGGGCTCTTTGAAGCCTGGAGGCTCACGCCTGTCCATCCCAGGTGTCTTCAATATAGGGTCAAGTTAGGCCTGGCTGGCAATGATGCTGGAATGCAGGACGATCTGGCCAGATCTTCGCCTGTTACAGGATATTTTAGCCTTCAGCACCCTGCACCATTTCCCTCACCTGCAGAAGCCCCCGTGAGCCTCAGTGTTGCTAGGGCCCAGACCCTGGATGCCTCTCTATTAGAGTCCCACTTTACCCCACCTAAATGCACCAGGCCCTTACTCTGCCTTTCCCCTTTTCCCAGAACATGCCCCATTCAACTCCAACAGGACATGTCTGGACCACGTGCACCCCTCTTCAGTGTTAAAACAGAGAAAATAATGTATTTTTCACTGAACATGTAACTGATTTAACATATAAGGAGATCAGCTTTATGTGTAGATATGCATGTAAATATACACAAAATTTCTAACGTTGTGGGAAAATTAACATCTTTACACTTTGTTCAGTGATTTTATAGTTTTCTCTCTCTTACTCACTTGCTTCTTTTTTTTTTTTTTTTGAGACAGAGTCTTGCTCTGTTGCCCAAGCTGGAGTACAGTGGCAAAATATCAACACACTGCAGCCTCTGCCTCCTGGGTTCAGAAGATTCTCAGGCTTCAGCCACCCGAATATCTGGAATTACCAGCATGAGTAACCATGCCCAGCTGTTTTTTGTGTTTTTAGTGGAGACGGGGTTTTGACATGTTGCCCAGGCTGGTCTCGAACTCCTGGCCTCAACTGATTTGCCCACCTTGGTCTCACAAAATGCTGGGATTACTGGCGTGAGCCTCTATGCCTGGCCTACTTGTCACTATCTCTATGTTTATTTGTTCAATAGGAAAATTCTCAGTGAAGACTCCTCAGCATGATGAAGATAAGCTTGCACAATCAGTCATTGATAGATGCTTAGTGGAAAAACTTCCAATTCCCATTTGCAGCTCTCAGAGCTAGGATTAAAAACTCCTGGTCATAACCTCATGTGATGAGAAGTTATAGCATGCCCTCATTTTCTACATATCCACCTGCATTTACAATTAGCTTTCAAACTTGCTAGAAGGGAAAGAAGTGGGAATGTGTCCCCCTTAGAGCTACTTTCCTCCCCTTGCTGGGTTTCCAGTTTGTGCATTGTCCAGATGGCCCAGGAGCTTATGATCAAAGTGAAGAGGTCCTGTTTGTCATGAGAATGCTGCTTTGCTGCATCAGGATTCAGTGAAACTGTTCACCGCCTGGAGCCCATGTGGACTCCAGAGGCAGGATGAAGCTCAGAAACCGTCACTGAGGTTAGGAAGTGAGCACCAAAGTTGAGGGCTGCCCACAGGAGAGGGCCAAAATGCTCCCTTTGGATTTCCAAGTGGTTGCTTCTTGCATCAGTCTTGCTTCTGACCACACTGTGTTCCTGGTCCCGTCTTCCTGGCATTTTGCTGTTTGTGTCCAAGGGAAAGAGTCCTGGATGGCAGTGCTGAGAAGGATGCCTGCCTGCTAAAGCTGATCCCCTGGTGAGCTCTGCAGCCTGTTAAGCAGAGCCTGAAATTCTTTCTCACTGAGTGGTGATTCAGACCACGGAGGGCCCTCCTCTTGTGGATCTGCATTCCGAAAAGATTGTGCCTTTTCCTGAAACTCTGGGACTTGTAGAAGATCATGCAGATGACTGGTGTGGTTGCTCCAGCAGATAGATGGCTCTTTCATGGCTTGTGCCTGTTTCTGCCACAGGTAGACCTATGTGCATGGGCTACTAAGGTGCTCCTGCTCCAGGTTGCCATTGAATCATGGCATCCTGGGACCCGTTGCCTAAGCTCCACCACTTCTGAAGGTGGGATGTGTCCTGTTGACCCAGACTCTAAAATTGTGGCTAAGGATGACCAGGCTGTGGCTGTCCCTTTAAGGCAGAACTTCCAGGCCAGTGTCTTATTTTTCTTGTCATCCTAAAGTTTTCCTTTCGACTGAGGCCAGAAACAAGTCTGTGTATGGGAGAGCCTCCCTCCTAGAGTTGGTACCATTGACATATGACTCCTAAGTGCCAGAAGAGGTTGAGAGAACTCTCCCATCTGCACAGCCAGGGTGCTATGTGCATCGTGACCCTTGGTGCCTGGCTCACACAGCCTGCAGAGGGATCCAAAAAATCACAGGTTGTGGGAGGTGAAGGAAGAGCTGGTACAAATGACAGGTGGCTGCTGACAGAATAGGAGGCAGGAAGAAGATGAGACCTGCCTGGGGTAGTGCACATGTTTTGTTCCAGCCAAACAGTCAGATGAGGTCTTGGTCTTGGACCCGCTGCCAGGGAATTCACAAGCCCGCTTCTGCTGTGGCCTGGGAGCTGAGGTCTTTGGTTCTGAAACCAAATGTAAATTTTGGACTCTGAAATGCCTGTCTGTTTAGCCAGTTTCTCTATAATGGTGATTCCAGGAAAGGAATTCTCTTGGAAAATGTTGAGGGTCCTTCTCAAAGGCTTTAATGAGTACACTGGTGTGTGATTGAGTGATGGATGTCCTTTCCTCCTGCCTTCTTATTTGACTTGCACAATAAATATTAACTATGGCAGTTACGGTCATATCTTTCTTTACAACATAAGAAACTTCAAGTCATTCATTGATGACACCAAAGCCTCATTCTCCTACATTAAACATTCTCCTACATTAAACTTCTTGAATCTTCTGTGCCAACTGTCTAGAAAACCTAAACACATGAAATACTACAAATTAGAAATAAATACCTCAATAGGCACCAATTATAAAAGCAAATCCAAGAAGGAACAGAATATATGAATACACATATAACAAGTAAAGAGATTCAATTAATTAAAAATCTTCACAAAAAGAGAAGCCCAGAGCCACATGGCTTAACTGGTAAATTCTACTAAACATTTAATGAAGAATTAATGCCAACTCTTTACAAGACCTTCCAGAAAATATGGGACAGTTATTGGGAACACTTCCCAATTTGTTCTGTGAGGCCAGTATTACCCTGATACTAAAGGCAGACAAAAGCATCAGAAGTAAATATGTGTATGGATGAATTTCCCTGATGAATACACACAGAGAAATTCTCAAAAAAGCGAAATGAATCAAGAATATATCAAAATGAATGTACACCATGACCAAATGGAATTATTTTACAGATGCAATATTGATCTATCCGATAATCAATCAGTGCCTTACACAAAGTAATAGGATAAAGGAAATTAACAGAAAGAGCCTTTCAACAGACACAGGGAGCATTTGACCAATCCAATATTCATTCACAATCTCCCTGGAAAGGAAGGGTACAAGCAAACTTCCTAAATCTGCTAAAGAGCATCAGTGAAAAACTTACACCTAACGCCATAATAGTAAAATACTGGTTGTTGTGTCTTGACATTTTAGAACAAGGCAAAAATGTTAACATCCAAAGAAATTACATGAGAGAAAAAAACAAAATCATCAATGTGGGAAAATAAGATGTTAGAATTGTCTATCATTGCAGAGGACATAAGTGAATATAAAAGTTTATAAAAAACTCATTAAAACCCACTAAAACCAATACATGAGTTCAGCAAGGTCACAAGATACAAAATCAATATGCAAAGTTCAATTGTACTTTTATGTACTAACAATGATCAACCTGAAAATAAAATTAAAAAAACAATCCATTTGTGTATGTATGAAAAAGAAAGAAATATTTAGGAGTAGATTTAATGAAGTGCAATTTTACCGTAAAAAGAAATCTTTGTTAAAAAATTTTAAAACACTGAAAAAAATAGGCATCAATGTTTATTTAGTTAATGTTATTCCATTATCCAGTGTATCCATTTAAACTCCACACAATAAAACAAAATATATTTTAGCATTATTTTAGTGTAATAAATACAGGTTTGTAGAAAACCCATGAAAGGAACTAATTCTACATGTCCAGAATAGCCCATCCTAATTTTTCTATTTTACATCTACTGTAAATCAAACCGATTTTGTTCCATATTTTATAGCGGAACGTAAGATAAAATCCAAATTGTTAAATATGTGAGATTGATTATAAGCCCACCAAGGAGGTTTTTACTCAGTGTGGGAATTCAGAGAGCATGAAGTTGCAAAGACAGAAGCAAATGTTTTTGAATGAATTATGAGGGACAATACTCACAGGAGTGCTTCACACTTTTATCAACTGACTCATGTCATCTCACTTTAGGAGAAACTGCCTCTAATTTTAGACATTGGTTCGTAGCAAATGCTAAATGAACCAGCACCAAGTTTATATCCAGGAGAACTGCTTACTCTAGAGGATTTTGTCTCTTGGATAATGACATGATTCTGTCTTTCATAGGCTACTCCAAAACTTCTATAATGATGGTAGAGTTTAGTGAAGTGGAGCATCGGCATGCCATCCCCATGCTCCTGACAAGCAGCAGCAGCTAACCTAAGCACAGTCACATAGGGCATGCCATTGACACCCACCTTGCTGTTGTTCACCTCCACATACTAAGTTGCCATACACTTTGCAGTGGAATTTCACCTTACTGCATCTGGTTGGTCAGCAGTCCTGCAGGTAGAAAGAGTTGGTCAGGAGGGCACATTGAGAGAATAGATGGGAGCTCAGAGGCTGCCTAGCTCCCTGCACCCTGCCCACAGGCCACAGTCCTCACCCAGCTGTCCAGCATGCATGACTGCTGAAGGCTGCTGCACTTGTTCTTCATCACAGAGGTGGGATGAAAGCAGTCTGAGGGCACCACACTCCATGATCAGGGTCTACTTCTGGTGCCATAGCTCCAGGTGGAAGGACAGGTAAGCAAAAGACAGGTCCCACCTTCCACATCCAGCCCACACTCCCACCAACTTCCAGGCCCACCTCAATATCCTGATGTGATGCTCTCCTTAGACCTCTTGTGGTTCTTCAGCCAGGAGATGGAGAGAGTGGGGTTGCTAGGAGCCAGGCAGTGAAAGTTGGTTGTGGTGGCCAGCATGGCTGGCAGTTTCCTGTCCATCCACTGGGGCAAAGTCCAGGAAGGGGTCTCTGCTGGTGGAAGCACACATGAAGGCCATAGCTGAGGCGAGGAACAGAGACCCATCTGACCAGACCCCCGATTCAAGATCACCCTGCCCACTCCGAGTCTCATGTTTTTCTCCTGTGTAGGGAGAGTGTTGACATGTCAAGGACATCTACTTGGGCTGAATGAGGCTCCCAGGAGCTTCAACACAATGTCCCCACCCAGTCATGCTCAGAGCTGGCAATGTGTGCCTTTCTATTCCCTCTGCTTCCCCCAAGTGGCTGCTCCTGCTGAGAGGCTGGGGTTCTTCATCCTGGCCTGAAAGCCTCAAAGAATAATGGAGTCTCGAGGGGATACCCCACCTGCACAGGGAGGCACATGGGGAGGGCCCACCAGGAAGGAGGCCCAGCAGGTAGCCCAGCTAAGTGAGTGAGTCAGGACAGGCATTGGGAGCAGTTTACCAGGAGAAGAAACCCAGCCCCTTGCAGAGCTGGGAGCCTCAGAAGCAGCTGAGAAGCCTTGGTCCACAAGCCTCTGAGCCCATAAGCCACCCCCTGCAGAGCTTCAGGGCCCGGTGGGCACTGGTGAGGATGGCGGCCTGGAGGCTTCGTCTCTTTTTTATCCTGACTTCCAGGGCTGTCACCATTCCCCCTCTCACACCTCAGCTAGTTTTTCTAATTTCTGGGTGCTGGGGTGGGGCTGCCTTCCTGCCTGGACTTGTGGGTAGGCTCAACTGCCTTACCCCCAGGAGAGAGGCACCAGGGGCCCAGGAAAGAGAAAGGAGGCAGCCGCTTCCCCACAGTGACCTCCTTGCCATTCACATGCAGCGACAGGCCCACCTTTCGGTGGAGGATGCTGAAGCACAGCCGGGAGCTGTGTAGAGAGACGCTGGGAAGAGGCACCAATCACAACTCTGAGCTGTCCTCTGGGATTCCAGGGGTGGGAGATGGGGACCCACTGGTGATTAAGACAGCTCAGCAAACTGTGGCACAGGATGTTCCCAGGACTGGGAGACAACAGTGACTCAATGCTGCTCACTTCTAGACTGTGCCTTCTTAAAGTGGCTCTTCAGTTACCCCCAGAGCTTGAGCCCACACCATCCTGGGATGGCTGGGTAGGCAGAGGTGAGCAGGGGCTCAGGGGGAGTGCACAAGGGTGTGTGGGCAGGGGCAGAGGCTGCTGAGGCAGGTGAGGGGAAATTTTCATCCTTTCCTGTCTGCTCCTCCCGGGGTCTACTTTCCTCTCTTCCCTCTGCCTCTGGCTCCCTGGCTGGCTCCTCCTCACTTTCTTTCCTGCTCACTCCAGAGGTCTCAGGGGCTCAGCCCACCACCAGTGGTCCCCAAGTTGCAGCTGCCTCTCCCATGCCTATCCCATGAGGACCCTCATCTGCCTGAGCACATCTCTGGGCTCCTCTGAAACCAGAAGCCCCATCTTCCTGACAGACCCCTCCACAACTGGGCAGAGTTCACCTGCCACTGTTCCAGGCCAGAATGACTGGGAATTGTTCCGCTGCTGCTGTTTCACACCCACAGCCAATCCCCCACAAATGCTGTTGGCATCACTTTTACAACCCTCATGGCCACCCTGCCCTCCTGCTGGGCTGTAGCTTTTGTCCCCTCCATCCATCTGCCCCTTGGCAGCCACCTGAGCCCCCAAGCACTGCTGTGCTCACACCTACAGTAGCCACCTCACCCAGAGCCAACATCAAAGTCCCCACAGGCCAATCCTGGCCTCCTCACTGCTCCTGGAACCCCAGGACCCTGTGCCCCAGTCTCCCCATCTGCAGCATGTGTGTCTCCTCTGACCCCCAGCCTGCCCCACAGAGCCCAAGACATCCAGAGCCATCTAATAGATATGTAATACATATCAATTACATAATAATTCATGATACATCATATTATATACAAAGTACGATGTCATAATGTACTGTGATGCCATAATACATATGAAGTATAATGTCATAATATATTGTGATGTCATAACACATACTGATGATGGTGTCACAATATACTGTGACGTGATAATGCCTATGAATTTTGATGTCATAATACATGTGCATTATGATGTCATGATATATTGTGATGTTGTAGTATAAATTATGATGCCATAATATATTATGATGTCATGTTGTGTGTGCATTATGATGTCATAATATATTGTGATGTCATAATACATATGAATTATGATATCATAATATGTTGTAATGTCATAATATATTTATTTATCACATTAATGGTATAATAACATAAACTTTGTCAGGTAATTTTACAAGAAAATTCAGTGAAATTTTGTAACAATATTAACATCTAAAGTAGCTTATAATCATGATGAAAAATGAAAGAGCTGCAGGAATCTCACATGGTAGGAGTTGAAACAGGAAAGATCAGGGAGGGGTATGCTTCACTTTTAAACCACCACATCTCGTGAGTACTCACTATGACAAGGACAGCACAGAGCCATGAGAAATCTATCCCCATGATTCAACCATCTACCACCATGCCCCACCTGTAACATTAGGGATTAAAATTCAATATGAGATTTGGAGGAGACATCTAAACTATATTATATGACCATTAGTGTGGGCGAAAGGTCACCAAGGTGCCAAGGCAAGAGACTGAAACAAACTGTTTCAGTATAATAAAGAAAATTGTTAGAATAGAATAGTCATAATACAAATTAGATATAGAGATGATCATGGGCAATTATCAATCATTATTATAAACATTATTAATCATTAGCTTTTAATATTACTCTTTA
Organism: Homo sapiens; assembly: GCF_000001405.40. Taxonomy (NCBI): domain Eukaryota; kingdom Metazoa; phylum Chordata; class Mammalia; order Primates; family Hominidae; genus Homo; species Homo sapiens. The sequence continues at coordinate 33,173,364 of NC_000016.10, read as the reverse complement.
TTGCATTGCTAATATAACCTAGGAATAACCGGCGGGTATAGGGTCAGGTGCTGAAGGGACATTGTGAGAAGTGACCTAGAAGGCAAGAGGTGAGCCTTCTCTCACGCCCCCATAAGGGCCGCTTGAGGGCTCCTTGGTCAAGTGGTAATGCCAGTGTCTGGGAAGACACTCATTACTTAGCAGACCATGAAAGGGAGTCTCCTTTCCTTGGAGGAGTCAGGGAACACTCTGCTCCACCAGCTTCTTGTGAGAGGTTGGATAAATTATCCAGGCCTTCCCACAGTCATCCAGAGGCCTAAACCCCTCCCTGTGGTGCTGTGCTTCAATGGTCACACTCCTTGTCCACTTTCATGTTCTTCCCATACTCCTGGTTCCTCTTTGAAGTCTATAGTAGATAATGGTAGAAGGAAGTCTTAAAGTCTTTGTTCTTTCTTATAAGTGCATAGAAGGAAACGCTGACATATGCTTCCTTCTCTCTGTCTGCTTCGGCTACCTAAGAGGGAAGGGCTCCCTGTCCTGTGATCACATGACTTGCTTCACCTTGTCAATCACTTAGAAGATTCACCCTCCTTACGCTGCCCCCTTGTCTTGTATGCAATAAATATCAGCCCGTCCAGCTGTTCGGGGTCACTAGTGGTCTCTGCGTCTTGGTGGTAGTGGTCCCCCGGGCCCAGCTGCTTTCTCTTTATGTCTTTGTCTTGTGTCTTTATTTATTATAATCTCTCGTCTCCGCACACAGGGAGAACACCTGCTAAACCCCGTAGGGCTGGACACTACACATTAGAAAAACAGATGAGGCTGGATACGGTGGCTCATGCCTGTAATCCTAGCACTTTGGGAGGCCGAGGCGGGTGGATCACAAGGTCAAGAGATTGAGGCCATCCCGGCTAACAGAGTGAAACATGGTCTCTACTAAAAATACAAAAAATTAGCCAGGCATAGTGGCACACACCTGGAGTCACAGATACTCGGGAGACTGAGGCAGGAGAATCACTTAAACCCAGGAAGCAAAGATGTAAGCTGCACTCCAGCCTGGGCAACAGAGTAACAGAGCAACAGAGCAACCAGCACTCCAGCCTTGGCAACAGAGCAAGACTCCGTCTCAAAAAGAAAAGAAAAGAAAAGAAAAACAGATGAAACATTCATGGTTTCTACAGATACTTTCATTCCAGAGTAAACGGATACACGATTGAATTCTGTGGTTAGAAGAGAAAAGGGAGGTGTACGGGGGACTTTGGCTGCATTTGTTCTACTTCCCTTATGCTGTTGTTGTGAGTTCTGATGTCACCACCTGAAGGGCTCTTCATAGACAGAAGAATTATGGCTATTGTTGTGATTATTCCTTTTTCTTTTACCTTAGTAAAAATAAATTTTTTAGCTTCTCATATAATTTTTTAAAAAACCCTAAGAGATTTAGTCAAATTCCTTGTTATTGTATGGTATAAAAATTGACAGGGAAATGGCTAAAATATATTAAAATTACACAAACTCTAGGAGTCAAGTTTCTATTGGGCAGTATTAGGAAAGACAGAACTGGAAACACTCCACCATAATAGACATCGAAGGGGGCCAGCCCCTCCACACTTGTGGGTATTTCTCGTCAGGTGGGAGGAGAGACTGAGAAAAGAAATAAGACACTGAAACAAAGTATAGAGAAAGAACAGTGGACCCAGGGGACCGGTGCTCAGCATACAGAGGACTCGCACCAGCGCTGGCCTCTGAGTTCCCTCAGTATTTATTGATCATTATTTTTACTATGTTAGTGATGGGAGTGTAGCAGGGCAACAGGTGGGGAAAGGTCAGCAGGGAAATATGTGAGCAAAGGAATCTGTATCATGAATAAGTTCAAGGAAAGGTACTGTGCCCAGATGTGCACATAGGCTAGATTTATGTTCCTCTTTACACAAACATCTCAGTTTAGCAAAGAGTAACAGAGCAGTATTGCTGCCAGCATATCTCACCTCTAGCCACAGGGTGGTTTTCTCCTATCTCAGAATAGAATGAATAGGAATGGTCAGCTTTACACTGAGACATTCCATTCCCAGGGATGAGCAGGAGACCAAAGCATTCCTCTTATCTCAACCGCAAAGAGACCTCCCTTACCATTTACCATGCCATCTCACTGCCTTGTCTGGTGATTTTGAGAACTCCTGTGTCCAGTTCAGAAGTCAGAGACTTCTATCCCATCTCAGTGGGGGCAAACCTTGGACAACACCCAGGCTTTCTTGGGCAGAGGTCCCTGAGGCTTTCTGCAGTGCATTGTGTCCCTGGTTAATTGAGAATGGAGAATGGCGGTTTCATTTTTCTTGTATGCAGGATGATTTTTAGGATTTTTTTTCTGTTATATTTTTTGCATTCTGGTTACCTAGAAGGTAGTGATTATTACCCCAAACCAGGGCTTGATATTGTGTTAGTCCACTTTCATACTGCTATGAAGAAATACCTGAAACTGGGTAATTTATAAAGAAAAAAAGGTTTAATGGACTCACAGTTCCACATGGCTGGGGAAGCCTCACAATCATGGCAGAAGGCAAAGGAGGAGCAAAGACATGTCTTACATGGTGGCAGGCAAGAGAGAGAGCATGTGCAGGGGAGCTCCCCTTTATAAAACCATCAGATCTTGTGAGACTTATTCTGTTTCACAAGAGCAGCACAGGGAAAAACCCATCCCCATGATTCAAGTTCCTCCAACTGGGTCCCTTCCATGACATATGGGGATTATGGGAGCTACAATTCAAGATGAGATTTGGGTAGGGACATGGCCAAACCATATCATTCTTCCCCTGGCACCTCCTGAATCTCATGTTCTCACATTTCAAAATCAATCATGCCTTCCCAACAGTCCCCCAAAGTTTTAACTCATTTCAGCATTAACTGAAAAGTCCATAGTCCAAAGTCTCATCTGAGACAAGTCCCTTCCACCTATGAGCCTGTAAAACTAAGAGCAAGTTGGTCACTTCCTACATACAATGGGGGTACAGGTATTGGGTACCCCCAATGTATTTACACCTGTTCCAAATGGGAGACATTGGTCAAAACAAAGGGGCTACAGGCTCCATGCAAGTCTGAAATCCAACAGGGCAGTCATTAAACATTAAAGTTCCAAAATGATCTCCTTTGACTCCATGTCTCACATGCAGGTCACACTGACACAAATGGTGGTCTCCCATGGCCTTAGGCAGCTCTGCCTCTGTGGCTTTGTAGGGCACAGCCTCCCTCTTGGCTGCTTTCACTAGCTGGCATTTTGTATGGCTTTTCCAGGTACACAGTGTAAACTGTTGGTGGATCTACCATTCTGGGGTCTGGAGGATGGTGTAACTACCATTCTGGGGTCTGGAGGATGGTGGCCCTCTTCTCACAGCTCTTCTAGGCAGTGCCCCAGTAGGGACTCTGTATGGGGGACAGAGCCCACATTTCACACCTCTACTACCCTAAAAGAAGTTGTTCATGAGCCCCTGCGCCCGCCCCTGCCCCCCGCCCTGCCAAAGCAAACTTCTGCCTGGACATGCAGGTGTTTCCATACATTCTCTGAAATGTAGGTGGAGGGTCCCAAACCTGAATTCTTGACTTCTGTGCATCTGCAGGCTCCACAGCTTGTGGAAGCTGCCAAGGCTTGCGACTTGCAACCTCCGAAGACATGGCCTGAGCTGTACCATGGTGTCTCCCACCCAAGCCATGGCTGGAGTGGCTGGAATGCAGGGCATCACGTCTCTAGGCTGCACACAGCAGGGGGACCTGGCCCTGCTCCAGGAAATGATTTTTCCATACTAGGCTTTTGAGCCTGTGGTGGAAAGAGCTGCTGTGAAGATGTGAAGGTCTTTCATGTCCTGGAGACATTTTCCCCATTGTCTTGGTGATTAACATTTGGCTCCTCGTTACTTATGCGAATTTCTGCAGGAGGCTTTAATGAAAGTCGGTTTTTCTTTTTTCTTTTCTTTTTTTTTTTTTTTCGTTGACGGAGTCTCACTCTGTTGCCCAGGCTGGAGTGCAGTGGCGCAATCTCGACTCACTGCAACTTCTGCCTCCTGGGTTCAAGCAATTCTCCTGCCTCAGCCTCTCGAGTAGCTGGGACTACAGGTGCACGTCACCACACCTGGCTAATTGTTTGCATTTTAGTAAAGATGAGGTTTCACCATGTTGCTCCAGCTGGTCTCGAACTCCTGAGCTCAGGCAATCCGCCCGCCTCAGCCTCCCAAAGTGCTAGGATTACAGGCGTGAGCCACTGCGCCCGGCCAAGGGTTTTTCTTTTCTATTGCATTATCAGGCTGCAAATTTTCCAAACTTTTATGCTCTACTTCCTCTTGAACACTTTCCCACTTAGAAATTTCTTTCACCAGATACCTTAAATCATCTCTCTCAAGTTCAAAGTTCCATAGATCTCTGGAGCAGAAGCAAAATGCCACTAGTCTTTTTTGCTAAAGCTTAACAAGAGTCACCTTTGCTCTAGTTCCCAACAAGATCCTCATCTCCATCTCCGGCCCAGATATTAGGGTTTATATCACTATCAGCATTTGGGTCAAAGCCATTCAACATGTCTAGGAAGTTCAAAAATTTCCCACATTGTCCTGTCTTCTGAGCCCTCCAAGTCTCTAGGAAGTTCCAAACTTTCCCACATTTTTCTGTCTTCTTCTGAGCCTTCCAAACTGTTCCAACCTCTGCTTGTTACCCAGCTCCAATGTCGCTTCCACATTTTTGGATATCTTAATAGCAGTACCCTACTCTGCCAGTACCAATTATTGTCTTAGTGTATTTTTATACTGCTATGAAGAAATATCCGAGACTGGGTAATTTACAAAGAAAAAGAGGTTTAATGGACGCACAGTTCCTGGTAGCTGGGGAGGTCTCACAATCACGGCCGAAGGCGAAGGAGGAGCAAAGGCATGTCTCATATGGTGGCAGGCAAGAGTGTGTTCAGGGGAACTTCCCTTTCTGCCCCGTATAAAACCATCAGATCTTGTGAAACTTACTCACTATCACAAGAACAGCACATAGAAAAACCCAGCCTGATGATTCAATTACCTCCACTTGGGCCCTCCCAGGACACATGGAGATCATGGGAACTACAATTCAAGATTAAATTTGGGTAGGGACACAGCAAAACCATATCATTAATATCTAACAGGAAATGATCATTTTTTAAATGATTCTTCTACCTTTGAGAAATTGGCTAAGGCCCTTTCTCTGATCTGCAGGGAATGCACAGCTCCTCTCAGTAGTGAGCAAGTATTTATTGGAATAGCTCAGCTAAGCTAAAGTGGAGACCTCTAGTATTTTGTTTGGCTTGTCGTACAAGACATACACAATACCTAGCATGCACGGATAATGCAGCGTGCTGGTGGTGGCAAGAATGAGTGCTACTTTATAGATTATTGATGTTACTGCTTTCTGGGTAGAGGTTCTAAAGGAAGGCTGTATTTTACTTGAAAAATAATCTTCAACGGCCAGTTGGTATGATGCAAGTTGCTTATCAGTAGTTTCCTGTTTTGCTTTATAATCCCTCTCTACTGGCTCCCCAAACTTATTAAAATCCCATTGTATGAAATAACAATGTAACATAGGGAGGGAAGGAAAGAAAAGAGGCTGAGTTCATGCTTGGAGGGAAGCAAGAAGGGAGAGAACAATGCCAGCCAGGTCATGTGGCTAAGACCTGGGCCACTGGAGTTACAAATTGCTAGACTGGCAATTCTGCTGCCTCCCCTCCCAGGGCTTTTCTTGAGTGAACTGTGTGCCCAGGCCTGACAGGCACCTGACACATGGTTGGTTGGTTGGTTGGTTTTTATTGTATCCTCTATCTTTCTAGGAGCTTAGTATGTAAGATATGTGAGAGTGGCTAGGACCTGTCCCCTCAAAAAGTAAGAATGGAGCCGTAAAGGAGTAAGTGTCCATTTTCTGGGACACTCCGAGAGTCTGACTCAGGGACAGGCTGGGAAGAGGCAACTACCGTCTTACATGAGTTTTATATTGAGGAAATTCTTCCATTTCATAAAACAAAATATGGATGGGCCAGTTTAACTTAATTGTTCTTATAGTTAGTAAAAATTCCTTCTAGATTAGTCTGCATATTGGGTGTCAGTTTTACTAATTAGTGTTGTTTTAAGTTTACATTGTTTGCTTTGTTTTACTGATTTTTTTTTCTTTCTTTTTTAATAGGAACTTAGATGGGACTCCATTACAAAGGATCATCCAGATGCTGTTTAAAATTGGGCCAATTCAGCATTAAAATGAAATTACACATTCATGGGATTTGTTACGAGAGTCGGTACTGTTTTGGAGTGATTCATATAGCATTTATAAGGACCAACTCTGAGAGAGATAAATCATTGGTATAAATTATTTTTTAAGTTACTTTAGTATCAGTCATATATTCACTCACATAACAAATATGCATTGAGCTCATCTGGTCCAAGGAATTTGCCAAGCCCTGGAACTAGGGAATGATTTAAACAGACATACTACTTGACCTCAACAAATGTACAGTCAAGAAGGAAGTTATGAGCATTAAGCAAATGATTGCACTATTAATACTTAATTACAACAATGATAAGTGCATCCTGGAAAATAAATGTTATCAATCAATAGGTGCAAGGTGTCAACCTAAATAACGAACAGAGAGAGAGACTCTGTAAAGAACACTGGGTTGGGGATAGGGTATTTCAGTAGGAATACATGTGCCATAGTCAACTATGTATGCATTCAGGGAGGTAAAGGAAGACAAAGGTATTTAAAGAAAAAATGTGGAGGATTACACAATTGTTTTGACATAGTTATCCTTGATTACAAGGATCAATAACAAGGGTGGTGCCAGTCCAAGGTTGGACAGGCATTTGCTGGACATATGTCCTTGCAGAAGTGTTTTTTTACAAGGTTGCAATGGCAAGATTGTGGTTTTTGCAGTCTTTCGTGATAGTTCTTGTTATCAGGCATATGTGCGTGAGAATTCTCTTTTCATGGCCTTCTCCAGCTGCATTTGGCATGTTCTTCCTCCTCCTCCTCTTCTTTCTTCCCTCCTCCTCCTCCATCAAATACTTTAAAATATACAAATTTTTATTTTGTGATTCAACAGAACATAAAATGAGATTGTTGGACAGGACTTTAAGTTGGAATAGAGACAAGATTGAAACTGTGTTATGCTCAAATTCTAATGGCTTTTTAAAACAGTAATTACTACAGAGTTATTTTCATTAAGAAAAAGTTATTTAAAAATCTTTTCAAACTTCATATTTCTTCCACAGGCCCAGGAACACAGCTTGTTTGCTATTCAAAGTAGAAGTAAATATGGAGAGTGCTGTGTGTGTGTGTGTGTGTGTGTGTGTGTGTGTCTGTGTGTGTGTTTATTTTAAAAATTTATTTAGTTCTTATGTTAATATACCTTGCATTTAGGAATACTAACTAATTTGTTTGGTAAAGTCAAAAAGAAGAGCAGCCAGAGAGGTGTTCATAATGAAAGCTAGGAAAATCAGCTTTTGACTCATTTGATAGCCTCCCACCCCTGATTCAAAAATACATGGACCACATATCAAGGCCACTCAACTCATAGAGCGTTGGTGATGGGCCTGACTTAAAGTCTGAAAATTGCATATGTAAAACCATGTTCTCTATAAAAATACACACATTTGCCAAAGTCAGGAAAGGAAAAAAATTCCATTAAATCTAGGTTCAATAAGTGTATTAGAAAATATTTAATTAACTATCTCTGTTAAAACACATCTTGTGACTGCTGTTCCCTCTCTCATTGGTGTTTATTTGCTGGTAAAGTGCTCACTCATTTTTTTTTTTTTTTTTTTTCGAGACAGAGTCTCGCTCTTTCGCCCAGGCCTGAGTACAGTGCAGTGGCACTATCTCGGCTCGCTGCAAGCTCCGCCTCCCGGGTTCACGCCATTCTCCTGCGGCAGCCTTCCGAGTAGCTGGGACTACAGGCGCCCGCCACTGCGCCTGGCTAATTTTTTGTATTTTTAACAGAGACGGGGTTTCACCATTGTTGGCCAGGATGGTCTGGATCTCCTGACCTCGTGATCCGCCCTCCTCGGCCTCCCAAAGTTCTGGGATTACAGGCGTGAGCCACCGCGCCCGGCCTGTGCTCACGCATATTTGTTTGCTGTGTGGTGCAGTGCGACCGACCACACGGTTCTTCAGACACAACCTCTGCTTTCTCATTTACCTCAACACTTTAACCCTGAGATTCTTTTTTACTATACTTCAGTATATTTCCCAGAACATATATTGTCTATGAGGGATAAAATAAAATGTCAATTAAAAACAAAAAAATTCAGAGAAATATTAACCATTCACTCTTCTAAGTTCTCAAAGGTTACATTCTTCACCAAGTCATATAACCAGGTCCCAATAAAATACCATCATGGAGGCAATGTAACATCATGTAATTTAAAATACCATCATGCGGGCAGCTTTCAAAAGCATCCTGTAAGAAAAGGTCATTTGTACTTACATCTTTAAAAGTTTTGAAATTACTATTGAAGATTATTTTTATTGTATTGTCCATTGTCTGTTGCTTAAAGACTTATATATTTTGCTTAAGAGTTTAGAGTTACCAAAAAATAGCTGCTGACATATGCAGATACTATTTTATTAACTAACGACACCTATTTGAATTCTGGTTTTCCTTTTGGCCCTAAAGAACAAGAGGCTTAGGACTAAATTTTAGGCTGAAGGGTAGTGTTTCCTTCCCTAGGTTGTCCCATGTAATTGTCACCTCCTTCTCTTCATTATTCTGTCATTTTGCCCTTGTTTTATAGCGTCTGTGCCTTTCATTCTAAGCTGTCTCAGAGGCTTTTCTGGAAACACACAGTGTATAAGTACAAAATGATGAAATAAACATGCTTCTTTTTTTTTTTTCTTTTTTTTTAAGACGGAGTCTCCCTCTGTTGCCCAGACTGGAGTGCAGTGGCAGGATCTCGGCTCACTGCAAGCTCCACCTCCCGGGTTCACTCCATTCTCCTGCCTCAGCCTCCTGAGTAGCTGGGACTACAGGCACCTGCCACCATGTCCGGCTAATTTTTTGTATTTTTAGTAGAGAGGGGGTTTCACCGTGTTATCCAGGATGGTCTCGATCTCCTGACCTTGTGATCTGCCTGCCTTGGCCTCCCAAAGTGCTGGGATTACAGGTGTGAGCCACCGCACCAGGCCAACATACTTCTTTATTTTGTTTTAAAAGATACTTGAGTGGGACTAGATGACCTCTAAGGTCCTTTCCAGCTCTAAATTTACGTTACTGTCACCAAAGACAAAAAAAAAAAAATCTATTAGGTTATAGGTCTAGAGATGAGTGCCAAGTACTATATTCCTGCTCTAGGTGCATTTCTTGTTGAAGGCAGTGACCTGTTCGGCCGTTTACAGTCTTATGGTGATAAAACAAGAGAACTGATTGCTAAAAAAAAAAAAAATTCAGTTGAAATACCTTTTTACTCTTAAGCATCAACAAAAATAAATAGAAAACAGAAGAGTTGAATTATTTATTTTGAGCTATTTGTAATAAATTTGGACAACAAAGCTAAGCCTGAGTGTAGTTAATTTAATGAAATTAGTCATATTTGAATATCATCACAACCTTACTATCACATTAGCATTCAGTGTGATTAAAATTTATTCTTTGTTTCTTTGTGAGTCTCCACAGAATCAGCTATCAACAACTTCATAATAAACTAGCCCTTCATTGCTTTCAGGAAACTTTTAGATTCAGAGCAGGTGGTTGGACTTCTGCTTTCAAAGAGAACAAATCATTTTTTAAAGTGCCTTTCCTGTTTGTGTGTGTGAATTTAGAACACAGAAATTGTCCATTGCATTGTTTATTTTTGCTAGGAGGTAGAAGTTATCAAAAATACAGGAAATATTAGATATCACGTACTGATAATTTTCAAAGCTAATTATTTCTCTTAAGGCCAAGCTATAATTTAAGAGGTGTACTTGTGAAATATGAATATTGTTTTATAGTAATAGAATGTTTCTCACGGAAAAATAGAGTATGATTTTGTCGAAGTTCAAGGGAATATCCATTTTCATTTAGGTAGCTTCCAGATTTTTGTCTTTACATGTTCTGTGTAGTGATTTAAATACCGTACCTCCAAAATTTATGTCCACTAGTAACTTTAGAATGCGACTTTATTTGGAAGTAGGGTCTTTGCAGATATAATTAACCCAATGATTGAGATGAGGTCATCCTGGATGAAGGTGGGCCCTAAATCCAATGTAAATGTCCTTATAAGATACAAGAAAAGACACACGCAGAGAAGGTCATGTGAAGATGGAGACAGAAATTGGAGTTATGCAGTCATAAATCAAAGAAGGCCAAGGATTGCCAGGAGCCACTGGAAGCCAGGAAGAAGCGAGGGAGAATTCCTCCCTAGGGTCTTCAGAGGGAGTATGGCCCCACCAACATCTTAGTTTCAGAGGTCCAGGCTTCAGAACTATGAGAGAATATATTTCTGTCCTCTTAACCCACCAAGTGTGTGATAATTAGGTATGATGGTCCTAGGCAACTACTACACTCTAATTCAGAAGTTCTTCTGGATTTTATTATATCATGTGTTGGTAGGAAGTACCTGGGTGTTTCATTTGCATGATATGTTGGTAATCTTAGAATTATCATATCTTGCAAGTCATTTTTAAGTATGTTGTAATGTAGTCAGAAGCTTTTTAAATATGAAATTTAATTCTTGCTGGTGTCAATTACATTTGAAAAAAATACAAAATAGCTATATAAGATTCTAGGATCTTTCAGAATTTTATAATGTTTATAATGGAAAGTTGGTTAAATAAAAATTGTACCCTACACAATTTTGTTGTTGGCTTAAAATAGCATTTAATTTATTAGTGCTCAGATAATAGTTATCCCCTCAATAGCATTTTTACTTTCATATGTTGATATCAAACAGTGAAGTGAGACAGCAAATCAGTACAACGTGGTGATTATCAAACATCATAAATCCATGAAGGATAGCGTTGATCTTACTGAGAAGAGTTTAATCTTAAAATGCATACCTGGAAAAGGCAAGTTAGATTAACATTTCAAACTCATATAGCATTATCTGATTGATTATAGTTATGACTGATCATTTTATGTTTGGACCATCACTTTGAATCCAATTGGGATAATTATAAATTAAGGATTTATTATTTGCTTTGAATTTTAGATTAAAAAATTTAAAACCATAAAAACAGAGCTTTGACTATAATAAAGGTATTTATCCTTTCTTGGTAAGAATTGGGGAGAGATTTAAGAAAAGGCTAAGCAATGTTCTATTTTTTTACATAGGCAAAAGTTTATTTGTGCTACTTTTTAATTAGGTAGTTTTTTTTTTTTTTAATGACAGCTTCCTAAACACTACTGATTTTACATGTGCAGTCATTAGTTTTTCATGTGGAAATATTATCTTTCAAATTCACACAGCAGCTTATTTTATGAAATGCAATGGGACTACTTACTTGCCACCTGACTAAACTGGAATGCATAGATTCATACCTCGCCAAATGAGGAGTTAGGGTGAAAAGTGATTAATATCCATTCTTTAATGAGTTTCTAAGTCTTTCTGAACATGTTTTTATTCTATTTATTGCAGTGGTATGTTAACATTTTCGTGTTGGTTGCTGTACAAAGCATGATAATACCTTTATTAAAGTAATGTTAATGACATCAAAATACTATACTTTTAGTGTGAATCTGAGCCAAATTCTGTTGTATTCCAAATAAAGTGAAATTCCTGTCAGCCAATAGGGCCTGGTATCAGTTTCAAATAAGACAAGTTGGTCAGGTCAGGAGAAATGACTTCCTCCTTCCTCCTTACGTGCCGTATATAGATTTATTAGCACTGCCTTTTAATATGTTATGTGTTCAACAGAGAGGGAACTAAGATCTTGTTAATCATCATTTGAAAACAATTTTGTGAATGGAAATGTAGCAGGGCTTTTGCCTTTTTTCCTTGTTCATGAAAAACAAGTCGCGCTTGGGGAGCAAGTATTCCCGTTCAACTGCTGTCACTCATTCTTAGCTCTGTTTAGAAGAAATAAGCACAGATGGTTGGTCTACTACTTCCCCAACGAAAAATTTGCCTGTTGGCTGGGCGCGGTGGCTCACGCCTGTAATCCCAGCACTTTGGGAGACCAAGGCAGGCGGATCACAAGGTCAGAAGATCGAGATCATCCTGGCTAACACGGTGAAACCTCGTCTCCACTAAAAATACAGAAACTTAGCTGGGCGTGGTGGCAGACGCCTGTAGTCCCAGCTACTTTGGAGGCTGAGGCAAGAGAATAGCTTGAACCCGGGAGGCGGAGCTTGCAGTGAGCCGAGATCGCGCCACTGCACTCCGGGCTGGGCGACAGAGCAAGACTCCATCTTAAAAACAAAACAAAACAAAACAAAACAAAACTGCCTATCTTTTTTATGTTTTATTCCATCCTTCTCATTGTAATGTGAACAATATTTCAAGTGAAGAAACATCTGTAGGGATCTTTGAAATGTTTTATCCATTGCTTGTGCATTAAAGAGAAAAAGAAGAAATTAATGATTTATTAAAATTTCATGAGGGGAACTCAAAAACTCTTTGTTACAAAAAAATTTAATTTAGAAACAGTGTATTTTGCATGCAAAATTAAAGTCTTCAGGGAAGTAAGTTTTTATGTCAGACTTGGATCCGAAAGTACTCATTTAATGATGACAGAACCACTTCATCCACGTCATGTTAAAAATACTGGTGTGGGTCTTTTTTATTTATACTGTGGCTTAATGAAAATTTGTCTATGGTAAATATATTAAGAAAAAGAGCATAAAGACTTTTTAACATAATTTTCTAAGGCTGAAAATACGTACAAACAGTAAAATACCCAAATCTTAACTGTACAGCCCAATACTTTTTTTGTTTTTAAACAAACTTAGCCCTTCTGCGTATCCAGTACTCAAATCATGAAATTTTATATTATTACTTCTTCTAGACACTATTTCATAGGGTAGCTCCTATGGTGATTTGGAACATAACTGATTAGTTTTACAATTTTTAGTGGATTAGATCATAGAATATGTTCTGTATCTTGCTTCTTTCATTCAATATTTAGTTTATAAGATTTGTCAATCTTTTTGCATATAGTTGTAACTTGTTAGTTCTCATTGCTATATACTATACCATTATACAAATATAATGTTCAATTCGTGGTTATTTTGAACGGTGCTTCTCTGAGCATTCATGTATTTGTCTTTTGGTAAATATTGCTGCGTATATGCTCAGGGTCATAGAATATGGTTAGATTTAGCACACATGGGAAATGGTGGTGTCCGTCAGTTTACATTTTCATCCACAATGGGAGAGAGTTCCAGTTGCTCCACATCTTTGCCAACACTTGGTATCATTTCTCTTTTTCATTTGAACTGTTCTGATGTGTATGTGTCACTATTTCAATTGTGGTTATTTTGAACATTACAAAATTGGCAAAGAATAACTGATTTTATTAAATCATATTTCATTTGAAGTAATGTGTGTCTACTTTGCAGTATTTTCCCTTATTTACATGATTCATAAGAAGAGTGATTGTGAGATAGTCAACAATATAACAGCTTGGAATGAGATTTTTGATCAGCTATAATTCTAATGTATTTTATCTAAATATTATTTTACTGTATTAGTAACTGTGATCATTAAGAACAGAAACAAAAGGTAAGCAAGTCCTTAGATTAACATGAAACAACATTCCTGCCTTTTGAAAGAAACTTTTCTGGCCTGTAAGTAAATGATGTAAATCAATTAATAGCTTAACTGAAATTAAGAGATGAGTCTCAGTTTTCATTGCCTATATTATATCTGTGTTTCTGCAGGAACAGAAAAACAGTATGACAAACCTACAGTCTGCTAGTTTCTTCTCACCCTGCCAACAACTGTTATATTACTGTTTAGCTGGTTATATGCAACCATTTGTTGAGGAGGATTGTTTTGTTTTGCTTAGTTTTACTTTTTAAGGCAGAGTCTTGCTCTGTTGCCCAGGCTTGAGGTCTATGAGTTTTATACTCATAGTCACATGGTCAATGAGATGTAATCACAGCTCACTGCAGCCTTAATCTCCTGGGCTCACATGATCGCCCTGCCTCTGCTTCCTGAGTAGCTGGGACTACAGGTGCATGCCACCAAACCCAGCTTGTTGAGGAGAGTTTTGATGAAAATCATTCATCCCTTCTTAACTACAACCAGTGAAGCCTTAGAAAATGTAATTAGAGAAAAAAATAACATTTTTGCACCAAGCTAATTGTATCTTTACCTTTTATTAGTTGGTTTCAGGATTGACACTTATTGATGGTTCTATTTTGGAGTGCGCTTTCCCTGGGTTTAACTCCTTGCAGCACACTTTATATACACTGTGTGGCCTTACTTGAGTAACTTATGTTACTTAACTTCTCCAGATCCCAGATTCTCAACCTGTAGAATGGAAGTAATTATAATACAGATATTATATGGTGGGTTAGTCCAGGTCCTCCAAGAGGTAGATGTTGAAAACGAGTTATACACAAGAGGATTTTATTAAGGGAAATCCCTGTGAGAGAAAATGGAGAGGAAGCTGAGTAAGCCTGGAAGAGCTCTCAACTATGAGGCAAGTCTGACCTAGAATGAAGGAAAGAGGAAAGGAAGGTTGAGTGGAAGCATTGGAGCGTAATGTGCAGTCTAAGGAAGGGTACGAAAAGGCTTCAGGAATCCTGAGCCAAGACTGGTCCTCAGAGAAGCCCTGTGTCTCCTAAAGAGGGATGTGCATTAGCCACCTTGTGGCCCTCAGTCATTGACTGAGGGGCAGATGCAGAAACAGATTTTAGAGTGAAGCAGCAAGTGGCCGTAGGCAGTTAGGCTTCCCATACTTTGAGGTCTATGAGTTTATTTATTTATTTATTATTTATTTATTTAAATTATTCTTTAAGCTCTGGGTTACATGTGCAGAACTTGCAGTTTTGTTACATAGGTATACACGTGCCATGGTGGTTTGCTGCACCCATCAACCCGACACCTACATTAGGTATTTCTCCTAATGTTATCCCTCCCCTACCCCCCACCCCCCACCCCCCACAGGCCCCAGTGTGTGATGATCCCCTCCCTGTGTCCATGTGTTCTCATTGTTCAACTCCCAATTATGAGTGAGAACATGCAGACTTTAATTTTCTGATCTTGTGATAGTTTGCTGAAAATGATGGTTTCCAGCTTCATCCATGTCCCTGCAAAGGACATGAACTCATCCTTTTTATGGCTGCATAGTATTGCATGTTGTATATGTGCCACATTTTCTTAGTCCAGTCTATCACTGATGGGCATTTGGGTTGGTTCCAAGTCTTTGCTATTGTGAATAGTGCCACAATAAACATACGTGAGAATGTGTAGAATGATTTATAATCCTTTGGGTATATGCCCAGTAATGGGATTGCTGGGTCAAATGCTATTTCTAGTTCTAGATCCTTGAGGAATTGCCACACTGTCTTCCATACAATGGTTGAACTAATTTACACTCTCACCAGCAGTGTAAAAGCATTCCTATTTTACCACAACCTCTCCAGCATCTGTTGTTCCCTGACTTTTTAAGGATTGTCATTCTAACTGGAGTGAGATGGTATCTCATTGTGGTTTAGATTTGCATTTCTCTAATGAAGTTCTATGAGTTTCTTACTCACGGTCACTAAAAGATGTTTATTATGAATGGAAATCTCCAGATAGAGTAAAGCAATGCCTAAATCATAGTTATGCACTTATCGATTTATTTATTCATATTATTCATTATCATTATGAATATTCAACACATTAATAAAAGAGCCACATATGCAATCTACTTGGGGTATTGGGAGAGTAAAGAATAACATAGCAGTGCTACAGATAATTTAAGAAACGGTTTCTCTCTCTCTCTCTCTCTCTCTCTCTCTATATATATATATATATATATACACATATATATATATATATATATATATATATATATATATGAGACACAGGTATAATTATTTTCCTTCTACTATTTGTTATTGATGTATACTGCCAAATCCCTAACGGAAACTGGAATAGTTAACTCTAAGCTCCCCCCATGCCTACAAAAAGAAGTGGGTTCAAAGTTATTTTTTAAATCGAAAGATTTATTAATATTATTTTTATCATGTCCAATTGATATTATGATTATCAAAAAGTTTAATCACTTATTATTACTTGAAGGACCTAGTTAGGAAATGTTCAATCCACTTTTTTTCTTTTGAGACAGAGTCTCACTCTGTCACCCAGGCTGGAGTGCAGTGACGCGATCTCGGCTCACTGCAAGCTCCGCCTCCTGGGTTCACACCATTCTCCTGTCTCAGCCTCCCGAGTAGCTGGGACTACAGGCGCCTGCCACCACGCCCGGCTAAGTTTTTGTATTTTTAGTAGAGATGGGGTTTCACCATGTTAGCCAGGATGGTCTCGATCTCCTGACCTCGTGACCTGCCCGTCTCGGCCTCCCAAAGTGCTGGGATTACGGGCGTGAGCCACGGCTGCCGGCCTGTTCCACTTCTTAAAACTGGTCACTGGAAGTACATCGTCTTGGGAAGAACTGGATATTTCTTGAAACCCCTTTCATATAGCCATATTCTCAAACATAGAACCTTCTTTTATGTTTTTCAAAGATTTTTTCCATTACTGTAGAAAATTCAGAGGGTGTTTATGGATAGTGCAGTACTCTGCTCAAATATAGGGAATGAAAGTTACATTAAAATATTTTTTTGCTGAAAAGTATTATGATATTTAATGTAAGCAAACAAATTACTCAGATGATAGTGTTTTGTTTTAACTTTTTAAATGTCTTATTTCAATAGCTTTTGGAACACAAGTGGTTTAAGTAACGTGGATAATTTGTATAGTGGTGAAGTCTGAGATTTTATTGCACCTGTCACCTGAGTAGTGTACATTGTACCAAACATGTAGCTTTTTTAATCCCTCACCCGCCTGCCAACTTCCCCCTTACGAATCTCCAGAGCCCATTATACCACTCAGTGGAGAGTCTTCAACATTCACGGTGGAATCTTCAGGATGTGGCCCTCTATCCATTGCTTTCCACCGTTTGTACTCTCTGCTTTGTAAATAGAGGTCCGTTCTCCCTGTCTGCCTTGTTCACGTACCTTTGCCGTTTTCCTTGCTAGGATGACATCGTTTGCCCTGAAGTTCTCATTAACCATACCATAGATGTCCTCTTCTTACCTCAATACATCCAAGGCTACCTCAAGTTATAACTTCTCCTTTAGTTTTTCCCTAGTGTCTGAGTCCAAATGGACTTCTCTATATCCAGAATATCTACTACTTGTCTTATTTTTCCTCACACTTGGCACGTGCAGTTCCTTCCAGCTACTTTCATAATGTTGTATTTTAACGGTTCAGTTGTGTTTATATTTCACTATTCTGTCAGGCAAACAAGGGTATTCGCATGGCTGAAAACTATGGTATTTTTTAAGTGTAATAAAATGTAATGAATAAACATACAAATGAATGAGTTAATTAATATATTATATTCTTGGTTAAGTAATAAGCATTATGAGGACAAAAATTGAGTCTTACACCTTCTTATAATCCTAAAGACCTCGTACAGGACTTGGAATATAGCATGCACTTAAGACATCTTTGTGACTAATGAATTTAAATATTTTTATTAATTCTAAGTTGACATATGATTGTAATTTGGGGAAGGTAGTGAAATTTCAAATGGCTTTCACCACCTGTGAAATGACCCTTTTACATACCACATGATTTACCAGATCTTTGTTTAGGTGAACCTAGGTGAAAGCGGATTGTTTCCTCTACTTAGGAAATACTTTGCGTATTTTAGTTGCTTATAAATGTGATGATTTTAATTTGTACAGTTATAGTTTATGATATTGACTTGTACAGTTATATATATGTTTACATATTATATATTGCATATGGTTATACTATGTATAATTTTATTTTTCTAAAATAAAGAATATTATTACACATTAACAAAATAGATATAACTGTTTTCCTTCTACTATTTGTTATTGGTGTATACTGCCAAATCCCTGATGGATACTGAAATTCTTATCTCTAAGCCCCTCTATGCCTACAAAAAATGGGCTCAAGGTTATTTTAAAAATCAAAGAGTTTATTAATAATATTATTTTTTATCATGTCCAATTGATACTATCATTATTAAAAAGTTTAATCACTTATTTCTTGAAGGACTTAATTAGGAAATATATATAATGTGTGTGTATATATATATTCCATATATATATATACTCTATATATCCTATATATATATTCTCTCTATGTGTATCCTATATATTCTCTATATATATTCTATATATATATATATTCTCTATATATTCTATATATTTATTCTCTATATATTCTATATATATTTTCTATGTCTTCTCTCTATATATTCTCTATGTATTCTCTACATATTCTCTCTATATATTCTATATATAATTCTATATATAGTCTATATATGTATTCTATATAAATACACACACACACATATATAGTAGCCTAATATTTAAAACATAAGATTGGGACTGCCTAAAATAAGCTGACCCAGACCATAGGGGTACAGACATACGGATACTTCAGCAAGAACTGGTAACAAAGTGAGATATATGTTAACTCTTTGTAGCATATTGTTAAGTAGTATTAAAAAACAAGTAATTTTTGGTTGGGTCCATTGAGAGAATAACATTATTTTTAGAATGATCTAATGGCACGATAAACATTCTAGCATTTTACCTGGAAAAACATTATAGCTGTGCCAGTTTCTGTTCCAAGAAAAAAATACATTGGTGTATTCTCTAAAGGAGGAAATTCTGACCTCAACTATGTTCAGATAGCTGTGGCAGATAATACTCTGATCAGGTACTAAGTCATATATCTTTCACATTTCCCTTTGCTAGTTATACTCAGCGTGTGGTTGGAAATGGAATCAAAGCCCAGTCTGGAACTCCTGAAGTCAAAGTCAAAGGAACTGATCCTGTGATAAATCAGATTATTGATAAACTGAAGCATGTTATTCAGGTAAGTCCTGATCCTATATTTTTTGGTATAGCCAATAATAAATAATAAGTGGTTACTTTCTGTTATACTTGATAAATTTGTTAATCCTATCAGATAATCCTACCTAAAATATTGTAGCACATTATTTGCATCAGGACTTTTGGAAAGATTTAGTTTAATGATTTTTGTATGCAGTCAATATGCAGCGGTAATTTAATGTTGGACAATCTGTATATGTGAAAAGCAAGCCTCAGCCTCGGCCTTTCAATGATGAGAATCTCAGGACATGCGTTGTCCTCAGTGAATAACTTTGAACATGGGAATCACTGTGACCATTAAAGAAAACACATGTAAGGCCATGGAAGATGCCAGAGTTATCTTTCAGGTAATTCTCTGAATGTTGCTCTAAGGTTTTTGCAGCATTTCAATACAAGTTAGGTCATAGATGAAGAATATGTGTTTCTAATATTGATTTACAATATCACCTTTCGTATGTTATCTTATAATCTACCTAATGGTTGTTTATGAAATACTTCTGTCTTATCTTCAATAATATTTTTCATCAAGTGAATGTGTATTGCTGTTTTTAATACATGGCAAATGAAGCATGAACATATTTATCAAAATAATATTTCATTGAAATAGTCTATTAATTAGAACCAAACATTATGTTGCATGTTGTAAATATTATCCTCCACTCTGCATCTATTGATGTTTGGGGAAAGGAAGGCTTTTCTTTTTAGTTAATGGTCATTTTATAAAAATTTATATTTGAATATACTTTCATTTTTCCTAAGCAAAACTTTGTATGGGTAGTTGATGCTTATTTCTAGTATCGTGGGTCAGAAACAACACCTAAATAGTACAGAGTTTTTATTGCATACAACATATTTCAGAGTCAGTGGTAGGCTTCTCATAATTGTCCTGCCAAGACGAAGCTTAAATTTATGCAGAGCCAGTTCCTGGGTTTCCATTTTTCACAAGAGTCCCTATATCTCAAGGAGAGGATGTGTAAGAAGGACTTGGGGGTTGGTGTCAAATACCATAGACTTCTCCCTTCTGCGAGGTAATAATGCTTATTCTACCATAGATACCTATAGAGAACAGAGCTGTCACCCTTGCTGTCAAAACCAAAAATAAATTCTACTGGAAAAGTCTAAGAGAGAAGTGGTGTCATGACTACTGATGAGTCAAACCTCCCAGCCTCTGCTGAGCTGGTCCAGTTGGTACCTCATAGTATCGTCCACTGTAGTATAATATGTACAGCTAGATTATTTGAAAATTCAAGTGCATAATTGATAACAAAACCAAAAGAGCTTTAACATTAATCAGCTCCTCTCATTGAGGAGTGAGTACAATCTCACTGTGAGGGCACGGTGAAATCTTAGGGGTTTCTTAAGTGGGGTAAGCATTCCACAGAGGGTGGAGGAAGAAAACCTAGACCTTAAGTATATATGTATTCCATCTCATTCTTTTATATTTCTTTGGTTGTAGTAAGGTATATAAAATATGTAATATACTAGTGCAATAGCACATACATATAATTTATAAATACATAAATATACATATTAACTGGACATCTGTTCAGGTTGTTTTTCTAAGATATATACAAGATGAAAGCAGAACAGAAACCCTGTTGTGGATAATAAGGATGGAGCTGTTCCATAAGAAGTGCAGTTAGAAGTAAACACATTCACAGAGGAACACGTAGATACCCAAGATAGAAAGGATTATAAAAACCCTTAGGAGGAGGGTTCACATATTTATTACCCATTCAGCAACTCCCCTCCCCATTTCTTGTTTTGTAGGTTTCAAAGCCTTTTCAAGGTGGCAGAGGGAAGTCATCCTGCCTTTCTTTTTTAGTTTCTGTGTGAACTTGAGTCCCATTCTTTCTTCTTTATGGAAGTGTGCAGATCTCCAATTATTCATGCTTAAGTTTCATTCTGGGGTTGCAAGAGAATATCAAATGCAACGCTGCCTTTGAGGTCTATCCTTTTAAGGTCTGCTAGAATTATATGATAGAAATTTAGATTTTTATAGAGGAGAGCAGAAAGTCCTATCTTGCACAGGTGTCACTGAAACATTCACCTTTAATGTGTAAGAGTATGCTCTTTCATAAACTGTTCTCCTGGAGATGAAGAGAAGTGTTTTACTTTGCCTTTTTTTTTTTTTTTTTTGAGATGGAGTTTCGCTCTTGTTGCCCATGCTGGAGTGCAATGGCGCGATCTCGGCTCACTGCAACCTCTGCCTCCTGGATTCAAGCGATTCTCCTGCCTCAGCCTACAGAGCAGCTGGGATTACAGGCGTGTGCCACCACGGCCTGGCTAATTTTTTTTTTTTGTATTTTTAGTAGAGACGGGGTTTCTCCACATTGCTCAGGCTGGTCTCGAGCTCCCGACCTCAGGTGATCCACCTGCCTCGGCCTTCCCCAAAATGCTGGGATTACAGGCGTGAGCCACCATGCCCGGCCTACTTTGCCAAACTTTTGACTACTGATAATGTACGCGTGCCCTGGCAGGGATGGCCATTGTACTGTCAGTATCAAGGAATGGGTAACAGCACCCACCACAATGTCAGCTACGAAAGGATTCAGAAAATAGCCTTCTGTAAGTCAGAATTTATTAATTTAGGAGTAGGGCCATGGAAGATGTCAACATAGGAATAGGTTTCAGATTCTAAACTGTAGATTTAGATGATCACTTCTTAGTGTTTGTATAAAATTTACTTTATTTTTTATTATAATATTAAGTTCACTGTCCACCTTTATACTATGAAAAATGCCATCTCTCTCAATAGGGACATACCTGTATTGAAGTATACGGAAGGAAATCAGCCATAAAAGCAAAAATTGCCTGCATAGACTCACCCAAAAATGCCTTTCTCGGCCTGCCATTAATATGAACCTCATTTCTACCTAGAATTGTCTGCAATTAGAGTCATTAAGGAAGTAGAAAAAGATTTTTACTTGGAAAATGGCACTTTTTAATGTTTTAATAATTAATTCATTCAAAATACTCAACAAATGTTCATTGAGTTTCTAGTACGGTCCTGGTTCTGTACTGGCACTGAGGTTAAAGTTGTGAATAAAGCAGACACAACCCTGCTCTCATGGGCTTTCCATTGTAAGAAAAAGTAAATAAACAAACAAAACCAGTATTGTAGCTGACACCTGTTATAAACAAAACCAAACAGGATGAGGTAAGGAAAGATATTTAAGAAGAATGTCCTGGCGAAGGCCACTCAGGGGGAGATGTTTGGGGTGATGTTGAATAAGGAGAAGAAAAGAGTCATGGGAAAACCTGTGAGAACTGTTTCTGGGGCAGAAGGCAAAGTAGGCGTAAAGGCCCCGTTGCAGGAATAAGTTTGTTTTACTCAGAGAACAGAAGGTCAGTCGGCTAAAACCAAGTGAGCTAAAGGGAAGAGATAAACATACATCATGTTTTGGGAAGTCCAGTAGGCTCTGGTAAAGAGTTTATATTTTCTCCTAAGTAGACTAAGAAGTCATTTAAAAACTGTAAGCAGAGCTAGCTGGGCGCAGTGGCTCATGCCTGTACTCTCCGCACTTTGGGAGGCTGAGGTGGGCAGATCACCTGAAGTCAGGGGTTTGAGACCAGCCTGGCCAACATGGTGAAACCTCGTCTCTACTAAAAATACAAAAATTAGCCGAGCTTGGTGGCACATGCCTGTAATCCCAGCTACTCGGGAGGCTGAGGAAGAAGAATCGCTTGAACCCAGGAGTCAGAGCTTGCAGTGAGCCAAGATCGCGCCACTGCACTCCAGCCTGGGTGACAGAGCAAGACTCTGTCTCAAAATAAATAAATAAATACAAATACATCACAAATTTAATAAATAAATAAAAACTGTAAGCAGAAGCTGATACAATTTAATCTATGTTTTATGAGGATTTCACTATGAAAAATGGTCCCTGCATGAAAGAATGAAAAAAGAAAGTAATACAGACAGAAGACCACATAATTGGAACTAGAATAATAAAAGTGGATAAGCTGAGAAGTGCATAGATTTAGACAAATATTGGAAGCAGGGTTATTGGGATTTGTTAATGGATTGGAAATTTGGGAGACAGAAGAAAGATGATAGCGAGGTTTGGTGGGATGATAGTGTCACTAAGTGAGAAAAGGAACTCTGAGAGAGGAGCAGGCCTGGCGGAGGGTCCCTGGGATTGATTAGAAATCAGTGGTGTTGTTAACTGTGAGATGCTTATTAGATACCCAAGAGGGATGTGCAGAACTCAGGGAGACCACACAACTGAAAGTGTATGTTTGTAAGCACTAGCATGTGGATAGTACTTAAGCTCTGAGATTGTATAAGGCTGTCACCTTTCCTTTACAGTATAAATTCACACCAAAATTATTAGTGGAGACTATAAGACAATGGAATCATAAAAAAAAATTGTACTGCAAAAACCTATGAATGGATAAAACATTTTATTAATTGTATTTGGCACCTTGTATATACTTAGTTGATCTAGGACAGAGAAGATACTTAGTAACATTCATTTTTTCTTACTGTAAGAATAATGACCCAGGAGGCGGAGGCTGCAGTGAGCTGAGATCAGGCCACTGCACTCTAGCTGCAGGAGATAGAGTGAGACTCCGTCTCAAAAAATAAAAGAATAATGAATGCTCATCAGAGGGAATTGAATTTTATTATTCTAGGAAATCTGATGGAAAAAGTGAAAAATAAATATTGATACATTTATAAAACAATGAAAAGACTTATAAGAGAAGCCATCTAGGCTTTTTTCTATACTTAATTATACATATAAATACATCAATACTTTACTTAAAAAAATAAGACCGTAGGGCACGTTTGATTTTATGATCTGAACTGCTCACCTGACCACACAAAACAAATATTTTACCATGGCATTAAATATCCTGCTATCTGGTTGTCAGTGCTGGCATATTTTTCTATCATATGGAAAGATTACAGTTTTACTTCATCCAGTCACCTAAAGTTGGATATTTAGCTTGTGACCAGATTTTCATGATAATAAAGACTAATAGGAATATCAGCAGACATAAAATGTTTTTGGCATCTTTTTTTTTCTTGTAATGCATTCTACATATTGAAACTAATAATTGTATTTTGATACATATTGCCACGTTTTTCTCAAGGAAAATTATAGATAACAGAAAGTGTCAGCTTTCTCTGTGTGTTAAGGTTGTGGGTGGAAGCTTGGCAGTGACTCTCAGACATATTGGTATGGAACACCACTGGACTCTCTAGAGATCAAGGCAGCAGTCCTGTAGAAATGTTAGCCTGAGCTGTGTGTCACCTGGGAGTACTCCAAGGATGACCAAAAGAAATATTTTAGTTAGAAGACAATTTATAAGAAAAGTTTAGAGGCTTCCTAGAGAGGTCATAGCATACACAATTTTATTTCATCCTTTAGGACAAGCCCTATATGTATGTTCTGCACACATCCCCTCCCGCACCCTCCACAAAAAAAAAAAAAAAAAGCTGAGATCTGATGTAAATAGATAACTGGATTATAGCTTGGTCCATAAGGAATATCTCAGAAACTTCAATATTCCTTCACCCCCTCTGCAAATCCTTCTGAATTGAGAATGGGAACCTTGGCAACAGAGGGGAGTCATGAACCTCCCTTTTCCATCTGTGACTCTGACATCTTCCTCTGGGTCAGCCATTGTGCAAACTCTCACTTAATTTCTGGCAGTTTCCTGCATTCCAGACCTGTTTGTGAAATAGGCAATATTTGTCCCTTTGAAAATCACCTGTGATAAATGTGGTATAGCCCATGGCCAGTGAAGATTTTCCTATGGGGAGACATATTCCTAAGTGTTAACATTAACGTTTCCAGATGT
Source organism: Homo sapiens (assembly GCF_000001405.40). NCBI lineage: Eukaryota > Metazoa > Chordata > Mammalia > Primates > Hominidae > Homo > Homo sapiens. The sequence goes on along the minus strand of NC_000016.10, from coordinate 33,148,526 downwards.
TTGAGTCAGACTCAATTGCCCTTTAATATTATAGATTGAAAACAACATTTGGTTGATCTTAGTATATCTGATTGAGGAAATATGAGACCCTTTTTAATTTAGATTTGCTCACCTAGCAAACTTACTTTGAAATTTCTTGGTCATATTATGTTTGCTTACGGCAAAGTTATCAGCAAAAAAGTCACAGTTATGCAGCAATTTATCTTTAAACACTAAATGACATCTATCATTTTTCAAAGAAAATAATGTCAGCAGTTAAAATCCTAACTGCTTGAGCACTGTTAGTTGACAATTATATTGCCCCATTGCTTAGAAATTAATTGACCTACTTTCAATAAGAAACATAAAAAGTAATATCACAGCAATTTTCTGGATTTATTTTATTGCAAAACCAATAAATGTTACAGTGTCGTTAAAAGTAATAGATTTAAAAAACATTTTATTTTCTTAAACCTAACAATTCAAATAACATAAAATAATATTACGTTTCTATTAAGCATTCATTTTTATAGAGACCAAAACTTCTTTACAAAATGTCTTCATGTATAATATAAATTAGATGTGAGAAAAGCAATAATCATAATCATTGCCTAAATCCACAAAATAAGTAGATATTCTATAATATGTATTTCAGTAATCACAATGTAGTGGATTCAGGCAGAGATGAGAGACACTCTGATTTTAGTAGAAAAAGACTGTGCTAAATTACCTCTTTGCCTTTTTTCACTCTGTTCCTAGGATACCAATATAATAAATAGTACCTTTAGAACTGTGATACACTGAGAAAAGTTCTAATTTAAATCTCAATAGATGATTACACAGGTAGTGTTTACACACACACACACACACACACACACACACACAATGACAGGAGTTTTTAAAGATATTAGTATCTCGGAATTTTTGTATTCTGAAAACTGTCCAAGCTTTTATCATTAAATCACTTGTTATGAAACACACTTTAGAAACACCCTTTCCTATTTTTAATAGCCTATGATAGTCATACAGAATGAGTTAATCATAATTGATTGGTCAATTGCTAATTCCGAATTCTTTGACCATAGCACGTCAGCTGATTCTATGAACTTCTACAGACTCTTTCCCTTGGTCGGGGAATTGCCACAACACTCTGACTCCTTTCCCCACAACTCCATTACATGACATTGTCACCTCCCCAGGCTTATGATACTAATATTCCAGAGGGACGAACAGTTCTTGATTTTGAATAGAAATGCAGTACTGACCAAAACTGATTTAGTTTTGGTTCAGAAGGAAGCGCTGGATATGCCCTCAATAACTTTCCATGGTCATCTAATTCAGCAATTAGTTTGTCTGAGTAAATTCAATGGAAGGCTGCTTTCTCGAATGGGTAGTGTAATGCACTGACTTCCCTATTAGACATTTCATTTAAAAACATCAATTGTCTGCATAAAACAACCATTTCCATCAGTGTACATTCAACTGGAAAGGAAAGCTTGAGGACTTTTTTTTGAAAGTAGTGGGATTGGGGTTGGCCATTGGTAATTTCTTTTTGATTAAAGCGTATGTAATTGTTTTGTGTTGGATACAAATTTATTTATGTGGATGCCTCTGATCTTATGTTATCATTTCCCATTAAGACCTGAGCTGTTTATCTGCTGGGTTTTCTGGTCATAAAATGTTGAAAGGACGTTAAAATGTAGAACTTTTATATTTTTTATTTAGGTGACTAGGATAAATTCTGGTAATTTATAGGCTAAAACTTAAATGTATTTCTGCTTAAAATATTTTGAAATATGGTTTATTTCACAAATGAGGTTCCAAACTATAACCAGCTCTCACTAAATTCATATTTATGTGTTTATGTATTTATTTATTTATTTATTTTTGAGACAGAATCTCGCTCTGTCGCCCAGGCTGGAGTGCAGTGGCGTGATCTCGGCTCACTGCAAGCTCCGCCTCCCGGGTTCACGCCATTCTCCTGCCGCAGCCTCCCGAGTAGCTGGGATTACAAGCGCCCACCACCACACCCAGCTAATTTTTTGTATTTTTAGTAGAGATGGGGTTTCGCCATGTTAACCAGGATGGTTTCGATCTCCTGACCTCGTGATCCACCCGCCTCGGCCTCCCAAAGTGCTGGGATTACAGGCTTGAGCCACGGCACCCGGCCAAAAGATCATTTTTAAATTATGCATCTGGGAATATATTATCAAACCAGGCCTGAAACTTATTAAAAAGACGGTAAAATCTAATTTAACTTCATTTAATACTCCTTTCCTCTTAGTCTTATCAAAGCAAATGAGCTTGGCTTTTAATTATGAAAATGTAATTTTAATTTATAAGACATATAACAAAGCAAGATAGCTGCTAAATTCACTTTATCCTAGTAACTTCCTATTGTATACATTCATTTTTAATGTAATAAGAAATCCTTCCAAAATTTTTAAAAGAATCACATTACCCAAGAAGAGGCTCAACATTTCTAGAAAATAAACATGTTCTTAAGACACTTAACAATTCTTGAAATGAAGACCTAACTCTTCAGGGTTTTAAAATATTTGATGTGCACTCTTTACATATATAGTTTAAATTTAATAATTACCCTTCTCAAAAAATAAGTGAAACATACCACAAACATATCAAAGCAAGTTATTCATACTTCTCATTTAAGTAACTGTATTGTCATAGCAAAATTATTTTGTATCATCAAAAAGCACAAAAGCCTTATTAGAATACTAATTTCAACATCTGTTTCACAGATTTGCTCATAATAGATGTTTTTCATGCTTCTGCACTAATTCATTGAAGGACAATGTTTTACCGATTCTTGAAAAACTATCATTATCTGCCCCACAGTGGTGGCTCATGCCTGTAATCCTAACACTTTGGGTGGCCAAGGCTGCCGTTTTGCTTGAGCGCAGGAGTTCAAGACCAGCCTGGGCAACATGGTGAAAACTCATCTCTACCAAAAAAAAAAAAAAAAAAGTAAAAAGTTAGCCGGGCAAGGTGGCGGGCACCTGTAGTCCTAGCAACTCAGGAGGCTGAGGTAGGAGGATCACCTGGGTCTGGGAGGTTAAGGTTGTGGTGAGCCATGATTATGCCACTGCATTCCAGTGTGGGTGACACAGTGAGACCTTGTATCAAAAATAATAATAATATAAAATAGAAAATAAAAATATCATTATCTGACATTTTAAAAAGTATATTTCCTAACCTATAAATATACTTTGTAGATTAACAAGAGAAAAATTTCAAGATATTGTAAATTTAAAACAAATCTTTATGTATAATATCATTGTAATGTCTTTGACCAGTATCAATCTATCATGTGAGATAAAAAATATTAAACATTCATTTATTGAATAAATGAATGAAAATCATAATTACCTCGATCACTATATTTAAAATTTAAATGAAGCAGGAAAGTAAATCTTCCTAATTATCATATACTTAGCTGTTTAAAATCACTCTAATGACAAGTAATATGCTTTCACTCTTGAATTATACTTTTAAAATGCCTGTATTGTTTCATTCACTCATGCTTCCATTAGTTCAGTGAACAAATATTGATTACTTACCCACTATGTGCCAGGTATTATGATAGATTCAGGGAGTACAAAAATGATTAAATGAGGGGATCAGTTGGAGTGACTGTTTTCTAGAAACAATGCCTATTTCAGTTATGAACTAGTCTGTTTTGAAGAAAATGGTGAGGGAAAGCTAAAAATAATATTTTCACTTTATTCAACAAATCTTATTGAGGTCTTATTATGAATCAGGGGCTCTCCTAGGTACGGGCATACAAAATTGATTAAGACCATACTTGCGTGCAGAAAACAAACAGAAAAGCATCTCTATAATAAAAAGGAAAAAGAGGAATCCCCTTTGTAGGTTTCATAGTTTATACTGATATTTCTGATGTCGTCTCAGAGAATTAGTCACAATTATAGGAACTCAGAAGGCATTCCGTGGAGATGAAATAGAGACTAAACTAGCAGAGATTACTTAGTGAAATATTGTGATACCATTTATTTCAATTAGAAAATAGTTATAATTCATTTTAGAAGATATTATGGCTTACACTTAGTAGATGTGATGACTGAATAACAGGATTGTTGAACGATGGCACCTTGGTAGCCATTAGCCATTGCCACCATGATTCTGCATTAAAAAATCTATGCAAAACGCCCGGGCATGGTGGCTCACGCCTGTAATCCCAGCACTTTGGGAGGCCGAGGCGGGCGGATCACGAGGTTGGGAGATTGAGACCATCCTGGCTAACACGGTGAGACCCCGTAACTACTAAAAATACAAAAAATTAGCTGGGCATGCTGGCACGCGCCTGTAGTCCCAGCTACTCGGGAGGCTGAGGCAGGAGAATCGCTTGAACCTGGCAGGCGGAGGTTGCAGTAAGCTGAGATCGCGCCACTGCACTCCGGCCTGGGAGACAGAGTGAGACTCCGTCTCAAAAAAAAAAAAAGAAAAACTTTGGAGTATATTAATAAACATTGTGTTTTTTTAAAAAAAAATTTAAATCTTTAATTTCCGTTTTCACGATTTTTCTTCTTGCTTCCAAAAGGAAAGGAGTGCGTAGCTCTGTTGCCTTTACATCGTCCACGGCCCCTGGGTTGGGGCGGGGTCCCCCGGGCCGCCCGGGGGTCCACATGCAGTCCCTGGGGGGGCCGGCGCGGGGTGAGGTCCGGGGGCTGCCTTATTGCTGAGGTCCGGCCGGTTGGGGCCCTGGCGGCCGCTAGGCGCTCTGGCTGCGCAGCTCCTGGGAGATGAAGCGGGCAGGCGCTCCAGGTACTGGCTGTAGAGCTGGATGTCTTTGTGCCCGGCGCCCTCCACCCACAGCGGCTCCACGGCGTTGGGGCAGCGCTGGGAGAGCGCCAGCCCGTGCGAGAAGTCCATCACCTCGTCTTTCGTGTCCTGGATGATGAGCACGGGCGGCGTGATCTTGGACACCTTCTGGATTCTGCGGGAGGGGCGTGGGGCGGGTGAGACCTCGCCCGGCCCGGGCCCCGCCCCGCTCCGCCCCCGCCCCCGTCCCCGCCCCAGCCTGCTCACTTGGGGAAGGCATCGAAGCAGTAGGTCTTGGTGTCCGGAAGGCGACGCTCAGGTCCAAGGTGAGCGGCGAGTGCAGCACCACCGTGGCGGACTCGTAGCGCGAGGCCAGGTCCACGGTGGGCACCGTGCCGATGCTCTGCCGGTACAGGATGATGCCGTCCGGGCTGATGCGGTACCTGGCGGCACCTGAGCAGGGTCAGCCTAGGCCTCCAACGCGCGCGCACCCCTCCTGCCAGCGGGCGTCCCCGGGCCCAGCTCCGGATGCGACTCTCCAGTCTCCCCGCTCAGCCAAGTCAGTTGGTCAGGCCCAGGCTCCACACCAGTCTCAAGGGCCACCCCCAAGCCCCCCAACACCGCAGCGGTGGGCGAAGCCGGCGGCCTGGTCCTGTTCCCTGCCACTATGGTTCACTGGCGTTTCCTAGCCAGGATCTGCTGGATCCTGGCTAGGGAGTCCCCCTCGGGCTAGGGTAGGGGAAGCCCTGGCACCTCTCCTCCTCTTGGTCACCCCTAGGCGCACACTGGGAACTGTGTGGCCTCCCACATCCTGAATGCTTCACGCCTTCCTGCCCAGGTTAGAAAGCTCTTCCTGGTGCACTGGCCGGGACAGGGTACACTCTTCCTCCCTGCAGCCCTTGCCTACCCCCTTGGCCATGAGGAATTCAGGCAGCTGTGTCCCCAGATGTCTCCACCCAATTTTGGACTCTCAGAGTCCCATGCCCAATGAGCTGCCAGCCCAACCCAGGTCAACATCGAGGGTGGTGGCTGCGGGGGCAGCATCTCCTCCCACCAGTGCCTTCCCTTGGGAGTGGACAAGTCCTCCGCCACCTCAGCACCACCAGCTCCCACCCAGGGCCACCCCCACTCCCAGGTCACTGGTGTGCGGCCCCTGGCCCAGCTGACCCAGCACCAGTCCCAAGGCCTCCTCATGCCCAGTCCCAACCACGCGGGACCCACCTGCCACCCTGTCGATGCCGAGACCCCAGAACTCTCCTCCCACAAGCTCCAGGCTCTGATGCCAGGCAGATGCCCTCCTGCAAGGCAGGAGCATGGGCAGGTGTGCGTCCCGTCTGGCTGGCATTCGGACTCCACCAGCAGGGCTGTCTCCCTCCCTGGCCTGGAATCCCAGCCTCCTGGCAGCACTCCACAGCTCACTGCTCACCCATGCCCCAAAGGATGCTGCCTGGCTTGTGCCTGTGGCTGCAGCTCTGCCTCAGCCTCCCTGGCCTGCTCCCTGGCAGCCAAGGCCAGTAGTGTGCTGAGCCAGCCCAGCCCTGTCACCTGCTCCAGGCAGGAGCCCCCAGCTGCCACCTAGATGTCACCACTCAGACAATCAAACAAGACACATCCTCCATAGAGGCCCTGAGCGCTATCTGGCCTCCCCCTCACGGCTCTGGGCTGAGGATCCTGCAGGACAAAGCGACAGCAGGACAGACGGCAGAGTAGACAGAGCTCAGAGCTGGCCATGGGGGGTGTGACTCTGCCAGTGCCCCGGGCAGTAGAGACAGGAGGGGGTCCAGGAAGCTGCATGAAGTGGTGCTTGGTTTCGGCGCCCCACACTGCCGGGAGGCCCCCAGAGCCAGGGTGGTGCCAGGGGACCCAGCTCCCACGCCCACAGCAGGGACTGCCTGGGATATCTCCAAGGCAACGAGGACCCCACCTCCCAGGGCCTCTGACTTCTCAGAGCTGCGCCTGGCCCCTGCAGGAGCGGGTCAGACCACTGGGCTGGGCAGGGCAGGGCCAGGACGAGACAGCCCCAGCGGGTGGTGAGCAGGAAAGGCCCCCAGAGGCCCACGCGGGTCTTCTAGTCCAGAGCAGCACTGGCCCGGGTGGTGCTCAAACACCAGTGAAGGGCCCAGGCAAGCGCAGGGCTGGGGACCTGGATGATTAGGAGGGCTGGATCTGGAATCGAAGCTGGCCGAGACCTCAGGTGTGTGCTGGGGGTCTGCACCTGACCCTGCAGGCCCTGCCCCGGGATGGCTGAGCTCCACAGCCACGGGGCCTCATGGGCCAGGCCTTGGGACCTCGATGCAGCAGCCTCGCCTCACCTGGCCCCAAGTGCGGCCTCAGCCCGTGGGCTCCCAGCCACACATGCACAGACCCCCTGACACCACCCACCCCCTCCCGCCAGGTGGTGTCCACGCCCCTGTGACAAGCTCAGCCCCTTCCTGTCCTCAGGCCAGGGGATCCCAGGGAGCCTGGCTCCACAGGCCAGGGTGTGGGGGGACCTCCTGGCCACACCTCAGCCATGTGGAGGCAGCACCCGCATGCCTGAGCTCACCTGTCCGGCTCTCTGGCAGCATGCGTCCACTGTGGCTCCTCTCCTGCAGGGCCGCCCACCTTCCTCCCAGGGAAGCCCGCCCCTCCCCCCGGCCCCTGGCCCCCGGCCTGGTCCCCTCTCGGGTGTGCCCAGGCTGAGCTGCGCCCGGGGTCGCCCTCACCTGGTGCGCAGGGCCTGCCAGGCGGCGTTGATGTCGGCGTAGAGGTTCGTCTCGGAGGGCCTGCCCGAGCTGGCACCGTAGCCAGAGTAGTGGTAGGAGAAAATGTTGCAGTGGAGGCGGGAACACAGGCCAATGTAGAAGCTGCTCATCTGGCCCAGGTCCACCGCGTTGCCTTCCTTGTTCATGCACCTCTGGTCAGACGCAGTTCAGCTGATCTAGGCTGGGCTTGGCTAGCATTGGCTTGAAGCTGCAGCTGGTGTCCAGATCTGTTCTACGTATTTGTGATTCTCCTCAGCCCTCCCGGGTACTTGAAGCATGTTATTGTTATGGCAAAAGTCAGGAGTGCAACCTGCCTGTGCAAAAACATGCCAGGCTTCTGTTGCCTGAAATCCTCTAAGATACCCCTTTGGCTTAAGCAAAATCACACAGCAAGGATCAAAGTCAAGGAGTGGGGAATTATATCTGTCCCTTAGAGATGGAGATAGGAGAGAGTGTGAACAAATGCAGGAAAATGATCTCATCTACCAGAGTGTCCTTAAATATTTTAACATAATAAATTCAGTATTGTTTTTGTTTGATTGAATGAAGCTTTGCATGGACACAGTACAGTACAAAAGTACTATTTGAACTCTTTCTCCACATTCATAAAATTGCTAGTTTCTACCATGATTATATTTTTATGATCCATTTTTGTGTACAGATCTGAAAACTTTATACTAGAATTTATTAGCTGAGGAAAGGAACATCCACTGACATCATCATATACAAATATTTCTCAACATTTTAATGCTTGTGGTATTGTTAATGTTTCTGTGGAAAAAAAATCACAGAAGTGATTTCTAAGTCAGTTATTGATTTATTCTAATGAATTATAAAAATCAGACTAAATTACTAATAGAGAAATTACATTTGAAATACTAGTCTGAGCTACAGATGAGATGGATTTTTGTGCTCATCATTTGTACTCTAGCTATGTTTGTTGAGATTGGGTTATTAAAACATAATTATAACATTATCAGCAGAAAAGCCTGTTGTGCTATAATTAAATCATCTAAACAATCATTTTTGTGGTCTTAATATCCTGGATTTCTCAATTCATTGTAGTAGATAAGATTTCTCTTTAAATACTACTTACTATCAGTAGCTTGCTTTTCTGTGAATGCTAGAAAATTTAGAATTCTGCATTAACATTTAACAAAATATATGCTATCCTAATATTGATGCATTATATTTATCTATACAACATGCAACAAGAGAGAAATACTGGATGAATCAGAATATTTGCAGCCTATGGCAATTATCTGTAGCAACATTTTTTTTGTCTTCAGAAAAATATAGATGATTTTGGAAATGGATTAGTTCTAGTTTCAATCTAGGAAGAACTACTTATGGAAGTTTTGTGTACAGGATACTGATGTTTTCAAATATAATGCATTATTATTTTAGTTTAGTTTCTTTTACCACATACTTAGAAATTGTTCAAGTGAACAGGCTATTAAAACTAATGGTATAGATAAATGGTATAGATAGGCCTTGTAAACATCCCACTTTTCCCAAGCCATGAATTTTAACACCTGATTAAGGAGATGAAAATGGAGCCATTGGGAATGTGAATTCTTTGCTAATAATTATTTTTCTTCCTTTAAAAAGATTCTTCAAAAGGCAAGAATATGGAAGTATTTCAGGAGATACTCTTGAGGTATCTAAAATACATACTCTTCCTATCAAAATCAGTAAATAGATTGATGTAAGTAAGATAAAGTCAGGGCAACTGGTTTTGCATGTGAGTGTACACACAGACACATATCCATGTATTCTCCATCTGTTCTCAGTTACTGAATTATTAGACCCAACTGACCACTTGACTGTGTTTAACCTGATAAACAGACTCTTAACAAGAACAATATTTTAAAAGCTGGATTGTTCCTCCTACTTCTCAGCATGCATCAGCCACTCTCTTTCCCCATCCTATCTCCTGCCAAATGGTCTCTAAATATCTGTTCCACTTGGAGACACTATTGGATGTTGTTGTAAATGACTTTAATGAATATTCACTCTACCTGCTTTCATATTAATTCAGTTTTCCTAGGATGGTCTCTATGGGATCAAGCAAAAGGACTTAGTGGAATATCTCTATCTGACTCCATAAAGTAAAGAATGTGGTGAGTTTAACAGAGTGCCCCTTCCTTTACTAAATGTGAATGATGTTTCAGTATAGGAGGCCAGAGTGAAAAGTCCTAACGTATGTTTGTTTGGGCAGCCAACAATTGGTCACATTGTACATTTCATGTTACAAAGGAGCCTCATGGTAGTATAAATGAGGGTCGGGAAAAGACACTTAACTGCTCAGGGCTTTAAAATGGAGCCAGAGCAAGAATTGTAGAAGTTGACAATATCAGGAAGGAAACCTCTGTAAGCAGGCACGCAGGGGAACTCCAGAAATCTCTTCTTTGCCCCTACAACTCTGGACTTTCAGAAATACACACCCCATCCTCCTGTATTAATACAAAATTCATGTTCACAACAACATCAAAAATCAATTTTAAAATAGTAAACCTAAGGTAGACGGAAAGACATTATAGCCTCAGCATGCCTGAGATGTGAGGAGCAAATCAGAAAGATGTTGAGTGTGAAGAGAAAGGGACATCGTGATAACCAATCATTTAAAATTTTTACTCCAGAGAAATGGCAATATTTCACAGATTGTTTCTCATCACCAATCTCACAAGTATAAGTATTTTCTGAAAATTTTCCTCTCAATTTTTTTCCTTGACAGTGAAGTCCAGAATAGGTTGGTTTAGATCTTGCTCTTTTCAGCCTCAATACTCCATAATCACCTTGGCTTTTTTGATTATGACTGGATGGCATGTACTATTATTTTAATATTAAAGATTTAGTAAATAATTTTAAATGTTATCCTTAAATAACTGTGGGCTTTATTCATTTACTGTACATATTTTGAAAACATTCATAAGAACTTAAGGATTTTAATTCAAATGGTCTCTAAAGTAGAAAATGCACTCACAGATTATGCGTATGTCTTTTAAGAAACAGAAACGTGCCATTTGTTTTTAAATTGAGTAGACTTTGTATCCTTTAGAATTTGGGCAGAGTTTTCTTGCTATATTGTAGAGAACCTATCAACCATATCTTAATTTTCTTCTTCTTGAGGTTTTCAAAATTAACATTGGCATTGGTCCACTAATTCCTTGTTTTCTATTTTTGGATGAGTGTGCATAATTACCTCCATCTTAATTTTCAACATAAATGTTTAGCAGAATCTTTCATGTTTCATTGCCATGTAAGCAGATGTGGTTTTTATTCTTTTTCCTTTTCATTGAACAGTTACTTCATTTGAAATTTTTCACTTGATTTAACTTTTTTTTTTTGGTGGTAGATACATCTGTTGCCACCTGTGTCTGGTTGGCATTTTAATGTGTTGCCTCAAAGCTGTAACCACAATAGTGGCACATTTTCCTGCTGTTCCTTTATTCTTTGTTTCATGTGTATCTGTTTTCAAGAAATTGCATTGGTATACTATCATAGCTTTTTTTGTCTCTCAGATTTTCTATTGTAATTGTTTATATTTATGCATTTGGAAATATTTCATGATTGTTACATAAAACAGCAGAGCTCTTTTAGAAAGTTTTCATGGTTTCCCAAATGTACAATCATATAGATTATTTAGTAGTTATTACATAATGATCTTTGGAGCAATAAATGCTGTTATATAAGAACAATTCCCAAATGTAATTTGAAAGTTATAAGCTAGGCTTTGACGGCCTAGAATTAATGTACCTTTATAATTCTAATCTGCATGCAAATTTAAGAAGACCACGGATTGAGGACTGGGTGCATAATTTTCAGGGCCCAGTAAAAAGTGAAAATGTAGAACCCTTTGATAAAAAATTACAAAGAATTTCAAGATGACCATAATAGGCCATGCACAAGGCCTTTCTAAATGGGTAGAGTGATCATGAAGCCATGGGCATTGTTTTGTTTTGTTTAATCTTACTGTTTGGTTGTAAAGCAGATCTTTAAATCAAGAGAAAAAAGAATGCCAAAGAACATCTCAATCAAAATGTTTTAAACATTATAGAAGATTAGATCCATATAAATGAAAGGGATAAAGAAAAAGCACATATCCAACCTCAAATATAAAGCATGGAATTCTTATGTGAACTCCATTATAGCACTTGATATTTCAGCTCTATTTTCATTTTTGAACAACTCTAGATATATCTATATATTTTAGTCTAAAATTTAATTTTTATAAGTTCTAAGTTCTTCCCCAAATTCTACCTTAGATAAACAATTCAGAGATACCTGTGTTTCCTATTCTATTAGGTGGAACCATATGAAATTGTCAGTATTCAGCCTTTTCTGTCCTACAAAAAAATGACAGCTTTGTGTTTCCACCTAACACATGGCAGCCCAATAAATATGTGACAGTCAGGACCATAGAGCTACCACACTAAACAATACTAAATGCATACACATACCCTTTCCAAAACCCTGGCAGGTCTTCTTTTCCCCAAAAGAATCATTCTTTGACTCTTCACCCATTATTCATGTGAGAAATTTTCCAGGCCCGTCAACATGTCAGTTGAGTGACTGTAACAATTAGATCTATCGATTCTCCTCTCACAATTTGACATTCTTTATTGAAAAGCATGATCTAAATGTTGACTAATAGTCTGCAGAGTGAAACATGTTTACTAGTTCCCATGACCTAAAACAGTGTAAAACCATGATTCAAAAATTTCTTTTCTTAAAAACTTCTAAACAATATGTCTGCCGGGATAAACTGGTGCAATTTCTATGTGGAACCTAAAGAATTTCAATGACACATTTTCATCCTTATTGCTGTTAAATAATCCCTTCAATAGTGCCCCATCTTCTGTACTCCTTCATACGATTTTCTATCTTATTATTTTCCATCATTCTTTCTGTTACAACTATAATAGTTTCTTTGGAGAAACTATAGATTTTCCCACTTCAGAGGCATTTCTGCATTGAGCTCTCATAAACCTCTCTAACATGGTGGGAAATAGACTCAATAACATTTGTGTATGAATTCAGTTGTGAATTACTTAAGGCTCATCTATAACATCAAAAAGCAACTTGGTAAAAACAATTCTATTGAAGATTATATGATCTAAGTATATATAACTTTAGGATGGCTTCGACTGAGACAAAAATAGTATCGATACAGTGTGGAGCAATGAATTTCTAAAATTTTTATCTGCTTAACATTTTTCAACAGCACAATTTATACAGAAGCCCAACATGAGACATTCTTGTTCACATGGAATTTCTCTGCCCGCTTGAGCCCTGTAGAAATACCACAGTGTTGGTAAACAGCAACAGCAACAAGAAGATACTAAGCTTGAATTCTCAGTGGCTCAACCACACCAAAGTTTGTGGGTTGCTCCCATAAAGTTCAATGTCAGTCAGAATAAACTCCTCTATCATTAACCTATGACACACATTGCACGTAACCTTCAAAGTACTGGAAGTGGAAAAGGAGAGAACCTGGGAAGGAGGCAGGGGCTTTTTACTGCCTCAGCCCCAGAGTGATTCATGGCACTTCACCTCAGAGTCTCTTAGATCTTTCCACGTGATCCCAACATAACTGGATGTCTCTGAAATATCTGGGAGGGCATGAAGATTCATTACATGTCTTAGTATTCATTACATGTCTGTTTACAGACTCCATTTTGCTTTCTAAGATGCTCCCTGACTCTTCTCAGAAGCTTTACATAACATGCTATATAAAACACTGATCTAATCAAAATATCACCCTATACCCTATAAATATGTACAATGATGTGTCAATTTAAAAATTAAAGCAAAAAATCCACTGATCTAAAGGGATGATTTCCTCATGCTTCAGGTAATTCTTCATGGAATATTAGTCTCCAATACCAAACTTTTCTTAAGAATTTGGCTGCAAAGAATCCAATAATGTATTTTCAGAAAGAGATTGGAATGCCACAATCTTGTGCATCAACAAAAGAGTGTGTCCCTTTTTGACATTTGGGTCTCTGCGTGACTTCTGACAGAAAGGACAGGCTCAGAGGACACATGGGCATGTCCAAAATTTAATTTCTAAAAGGCTTCTCGATCTGCCCTAATGAAGACATGAGTCTAGAAAGTTTCTGACCTCCAGAGCACAGACAGTGCTTCTTCGGAGAAATTATAGATTTTCCCACTTCAGAGGCATTTCTGCATTGAGCTCTCATAAACCTAACATGGTGGGCAAGTTGGTATTTCAGTCCTTCACATTTAGCTCTGAGTTTAGTACTTGATGGATTTTAAATTAAGTTTCTTTGACATGAAATGAAATCTTCAGCTGCCTGTTAGTTCCAAAGCAGGCCCTCAAGCTCAACACATTAAAAAATTAGTCGTTTCCTCAGAATCTTGTTCTTCCTTCAGAGTTTCCAATTTTTGTTACAGATACCACCTGTCAGACAGTCATTTGGGCTTAACATTTTAAAGTCTGTTCTGGGTCTTCCACATTCATTATTCTCTACAGTCAATCACATTCCAAGGATTGTTGCCTCCAATGCATGCCTTTTTCTCAGTTTTATTTTCTCCCATCAGAGTCATGCACAGATTAGCTCTCAAGTGAGCTATTATAATGGCCTCCTAGCATCTAAACTCTCTTTTTCCAATTGATAGTTCTGCCAGAGTTGTCTTCTTAAAGCAGAGGTTAGACCGCATTTCTCTAAGTAAATTCCAACGACACCAAAATAGTGATTCTTAATAAGTATTACAAGTAGGGAAATACAGATGGGAGAGTTTCCTTGGTAAATAAGTTCATAAAATCTAGGTTAAACAATGTTAAATGGGGTTTGCTTTTTGCTGTTGCTTTGTTAATGTGCATTTGAAATTTCTAAAGTGGCATTACATATCCATAATTTCCCTTATCTGTTTGACAAAGGAATCTGGTTTGTTTAGAAGCATTTTTTCAGAACTTCTATAGGTCAACCTTTCAGAAATTCCTCATTATCAACAGTCAAATACAGATGTATTTTCTTTGGCTCTCGCAACAGGCTTAGAGGAATTTCTAGTCTGTTCTTGTGACGTTTCATTATATGCATCTTTTGCTCAGGCCTGTTAAACCTACTCAACGTGTGTATCTTCTACTCCATGTCTTTATTCTTACTGTTGTCTTAACATGAAATCCTTGCAACCCAATTCATAGTTTTTGTACTTTGGAAAAATCCAGATTATGTATCATCAATACATATTTTTTCTCTATTGAGATTTTCCTGTTTTTATGTATCACAGCCAGAAGTAATCACTGCATAGAGTATTTCTGCAGAAAGATGGAAGAGTTCTATTTTAACACAATATTTACTATACACCCAGCAAAGGTCTAGGTATTTATAGATACTATTTTATATATTCATCCCATCAATGCTATGAAGAAATATTAATAAACCCATTATATATGCTAAAAGGTAGCGACACATATATGCCACATGTGCAGGTTTTCTCAGGTATTATTAGCTAGGGAAGCTGTGTTGTAACAGTCTTCAAAAACTTCCTTCTATTGTTTACATGCTATTCCACATCATTTTGTTTTCATTTCTTTTGTAGTATCTAATGTATTCTACTAAAAAAAAAAGTACAGAAGTTGGAAAACTCTTGTGAAAAAACATATATTACATATATACTATTCTTCATGATGCTCAAAATTTTCATCATTATTAACATTTTGTATATATGTGTGTGTGTGTGTGTGTATGTATGCGTGTTAGATATATAATTTAAAAGAAAACAATAAGTTGGTGGCTTATGGCATATTGTTCCTTAAGTCCTGCATTTGAAACACACTGAGTGAATCAGCACATTTGATCATCTTTTAACTACAGTAGATGATTATACATTAAAAATGCATTAACCATCCAAATACATCTTTTTTATTTATTTATTTATTTATTTATTTTTATTTATTTTGAGACGGAGTCTTGTTCTGTTTGTTGCCCAGGCTGGAGTGCAGTGGCGTGATCTTGGCTCATTGCAAGCTCCGCCGTGACCTTGGACATATCCCTAATATTTTCAAGCCTCAGTTTCTCGTCTTTAAAATTAGAATAAAGATACCAAACTCCTGGGGTTTTGTGAGAGTAAAATGAGACGATGTTTGTAAGAGACTCAGCGCAGTGTCAGTATCTACCATGTGCTATGTACTCTGCGTTTTCTTTTTTTCTTTTTTTTTTTTGAGACGAAGTCTCGCTCTGTCACCCAGGCTGGAGTGCAGTGGCGCTATCTCCGCTCACTGTAAGCTCCGCTTCCCGGGTTCAAGCCATTCTCCTGCTTCAGCCTCCCGAGTAGCTGGGACTACAGGCACCGTCCACCACGCCCGGCTAATTTTTTTTTTTTTTTTTTTTTTTTTTTTGTATTTTTAGTAGGGACGGGGTTTCGCCGCGTTAGCCAGGATGGTCTCGATCTCCTGACCTCATGATCCGCCCGTCTCGGCCTCCCAAAGTGCTAGGATTACAGGCGTGTGCCACCGCGCCCGGCCCTGCGTTTTCTACTGTGGATGCTACTGAATGTTTTTAGTATTTGCTGTATGTCAAGAGCTCTTCTAATTAAACTCTATGCGTAATGACTCACTTAAAGGTTACTATTATTATCCCTATTGTAAGAAATGGACATTGGGGCACAAAGAGGCTTAGAAACTTGCTCAAGATCACATACCTGGCTGAGCGCGGTGGCTCACACCTGTAATCCCAGGACTTTGGGAGGCCGAGGCAGGCGGATCATGAGGTCAGGAGATCGACACCATCCTGGCTAACACGGTGAAACCCCGTCTCTGTCTGTCTGTCTTTCTCTCATCTCACTCTGTCACCCAGGCTGGAATGCAGTGGCACAATCTCAGCTCACTGTAATGTCTGCCTCCTGGGTTCAAGCGATTCTTCTGCCTCAGCCTCCGGAGTAGCTGGGAGTAGAGGCATGTGCCACCATGCCTGGCTAATTTTTGTATTTTTAGTAGAGATGGGGTTTCACCATGTTGGCCCAGCTGGTCTCAATCCCCTGACCTCTGGTGATCTGCCAGCGTTGGCCTCCCAAATTGCTAGGATTGCCGGTGTGAGCCACCACACCTGGCCTTTATTTCTTTATTTTCTATTGTTTGTTTGCAGTGATAGGATCCCCAATTCAGAAATCAAGTAAAGGAAGTATGCCTCCAAGAGGTATTGGAGTAGATAAACTAGATATTACAAAGCCTACAGATTCAGTCTATTAATTTTTAAAAATAAATTATTAATTTATTTATAAACAGTGTGTGTGTGTGTGTGTGTATGTGTGTGTGTGTGTGTGTGTGTGATGGAGTCTCGCTCTGTCGCCCAGGCTTGAGGGCAGTGGTGCAGTGGCCCGATCTTGGTTCACTGCAACCTCCCCCTACCGGGTTCAAGTGATTCCCCTGCCTCAGCTTCCTAAGTAGCTGGGATTACAGGCACCCGACACCAGGCCCGGTTAATTTTGTATGTTTAGTGGAGAGGGTTTCACCATATTAGCCAGGATGGTCTCAATCGCCTGACCTCGTGATTCGCCCACCTCGGCCTCCCAAAGTGCTGGGATTATAGGTGTGAGCCACCGTGCCCGGCCTATTTAAACAAGTTTTTAAAATAAATTATTTTATTTTAACTTATCATATTCCTTTATTCAGGGAGATAAGTTACTGAGATAACTGGTAGTAGGCAAAGAGAAGAAACAGGGTGAAGTCAGGTTTGTTGGTGGAGGAAAAATGATACTAAAGACTGCCCAACAAATATTCAGAATCCAGAAATGTTCATATTTCTCCATGGTTCAATTTCTCATGGGTCACTTTTCATTACAAGGATTCTGGAGAGCAAATAAGACAGGATTCTCTCAGGTATCAACCCAGTCTTTTTTTTTTTTTTTTTTTTTTGAGACAGAGTCTCGCTCTGTGGCCCAGGCTGGAGTGCAGTGGCGCCATCTTGGCTTACTGCAACCTCTGCCTCCCGGGTTCAAGAGATTGTCCTGCTTCAGCCTCCCGAGTAGCTGGGATTACAGGCCCACGCCACCATGCCTGGCTAATTTTTGTATTTTTGGTAAAGACAGCGTTTCACCATATTGGTCAGGCTGGTCTCGAACTCCTGACCTCAGGTGATCCACCCGCCTCGGCCTCCCAGAGTGCTGGGATTACAGACGTGAGCTACCGTGCCCGGGCCAACCCATAGTCTTTCAGTCTTCTCTCAGCCAAGGCATCCAGTGAAAATACAATTTATTTTTCAGATTCCTCTGGAGAATTAAAAAGTCTCTTTTGCGGCTGGACACGGTGGCTCACACCTGTAATCTCAGCACTTTGGGAGGCTGAGGTGGGCAGATCACAAGGTCAGGAGATCGAGACCATCCTGGCCATAGCCAACACGGTGAAATCCTGTCTCTACTAAAAATACAAAAATTAGCTGGGTATGGTGGCACACACCTGTAGTCCCAGCTATGTGGGAGGCTGAGGCAGAAGAATTGCTTGAACCCAGGAGGCGGAGGTTGCAATAAGCCAAGATTGAGCCACTGCACTTGCTC
The DNA here is from genome assembly GCF_000001405.40 of Homo sapiens. Lineage (NCBI taxonomy): Eukaryota > Metazoa > Chordata > Mammalia > Primates > Hominidae > Homo > Homo sapiens. The sequence goes on along the minus strand of NC_000016.10, from coordinate 33,130,482 downwards.
TGGTGACAGAGCAAGACTCCGTCTCAAAAAAAAAAAAAAAAAAGTCTCTTGCATCAAATTGCCATAGTCTCTGCTCTTGGTCCTCTTTTCCATGTACTCATTCTTCAAGGATTTATTTTCTCATTGCCTGATCAAGATCATTGCAATGACCAAAAAATTTTCGGATGCTGTGATTTTTGTAATATTCCTTTAAAAAGTTAATCATGATGTTGCGTTCTTCAGTGTGCAAGTGTGGAGATGTCAGGATGCCTCTTTAAGACAAGATGATGGGTCACAGCAGTGCCATACCACTCACAGCCACACCAGGAGAGCTGAAGGGGCAGTCACCAACGAAGATGCCCGACCCAGAAGTTGGCTGCCAGGGAGCCAAAAGCCAGGTCACTCCACAGGTGGCCAATGCCTGGGGGAGCCCTCCACCGCCCAAGCTTATTATTATTATTATTATTTTGAGACGGAGTCTGGCTCTGTCTCCCAGGCTGGAGTGCAGTAGCACGATCTTGGTTCACTGCAACCTCCACCTCGTGGGTTCAAGCAATTCTCCTGCCTCAGCTTCCCGAGTAGCTGGGACCACAGGCACGTGCCACCTCACCTGGCTAATTTTATTTTTTGAACAGACAGGGTATTGTTATGTTGTCCAGGCTGGTCTTGAACTCCTAGGCTCAAACGATCCTCCCACTTCAGCCTCCCAAAGTGCTGGGACTACAGGTGTGAGCCACACCTGGCCAGGTTCTACTTTTTAATATTTAAAATATCTGAAATAGGCCGGGCACGGCGGCTCACACCTGTAATCCCAGAACTTTGGTAGGCTGAGGCGGGCGGATCACCAGAGGTCAGCAGTTTGTGATGAAACTCCGTTCCTACTGAAAATACAAAAATTAGCCGGGTGGGTGGCAGATGCCTGTAATCCCAGCTACTCGGAAAGCTGAGGCACCTAAACCCGGGAGGTGGAGGTTGCAGTGAGCTGATATCATGCCACTGCAGTCCAGCCTCCGCGACGCAATGAGACTGTCTCAAAAAAAAAAAAAAAAAAAAAAGATGGTGTCAGTGATTTCTGCTACATCAGCTCTGGAGGCACTCCGTACCTGATTGCTCCACTTTTAGTGGTGCTAAATTCAAATAATTCAGCTGGTGAGAAACTGACTCCCGTGGGAGTGCGGGCGTGCGTGCGTGCCGCGGAAATCCCGCCTTCCGGCGCCGGCGGTTGGCCCTGGCTGCAGTGGGTGAGCTCCAAGTAGGAAGATAAACGGGATTGCGGGAAGCGGGAGAGTCAGGAGGAGCAGGGAAGGGCTCCTCTTCCCCATTGGCTGCGCCCGCAGAGCCGCCTTGCGATTGGCGGTAAGCGCGGGTCGGTGGAGGGGGCGGCAGTCCCGCGCGGGCACGCCCCTCGGGTAGCGAGAGGCGTCGGGATCGCGGGCGCCGGCTGAGCCAGCGGCTGCTGGGAGGCTGTGTGCGCACGCCTGCGGGGCGAGGAGGCCGGGCCCTGCGCCTCAGGTCCTGGCCTGGGGCACCGGGGCGTCCGGCGTCGGAGGCGGTGCGGGGTTGGCGGGAGGCACAAGGGGTGGGGGGGCGGGGGGGGGGGGTTGCTGCGCGGACCGCCCGCGGCGCAGCCCCCTGCCTCTCTCTATCTCTAAGTGGTGGTGGCTGTGGGTTTTTCTGCAGGTGAGCCTTTTGAGTAATTTGTTTCATGCAGGCGCCCTGCTGTTGGGTAAAGCGGCAGATTCACGCTGCTGTCATTTGTCGTTCAAACGATGGGCTTCCTGGCAGGGCGCGGTGGCTCAAGCCTGTAATTCCAGCACTTTGGGAGGCCGAGGCGGGAGGATCATGAAGTCAGGAGATCGAGATCATCCTGGCTAACATGGTGAAACCCCGTCTCTACTGAAAATACAAAAAAAAAAATTAGTCGGGCTGGTGGCGGGCGCTGGTACTCCAGGCTACTCGGGAGGCTGAGGCAGGAGAATGGCATGAACCCGGGAGGCGGAGCTTGCAGTGAACTGAGATCCCGCCACTGCACTCCAGCCTGGGCGACAGAGGGAGACTCCATCTCAAACAAAACAAAACAAAAAATGATGGGCTTCCTGTCATGTGTGTGTGTACCTTTTGGATTTGAGGGCAGGGGTATGACATTGTGATTTGGCCTCCTGTGACAGTCCATTCTCAAGGTCTCGCCAGCGTGGTGCAGAAACCCGGCATACCTTGCCTATCTAGGAAGGAGGCTTTCCCTTCCCCACCTCCCTCTCCCTCCATCTCTTCCCTCTATCTCTCTTTCCTCTTCATTCCCTTCCCCGAGCTCTTCTCTCCCATCTTTCTGTTCTTTTTTTTCTGCATTAAACTTTTCGGGAGTGTCTTTGTAAAATATTAAAAAGCGTTAGGTCTTCAACATGTATGTTTACTTGCAGGCCTGAGAACTGGGAGGAAGCTGGAGAAAAGATGCCCTCTGAATATTTGTGTTTGGCTGCCCAGGCTCGCCTTGACTCCAAATGGTTGAAAACAGATATACAGGTGGGGTTTGACATGTCTCTTTCTTGGTGTATTTCTGCTTCCATGTTTAAATTTCTCGTGTAAGTCTTTTTTTTTTTAGGGTATGTAAGGGGAAGTCAGTTGTTTCTTGCTATAGTAGAGGAGCAGGTTTGTTTCCTGTAACTTAAAATGTAACAGTCTTTATGGCTGTTTTTGTAGATCGTGCACGGCTGCCTTTTAATTAGTTTCTTGCAAGTGCACGAAACTTGAGATCTATGAATAGGCAAAAATTTTTTCCTATTTTTTTATTACTGGTTAAGAAATCTGCCACACTCCTAACCATATGATGGTGACTGTTATTTGTTACTGATAGTTTTTGAGCTGTTTAGTTAACTGTGCAGGGGAAAGTTGGAGAAGTAAGTTGCAGTAATTATGGCCAATAGAAACGCACTCATTTTATGAGGTCTTGTGTTTGTGTTTTTGGAGAGACAAGAGTTAGTTCAGTCGAGGTGTTTGTTTTGTATTTGTATGCAATACAAGGTCTAAGGACAATTGTGTTGAAACTGAGGTCATGATGTTGGAATCTTAAGGGCTGAAGGTTCCAAATAAATGGTATATATAGAATTCTCTCTGACTCGAAATTGTCCCTTTCTGGACCTCCGGATGCTGAGGCTAAGAATGTCCATATGATAGGGCCTTCCATGACAGGAGTCAGCAATCTTTTTTTTTTTTTTTCTTTCACGTATCTGTAATTCATTCTGTATATTTTAAAAAGTTTTAAGCTCTCTTCCTAGCCCTAGTATTTGTTAATAAATTAAAACATTTCCCAAAGTGTTTTTTTGTGAAACAATAATTCTAAAAGATGCTCTAAGAAAAGCTAAGCACATGGAAAAATCCAAAGTATATGTTTTATTTATTACATTTGATGAATTTGTTGTTTGCTTCTTTTTCCTCTCAAGAGGGAGCCTTGCTGTGTTGCTCAGGCTGGAGTGCAGTGGCATGATCTTGGCTCACTGCAACCTCCGCCTCCCGGGTTCAAGCAGTTCTCTGCCTTAGCCTCCTGAGTAGCTAGGATTACATGCACCCTCCACCACGCCCAGCTAATTTTTGTATTTTTAGTAGAGACGGAGTTTCGCCATATTGGCCAGGCTGGTCTTGAACTCCTGACCTCATGATCCACCTGCCACGGCCTCCCAAAGTGTTAGGATTATAGGCGTGAGCCTCCGCACCCGGCCCACGTTTGATGGATATTTTTGTCCTTTGTTCTTTTAAAAATTGTGGTTAGAAAGCAGAGCATAATTGTTCTTTATGTAGATCCCAACTGATTGGGGTTTTTAGGGAGATTTTTTGGCATTCAGTAAATGTTTTTATTTTCCATTATTAAGACTATGAATATTTTATTTTATTTTCTGAGACAGGGTCTTGCTCTGTTGCCCAGGCTGGAGTACTGTGGCATTATCTTGGCTCACTGCAACCTTTGCCTCCTGGGTTCAAGCAATTCTCCTGCCTCAGCCTCTCAAGCTGCTGGGATTACAGGTGGCTGCCACCATGCTGGGCCAATTTTTGTATTTTTAGTAGAGTTGGAGTTTCACCATGTTGGCCAAGCTTGTCTGAAACTCCTGACCTCAAGTGATCCGCCCGCCTCAGCCTCCCAGCGTGCTGGGATTGTAGGTGTGAGCCACTGCCCTGGCCCATTTTCACTTTTCATTAGCTGCTATTTTCCCCCATTTATTTCCTACCTTTCTGTGTATGATTTCTGAATGAAATGTATTTCATGTCTTAACCTTCTGAATTGTTTGTTCTCTCATTTTCCATGTTGTTAAGGAAAATAAGAGGCTAAGTGAGATGTATTAAATTTGCATATAGTTTCTCAGATCAGGATAAAGGCTCATCTGTTGCAGAACGGGACTCTGCTCTTGCTTCACCCAGGATGCGTTTCCTAGTTCCTTCCTAGAGTGGGGCCACGCCCTGCTCCAGCCTTCCAGACCCAGCTCCCTGCTCTGACATGATTCCACTGGACTGTATTCCAACTGTCCTACCTGGACCTAGATATTTTCTTTGTTTTTTTGTTTGTTTGTTTGTTTTTTGTTTTTGAGATGACGTTTTACTTGGCGGTCCAGGCTGGAGTGCAGTGGCGATCTTGGCTCACTGCAACCTCCGCCTTCCAGGTTTAAGCAATTCTCCTGCCTCAGGCTCCCAAGTAGCTGGGATTACAGGTGCATGCCACCACACCTGGCTAATTTTTGCATTTTTAGTAGAGACGGTGTTTCACCATGTTGGCCAGGCTGGTCTCGAAATCCTGACCTTGTGATCTGCTCGCCTCGGCCTCCCAAAATGCTGGGATTATAGGTGTGAGCCACCGCACCCAGCCAACTTTTTTTTTATTAAAAAACTTACATGAAATTTATTTTATTGTGGTATCTAGTTCAGTAAATTTTGACCCTATAGATTCATTTAACCCCCGCCATCATCAGGATGGAGAAGTTTCATCACCCCAAAAGCTCCCTTAAGGTGCTGCTTTTTATCACATATCCCCTGGCCTCATACCCTGGCAACCACTGATCTGTTCTCCATCAGTATAGGGTATTCTTTTTGAGAATGTCATGTGAGTGGAACCATATTTTAAGTAACGTTTTGAAACCATCTTCATTTACTCCTAGTTATATGTTTGAGATATATTGTTGTTCTGTGTATTAATAGTTCTTTTTATTGATGAATGGTGTTTCATCATTTGGATGTACCACATTGTGTTTATCCATTCTGCTATTGTAGGACCTTGTGGTTGTTTCCGTTTTTCTTTCACAATTGTAATCCTGCTGTGAGCATTTCTGTACAGATTTTGTGTGAATATAGTTTCCATTTCCCTAGGATAAAGACCTAGTAGTGTGAAAATTGGGTCATGTGCTGAACTGTTTTCCGAAGTGGCTGTTTTAGTTTGCATTCCTGCTGGTAATCTGTCACGTTTCTGTTGCTCTGTGTCTTTGTTAGCACTTGGTGTTATCAGTGTTTTTTAGTTGAGCCATTCTAACACGTCTAGTGGGATCTCATTGTGGTTTAAATTTGCATTTCCATAATGGCTAACAATGCTGAATATCATGTTCTTCTTTGCCACTCTTGTATCCTTTGTGAAGTTTCTGTTCAGATCTTTTGCACAGAAAAAGCTGTATCATGGAACCAGTAAAATAACCAAGGAGAGGTTGATTAAAGTTCTGTTTATAATCCTAAAAGATTCCTGCCTTAGGGATATGGGATGGCTGAACATAAGACACCAACACTGGACAGATGAAATAGCAGTTTATTAGTCACGCATGCTCACAGCCCTGGGGGTGGGGGACACCGCATGTCACACGGGGGCTGCACTTGGGAACAGAGTGAACCACGAGGGGCTGTGGGAGGCACATTTTGTAGTAAGAAGAGGGTGAAATGACCTTGCTTCCGTGGGAAGATGTGATTGGCTTGTTGGAATAACTCTGGACCAGCAGGGATGAGCAGGCTGGGGTCGGGTCTCCGCGATAAGGAGGGTTGTTTGGCTCTGGGATCTTATCCGTGGGAGCAGAGCTTGGAGGAGACCTTGTGGTTAGGCTATTTGAGGCCTTCTTGATTTTACTGACGTCAAGGCAGCACATAATATTTAGTCTTAATTTCAGGCCACACAAGACATTCCTCTGTATCTACTTTCTGTGGCACTTTTCAAAAGGTTTTGTCCTTAGTGTTTAGCAGTTGATTATGATGTGCCTCATCATGGCTTCCTTTGGATTTATCTTGTTTGGGCTTTGCACAGATTCTTCAATCTGCCTAGGTTTCTGTCATTTGCTGAACCTAGGAAGTTTTCAGCTATTAGTTCTTTAGATTTTTTTTCCAGCATTGTACCTTTTCTCTCCTGTTATTAACCTGTGGGGTCTGTGCTAATTCTAGGTAGTTAGTTTCAGAATTGAATTGCATTGTGGGACACATAGCTGGGTGTCGCAAAGAACTGGAGAATTGCTTGGTGCAAAAGTCCATACATTTGGCGTCAGAAGTGTTGTAAACAGAGGAACTGTTTCCTTAGGGATTTTTAGATACTCATTATTTATAATCTGGATGGGATATCATGTCTTTCACCGATTGAGGTACATTTTTCTAATTATGTTGTTTAGACGTTTAGTCACAGCCTTCTGTGATGGACCGTGTTTACACTTCAAGGTTAAGGTTAGTTCTCTCTTCTCTTCGCTTACTATGTCAGGAGTTTTATGACAGTTGTTTTTGACTGAAACGTTACATTGTCAGTGGCCTAAAGTCATTTTTCCCAGCTTTTCCTTTGTGTCCCAGTGCTCTTGAATTATGCTATCAGTGACAGCGCCCCTGCATAGCAGTGCTTGCCAGTTGGCAGTGGAGTAGGGCCTTGGAAAGGGTTAAAAGATTTTTGAATCATACTCCTTTTCTACACCCTCCCTTTTCCCATGGGTACGCAAGCATTGGGACTCAATGGATGGAAGCAATTCGTGTGAAATTGAAGTAGGTAAATATCAAATACTAAGTTTCTCAGTTGTGAAATCTACTAGGAAGTTAATGAAATATCATTTTGGAAGACATGCTTTAAATAATTTGATATATTGGTTTCTTTTCTTTTCTTTTCTTTTCTTTTTTTTTTTCAGATGGAGTCTTGCTCTGTTGCCCAGGCTAGAGTGCAGTGGTGCCATCTCGGCTTACCGCAAGCTCCGCCTCCCGGGTTCATGCCATTGTCCTGCCTCAGCGTCCCGAGTACCTGGAACTATAGGTGTCCACCATCATACCTGGCCAATTTTTTGTATTTTCAGTAGAGACGGGGTTTCACTGTGTCAGCCAAGATGGTCTCCATCTTCTGACCTCGTGATCCACCGGCCTTGGCCTCTTAGAGTGCTGGGATTACAGGCATAAGCCACCACTCCCGGCCGATATATTGGTTTGTTTATGAAAATTATACTGGATCTGTTACAGGTATGATTGATATATTTTATTTTTGAGTTGTCAAACATTCAGTTAATGATGTGTGTTGTAACTTTTCAGGGAGGGACATTTGCAGAGACTGACTAATGGTATGGCATTCTGAAAAGCGGTTACAGATTAAAAAAATTTTAATTCTGCAGATGATAGTGTCAAACCAAGTGGAACAAAGAAAGAAGATCTGGATGACAAAGAGAAAAAAGATGAAACTCCTGCACCTGTATATAGGGCCAAGTCAATTCTGGAGAGCTGGGTATGGGAGTAAGCAACCAGGTAATCTTTGATCAGAGATAGAAATTAGTATAGACATTTTGCCTCCAGATCCTCAGGTGGTTTTAGAAATTGGTTCTCTAATTCTGTAGGAGAAGGTTGATACTGGTATAGGCTTACACGTCATTGAAACTGGAAAAGGTAGCTAGATATTCTTCTACTCATGTTTTGGATAATGAGATATTTTATGCTTCACACACTTGGAGTATGTCATCTACTGTAATACGGTATCTGAATGAATACTTTAAATAAAATACATTTCTGTAAGTTAATTGTATACTTTAAAAATCTCTGAAAAATTTGAGTAGCAAGTCTCAGAAACTTGGTTCTAAATATTAAGAATATATCCTTCCTTGGGAGGGAGCATGTAGTAAACATGTTAGTGTGATTGTAAGCATACTGTCTTTCTGGAGGTCGCTGTGTTCCTGCATCCACTGTTTTCATTTCAGGGATGTTCACAGAACGCCAGGCACCAAAAGGCCAGAAGCATGCCCCTGCAGGACCAGCACTTGGCTCTGGCCATCCTGCTGGAGCTGGCTGTGCAGAGAGGCACGCTGAGGTGAGGGCTTGTGCAGAATGGGAACGCTTTGGGGAAGCGCCTCTGTATCCAAATACCTGTTGCATTGTGTGCATTTCACTGAATCGTGTTTGACTGCAGCAGAGAGCACCATGTCCCAGAGCTCGCTCTCTCTTTACCTTTTCTTCACTTCCTTTTTTATGCTCAGTTTTCTAGCCTGGGAACTGTTCTTTTTTTTTTTTTTCTTTCAGTTTTCCTCATTTAATTATTTTTATTCCATGAATTTAAGATCCTAGAACTTCCATGTGAATGTGCTCTTTGAGCTTCTTAACTGGTCTTTCCTATCAGCAGAAGGCGATGACTTGTGCTAAAATCTTAGTGTCAATTCAGTGATTTAATTACCACGGCTTTACTTTCATTTCCTTTCATATCCCAAGTATTGCTTCACTTCTATCTAGCTGTTTGCTTTTATTTTTGATCAACCATGAAAAAAAAAGTTAATCTGTTTTTACTAGGAATAAATGTGTTTTCTCCTTTAGCCAAATGTTGTCTGCCATCCTGTTGTTGCTTCAGCTGTGGGACAGCAGGGCACAGGAAACTGACAATGAGCGTTCTGCCCAGGGCACCAGCACCTTGCTTTTGCCCTTGCTGCAAACGTTCCAGAGCATCATTTGTGGTAAGGATACGCCCCCCTCCGAGGGCAACATGCACGTGAGTGTCATGATGGAACGTTGTGTTTAGGTGGTACTCAAGTCTAGTTATTTTTTACGCAAGACCAGTGTGTGTGTCCACGGCAGTGTTTTTCTCTGGCGTGTGTGTATTTGGTGGTAACAGCAGCGAGTCAGATGAGACAGGTGTGGGAGGCCACTTGTTTGTGGAGAAGACTTGGATCAGTGAGCACCGACTTCCTTGTCAGCACAGAACCAAGCTTGAAACACGCACTTTTAAATCAATACTAGAAAAGAACAACGAAAATAGTGGCTTTCTTTGTTGGCCCTTCCTATGTACTGGGCTCTGTGCAGGGCATGTCATCTGAGCTGTCACTCTGTTTAGTACCAGCTCCCCCCTTAACAGGTGTGGACGCCGAGCTGGGGGAGGAGCAGGCATGTGGGGCCCTGGGTGTAAACCTCCAGGAGTGCTGGTCTTTACAGGTCAAGTACAAGTTGAATTTTGCATCTTTTTGGGAAAGTCTTAGGCATTTCAATATCATGCTTTGGTTTAATTTTTCTATTATTTGTTAGTCTTTAAACTAATGATAATAGGGCTCTTCTGCCTTTAGAAGAATTAGAACTATGATTTAATTTGCAAATGAAAGTAGGTGTTCTCCAGAGTGGGCAATGTTTAGATTAAAATAAAGGTTTTGGTTTTAGATTTCAAGGCCAGCTTGAGATGCTGTTCTGGGTTCCCACAGAGGTGGTTCTGCCTTTCTCCAGGGGTCCTAGGCCTGTAGGGTGGTTTGGTCATGTTAGTAATCTGTGTGGATTCAACTTACCTGTGGTGTCATAAATGTATACATGCACAGTCAATGTTGTGTACATGTGTACAGCACATTTAGACATTTATACAGTCAGTTTGTATGCTACATAAATATATAGATGTATAGTATAACTGTATCATCGACATTGTCATTTGATGGGTCAAATGAGTCAATACCAAAATATAAAGAGTGGGTAAAGGCTAACTGTATTACTTTAATTTTTCCCACCATTTCTGAATGTTTGTTTACCTTTCCTTTCTAGCTTTTGTCTGGCCCTCTGAGCCCCAGTGAGTTTCCTGAGGTACCTCACCCTCCACAAGACAACGAGCTTGCCATTGATCTGCAACAAACGGCGGTTGTTGTCATGGCCCATTTAGAAGATCTGGCTACACCCTGTAGATGCCTCTGCCGTGTAGCTGTCCGACGTCTCATAAGGTGTGTGTGCAAGAACCGTGTTCTCCATGGGTTTTGTAGCTAGTACCACTTGTAGGTTCTCATCCTGGGCCCGTGTGGAGACTTGCTTTTTCTGGTATTGGTAGGGGGAGCTGGCCTGTGGTTTTTAAACGTGTTTGCAGTTGAAGGTGTTATCCGTGTTGAGAGTGAATGATGAGCAAGCTGAGGCGCACAGGCCTGGGGACCCAACCTGGGGGCCCAGGTTCCAGGTTCAGGTGGCACAGCCCCAGAGAGCTCCCCTTTACCCACAGCCCCAGGCCCTCCCACCTTCTACAGAGGGTTCCACAGCCTTCTTTATACTCTGAACGTGGGCTGTCTTAGTATGTAATGCTGGTTATAGTAGTGACAGTATAATTATATATTATATCTGTTATGTAATAGTAATGGTAATAGTAGTGATTTGCATGTGTGGAGCACCTGTAGGGTGCAGGCCCACTGAGGACCTCATACACGCTGTTGTATCTCATTATGTCAATGAGAAAACTGCCTTTGGGAATGTTAGTGAACTTTGCCAGTGTATAACAGTAATCCTAGTTTTGAATCCAGATTTTTCTAACATTTTATTTCTAGTATGAAGAGTGTTTATTTTGTTTTACAGTCGTTAAAAAAAAAAGAGGAATACAGTCACATGGTTCAAAAATCAAACCTAGGCAGAGACACACTGTCACTTCCCCTGCCCACCCCTTCCACCCATTTTCCTACCTGCTCTCTCTGGCTTTTCAGTCTCCTCTGTAACCTCCTTGTTCTCTGGAATGAGTATGCTAGTGGTAGCATGTTGCATTACTTGTGTTGCTTGTTTTTTTTTTTACTAGCCATATATACTGGAGTACTTTATCAGAGTGTCGCTCTTTGTTTTTATAAAGCAGCTTAGTCTTCAGTGTGTAGATATGTCTTTTATGTATCATTCTTCAGTGAGTCTCTTATTGGTGGACACTTGGGCTTATTGCCACAGTGTTGCTACACAAATAGTGCTGAGGGTCGGTTGTGGTGGCTCATGCCTGTAATCCCAGCACTTTGGGAGGCCAGGGTAGGTGGATCACCTGAGGTTTGGAGTTTGAGATGATCAGCCTGGCCAACTTGGAGAAACCCCGTCTCTACTAAAAAATACAAAAGTTAGTGGGGCATGGTGGCACATGCCTGTAATCCCAGCTACTCGGGAGGCTGAGGCAGGAGAATCGCTTGAACCTGGGAGGCAGATGTTGCAGTGAGCCGAGATTGCGCCACTGCACCTTAGCCTGGGCAACAAGAGTGAAACTGTCTCAAAAAACAACAACAACAATAACAAAAAACACAAATAGTGCTGCAAGGCCTGACCTGGAACATGTGTCCTCCATGTGTGCACGCGTGTGTGCCTGTGCACATGCACAGGTGGGGATGCACCTAGTGTGGGCTGGTTGTCACCAGATCGCTCCTGTACATCTTGATTTCTCTCACCACCAATAGGGATGCTGGTCTCCCAGCCTTGTGTGTGGGCTTTTGGGATTTTGCCTGCTAAAGCACAAAATGGTGACCCTGATATAGTTTGAGCATTTTAAAATATATTAGTATTTAAGGGCCATTTATACTACTTTTTAATGGGTTCTGTTGAAATGCAATGGAAATGGAAAAATAGCCTGTTCAGTTGCTTCATCATACCTGTTAAATGCGGTAATACGGCGTGGTAGGAGATGGGGTTTCACCATGTTAGCCAGGATGGTCTCGATCTCCTGACTTCGTGATCTGCCTGCCTCGGCCTCCAAAAGTGCTGGGATTACAGGCATGAGCCACTGTGCCCGGCCAATTGGATTATTTTAAAGCATAACTCTGTCTTTAAAACATTTTAAGGCATTTTACCTCTTAATGATAAGGATTTAAGAAAAACCCTACAATATCATTATCCTGTCTATAAGATTAACAGTGATTCCTTAATCTAACATGTAGTCCATGTTACATTTTCCTGGACTATCTCAAAAATGCCTTTTTTAGGTGGTAATTTTGAATTAGGACCTGAATATGTTCTGTGTATTGGCATTGGTTGACATATGCTTCTAGTCTCTTTCCCCAAACAACATGGCTCCAGGCCCTCCTCTCCCTGTCTCTGATCATACCATTTTCTTTTTCAAAGAAGCAAGTTGGTTATTTTGGAGAACTTCACATTTTCTGAACTTGGTTGATTGCATTCTCTTATTCTAGACCAACATATTCTTCTGTTAGTTACATTAATCTGCTGGTTAGATCTAGAGGTTTGGTTGGATTTGAATTCAGTCTCGTTGGGGTGGTGTTATGTCTGGAGTCATGCTGCATGCTTTCTGTTGGCTCAGGAGGCCTGTAATGCTCAGTGGCTCCCCGCTTTAGTTCTGTGAAGCTAGACCAGGGAATTCATGTGTTGCGTGTCCTCTATAAAATCCCCTACCAACCTTGCCCTCTGCTGTCTGGTTAGCAGGAGGTACAATTTGTACAGGAAGGACATAATCTAAGCTTGACTTCTTGAACTGCCACCTCCCTTTAACTATTTTTCATAATATTGAGTTGGTATCCTAGCACTTGCATAGGTGACCACCACTCAGGTTTTCTTTTTTTTTGAGTATTTTTATGAACTAATAGACTTCTATTGATTTGGTGTTTCTTTTCTTTTTTAGCTTTTTCCCCCTAATATACACATTTAAAGGCGTAAATGCCCTCAAGCATGCATTTAGTTGTATGTCACCAATTTTGATCTGCAATATTTTGATTATTAATTGAACTCATTTTCTAATTTTCATAGTCATTTTTTCTTAGAATTTTGGGTTACTTATAAGTGTATTTTGTAATTTTCAAATATGTGGATGAATATTTTCATTTTCTGTATATACAGAGTCATTTTTATTTTATTTTGAATGAACTTTTGAAAACCTATTTCTAATTTAACTGCATTGTAGTCAGCACACATGCTGTGTAACTTTATTTCTTTGAAATCTGTTGAGATTTGTTCTATGGCCTGGCATGGCCTGATTTGATATTCATGCTGCCTAGATTTTTTTTAAAGCATTCTATATTTAATAGAATTTGTATGTGTGGTATTAGTTTCAGAGCTAGGTATGTATTTCTCCCATTGTGATTGTGGATTTGTTTATTTCTGCTTGTAGTTCTTTCACACAGTTTGTTCTTTTCATTTTACCTGTTGATTGATCAATGGACTGATTCTGGTTTCTGTATACAGAGAGTCATTTTTTTACAGGTCAGAACTGTAGAAATAATGAGGAAGTGACACTTATATGCAAAGCTGATTTGGAGAACCATAATAAAGATGGAGGCTTCTGGATTGTGATTGATGAGAAAGTGTATGATATAAAGGACTTCCAGACACAGTCGTTAACAGGAAATAGTATTCTTGGTAAGATTACCCTTCTTATTTCCTGGTTAAAAGTTACAGCCTGTATCATTTTAAGCAGAGTATTTGGCTTATAAATGATTTCTTTAGTTTTGTGCCAGCCCCCGCATATTTTAATGTATCTGTGGCTTTGGTGTCTGTCTTATCAACAAATTCAGCACATTTGAAGAATTTCCTTTCATTATGCATTTTTTGTTTTAATACTTGGAACTCATTTCAAGTTCTGAGTTGGCCCAGGCAACCCTGGGAGACAGTGGGAGGTCATTATACTCTGGTAACCCTCACTTTTGAGTTAAGCGCCTAACTTATTTCCTACTCACTGTTTCTCCTATAGCTCTTCAGGCAAGCTGAATTGAACTCCTGTTGCTTTTTCCCTTTTTCTTTCAGCTCAGTTTGCAGGGGAAAACCCAGTGGTAGCTTTGGAAGCTGCTTTCGAGTTTGAAGTCACCCGGGAATCCATGCACGCATTTTGTGTTGGCCAATATTTGGAGGTGAGGCTGTATGCCTTGAGTGATGCAGAGGATGGCAGGGGACACCCTCTGTGTGTTTGTGATAGGAATATTTGGATCTAGAAGTACTGATATCTGGGTCTTTTGGGGGGCATTAGGGATAATATAAAGATCCTTTAGAAGTTTTGTCATAAATGAATTTACATTTATTCGTGTTAGGATCTGTGATGTACTGGTCTTGAAAGATTGTTTTTTAAATGATCAATTTGTGAGAAATATAGACAGTGTTCCACAAGAAAAGAGGTTAAACTTTGGTCTTATGTAGAAATTTGGAATGGCTTATTATATTGAGGTATGTATTTTTTGGGAAGAACTATGTAGAAGTGTAATTCTTTACAATAGAAATATGTCCTTCCTATGTATTCACGAACACATAGAATTTATATACTGGGATTAGCTTTCCAGCTATCCACAAGTAATAAAATGTATTAAATGCCATTAGGGCAGGGCTTAAAGCATTTTATGAAGGGGAGAATTAACTTTGCTGTAAATATCTTCTGTGACTGGAAAAGTTGAACTCTTGCTTTTTTCAGAGTTTGATTTTTGTTAGAATAAATTTCATTTCCTCTACCTGTGTGGTCACAGTCCACTAATACTTGTCATCGAATACTTGTCATAGTTTTGTTGCCCAGTGGGTTCTTTATGCATGTAACAATTCATTATACTTTCTGAAGCATGGTGTACAGTCACTTTGGAAACTGATTCCTAAGGAATATTCTAGCCAAATCATGTATCTGTGCTTTAGTTTTTCTGCGTGTACGGTTGCTGCCAGCTTTATAGGGCATGTGGGTTTATGTGGTATCTGCTGTTACTTGGGCACAGCAGCATCAACTCATTACAGGATGGAGGGGCAGAACACCCAGGGCACCCCTGGGCTCACATGGCGGTACAGCTGCAGGACAGAGCTGTCCTTTTGGTTTTATGTTTTTAATTAATTCTGTTTCCTCAGATTGATGATGAAGTTTATTTTTCCAGCCTGACCAAGAAGTTGTCACCATACCAGATCCGGGAAGTCTCTCTTCACCTCTGATAGACACAGAGAGGAATCTGGGCCTGCTTCTCGGATTACACACTTCCTATTTAGCAATGAGCACACCGCTGTCTCCTGTCGAGATTGAATGTGCCAGTAAGAAAATCTTTGCTTTTTGCTGATTAGCAGATTATTTTTTTTGAACTGTAAGTGCCATTAAGAGTGGGAGAGGGCCAGGCACAGTGGTTCATGCCTGTAATCCCAGCACTTTGGGAGGTTGAGGCATGTGGATTGCTTGAGGTCAAGAGTTTGAGACCAGCCTGGGCAACACGGCAAAACCCCATCTCTACAAAAAACACAAAAATTAGCCAGGCATGGTGGCATGTACTTGTAGTCCCAGATACTCAGGAGCCTGAGGTAGGAGGATCGCTTAAGCCTGGGAGGTTGAGGTTGCAGTGAGTCATGATCATACCACGGCACTCCAGCCGGGGTGACAGAGCAAGACTCTCTCTTTAAAAAAGTAGGAGATGGCCAGGCGGTGGCTCATGCCTGTAATCCCAGCACTTTGGGAGGCTGAGGCGGGTGGATCACCTGAGGTCAGGAGTTCGAGACCAGCCTGGCCAATGTGGTGAAACCCCATGTCTACTAAAAATGCAAAAATTAGCTGGGCGTGGTGACGGGTGCTTGTAATCCCGGTTACTCGGGAGGCTGAGGTAGGAGAATTGCTTGAACCCAGGAGACAGAGGTTGCAGTGAGCCAAGATCGCACCACTGCGCTCCAGTCTGGGTGACAAGAGCGAGACTCCGTCTCAAAAAAAAAGAGGAGGATTCAACACAGTTGATGATGCTACAAAAAATAATAATAAGGATAGTGAGACTCAATCAGGTAGAAACAGCTGTGAGTGGCTGTCATTTGCCCTCATGGTCTGTTGCTGCAGAGGAAGCTAAAAAGTGTGCAGGAGTGTCTACCCGTCTACCCTGTGGTGGTCTCACGTATTGCAGCCTCTGCCTGATGGGCCCAGCATGGCTTTTGTCTCCCTGCATGCCCAGAAATTGCACAGAATGTGGATCAGCTGTTCTCTCAGGGAACAGCGTTCTATTTGAGGACTGCGTTTTTACCAGACCAGGCTCAAGTCAGTTATATTCCAGGATGGCAGCCTTTGTAACCACCTAAAATAATAAGCTTTTTCCTGTCTCCTAAGATGGGTTTACATTTTCCTTCATGTAGTCGTGCATTTCCCATCTGTCTATCTGTCCGTCCGTGTGAGCAGCTTCTGTTGAGCAGTTGCCTGGTGCCGTTACCATGCGAGGTGTTCAGGATGCAGTGATGGATAGGACACGCCTCTGCTTTCAGTTGCTGCTTGTTGATGAGCCAGCATTCTAAGCAGGTCACGTTACAAGGTGGTGAATGGTGAAATGGAGACGTTCATACGTGGTTCTGGGAGAAGAAAGGCTTCACACCGGCAGCAGTCCTGAAATTGCATGAGGGAGCATTCTGGGCAGAAAACACAGGAGTGTCAAGGGCAATGCTGAGAGGAGCAGGGCTTTCCTGCTGCTTGCGAGAGTGGTTGTGGGAGAGGCTTGCGGGAAAGGAGGATCTTGGTGTCCACACAGCCCCCCGTTGGGTGGACCTTTGTGCAGTGCTGGGTGCTGGACTGCCTGTGGTGCCCTCTGAGGTGTCTGCTTCCCTCCCTCCTCCTCAAGGCTCATTGCTTGCCAGAAGATGGGCTTTGTTTAAATTGACAAGGAGGGCAGGGCTGGCGAGCTCCAGAGCAGAGGGTGCCATGAGCCCTGGCAGGTGGGTCCGAGCCACAGGAGGATCAGAGGCTTATCTTGGAGCAGTAAGGAGGGGCTGTCCTGTGCTTAAAGAAAGGGGGCCAGAGAGAGTTGGCATTGGATTAGTGTTTCAGAAGAACGAATGTGGTGGGTTGGGGAATGCTCCTGAGTGCTCTAAAAATCTAAATGTCCAGTAAAAGAACAGTAAGTGCATCCCCGCTTTGATTGCTTGGATTTGGAGCAGTATTTGATAACACAGATCGTTAATAGAGATCTGTAGTGGTGCACATCCTAATTTTGTGTGTATGTGCCGCTCCCTCAAGTGACCATAAGCAGTTGTAATTAACATTTGCACTGGCTGATCCCATGCCTTGCACCATGCACAGGTCTCCTTTCCAGTCCATCGGCCCTCCCGTCTCCAAGGATCTATCCTTCATTAAAGATTGTGTGTTTGTTAAATATTTTCTCCTTTTCATTCCTTTATAAGTGCTCTAGGAATACATAGCCTACCCTGAGGATGTAATTCTTTGTAGAAACCCTTCAGATATGCTGTTCCCTGCCTGGATACTCAGCGTCTGGGTCTTATTCCTCATCTTAGCTCAGTTGTTGCTTCCACAAGTCCCTTACTGACCCTCAGAATAGCGGTGGTCTGTCCTCCGGTCTCCCTGGTACCCCCATAGTCATCCGTTGCACAGTTTTGGACTTGAAATCCTGTGATTAGTTGTGTCAGCGGTGCCCTTTGCTGCCTTCCTTGTTAGAGTGTGCAACTCAGTCTTCACACGGTATCTGTGGAACCAGGCAGCTGCAGGCAGAGCACAGGTATCCAGAGAATTTTGGACTGGAACTACAATCCTGAGTTCTGATGCCGTGCCTGAGGTGTGTGGAATCACCAGAAAGTGTATTCACGTAGATAGAGGAATTACAAGTCAACCTGTGTAAACATGTTAGGTGGAGCTCTTTCATATGAATGATGCTGAATTTTACCTTCTAAATTGAGTGTTCAGTTGAGCATCTTTTTTTTTTTTTAGTATTTATTTTGAGTTGTGCACTTGAGTTTCTCTTTCATGTTTGCGTGTGCATTTTCTAGAATGGCTTCAGTCATCCATCTTCTCTGGAGGCTGCAGACCAGCCAGATCCACTACAGCTACAACGAGGAGAAAGATGAGGACCACTGCAGCTCCCAGTGGGCACACCTGCCAGCAAATCACCACTGCTCCCACAGATGGGCCCTGGGGGACCATTCTCAGGCATTTCTGCAAGTCATTGCAGACAATAACATTCAGGATCACAACGTGAAGGTGAGCTAGGCCTGTCCCCACTGTCACCTCAGTGCTCTGTTTATCTGAGGACTTTGACATAGGAATACTTAGGTGCTCTTTGGTTAACATAGCACAGACTTTGTTTCATGTATTATTTGGAGGGTTTTGAGGTGAGAACCTGATTGTGTTAACATGCTAGCAAGGCTTCGGAAGCATTACTGATTGCAAGTGCATCAGAAGCTGTGGCATGTTTAAGATTTGTGAAGACTCACTGGCCGGCCCTGAAGTTACCTCCAGCTGTTTCTGTTGCAGGGCTTTTTGTGTCAAATAGAAAGGTACTGTAGGCAGTGCCATTTGACCACACCGATCATGTTTCCCCCCGAGCACCCCGTGGAAGAGGTCGGTCGCTTGCTGTTATGTTGCTTCTTAAAACATGAAGATTTAGGTAAGGAGCTCAATATCTGTGTACTTTAGCTAGACTGCAGATTCCTCGACTAACCTGTGGTACATATTCATTCCTTCCCTGTCCTTCTTTTAAATGTCTTTTTGCAGGTCATGTGGCATTATCTTTAGTTCATGCAGGTGCACTTGATATTGAGCAAATAAAGCACAGAACGTTGCCTAAGTCAGTGGTGGATGTTTGTAGAGTTGTCTACCAAGCAAAATGTTCGCTCATTAAGGTGATATATTTTAATTCTTTTTATTCTGTGCTTTGCAGACAGTTGCAGAAATATTTGTTGTTAAAGTTGTCTTTTCCTGGTTAACTTTGCAGACTCATCAAGAACAGGGCCGTTCTTACAAGGAGGTCTGCACTCCTGTCATCGAACGTTTGAGATTCCTCTCTAATGAATTGAGACCTGCTGTTGGTAATGACCTCTCTATAATCTCTGAGTTTAAATTGTTAAGTTCTTTGCCCCGTTGGAGGAGGATAGCTCAGAAGATAATTCGGGAACGGAGGAAAAAGAGAAGTAAGAATGTAAAAGGACAGAAGATACTATTAAAGCATGTGCTTCACCCTGCCTCGCTGGACCTGTGATTTCAGAGTGAAGTTTCTCTACTGTTGATTCCATGTGACATTTCTACCTGCTGCCATCATTTTTATGTATAGTTATGATTAAATACGGAAATCTCTCCTATTTTTTCAACCGATCAGACAATGAGGCAGTTTAGGAATTGAGTGTGGTATGATTTGATTACTAGTAAATTGATGTTGAAAATGTAAATAATCTTTGCTAAATTGATGGGAACAAGGACGTATTTTTATTTTATTAGTTATCCTGGTAATGAGATATAATGGGAACATTTAAACTTATTGCCATTCTTCTAAAGAAATGTTTTTTGTTTGGAAATATTGAGTATTCTGATACATGGAGAATTATAAAGGGAAGCTGAAAGAGTTACTGACATTTTCCTGGAAGTAGCTGTGTAAGAGTACAGAAAATTGTAGCACCATAAAGTTTTACGGGAGCACAGCCACACCTGTTGCTTTATCTGTGGTTACTTTTTGTGCTACAGCAGCAGAGTTGAGTATTTCCAACAGACTGCGTGGCCTGAAAGACTCAAATGTTCACTCTCTGGCACTTGAGGAAGAGCTTGCTGGCTGCTGGGCTTCCCCTGCTTCGGGGCTTCTCCCCTTGTCACACTCTCACTTTGTCATTTTGTTCTGCCATGGTGATCATTTCACTCTTGTTGTTTGAGCCTTGCAATTTATAATGTTGTTCAGATGTTTATTTGAATGAAATATTTGTCTTTCATGTAAATCTAAGTATTTCCTAATTTAAAATTAATATTTAAGTGTATGATTTTTTATAGTGAATGATGTTTTAAAACACAGTTCCTAAGAAGCCAGAATCTACGGCTGATGAAGAAAAAATTGGAAACGAAGAGAGTGATTTAGAAGAAGCCTGCATTTTGCCTCATAGTCCAATAAATGTGGACAAGAGACCCATTGCAATTAAATCACCCAAGGTGCAGTGTTTTCTGTGATTCTGAGGTTAGCTGAATAGAATCATAGCATGTAGCAAAGGAATCCACAGTCTTGTACCTCTGTACCTGAGCATCCGGAGGGAGGGACGGGCGGTTGTTAGAAATACGGCCCCAGTGATGGTTCATGAACTTGACTTATGATGTCCTGGTCAGAGCTGTAGCTGGAGAAGGGTTTCCTTTTATTTTTGGTACTAGATTGTATCATTAATTATTCACCATTCATTCCTTAAATATATTCTTTGTTCCAGAAACAGTGCTGGGCCCTGTGGCTATTAATATGAACCACAACTTAACTTCGTATGCCAAGCTAGCCTGTTCCAACATATATTAGTATAGAGATAAGTTCACTTATATTTATAGCATAGTTTTAAAACCATGTATTAATTACTAAATTTAACATATTTTAACCAATTTAAACCTATGAGCATTATTTATATTTTACTTGAATAACTTTTAGAGCACAGTTTAATATTAAATAGGGTAGACTAATGATGAAAATTGTTTTCCTTTGTTAGGACAAATGGCAGCCACTGTTGAGTACTGTTACAGGGGTTCACAGATACAAGTGGTTGAAGCAGAATGTTCAGGATCTTTATCCGCAGTCTCCACTCCTCAGTACAATTGCTGAATTTGCCCTTAAAGAAGAGCCAGTGGATGTGGAAAAAATGAGATAGTGCCTACTAAAACAGATAACATTTGATGAGAAATGCTTCTCTGCAGTGGGTAATATACATAACACTTAACTGTATATGCATTGATATTTTGCAGTTGGAGAGAGCAGAGGTTCGCCTGGAAGGGATAGATACAATTTTGAAATTGTATCTGGCGAGCAAGAATTTCTTACTTCCATCTGTGCAGTAAGCGATGTTTTGTGGATGGCAAAGACTTATTCCTGAAGGAATCGATATAGGGTAAAACGTTAGCATATTTTTTTCTTAACTAAGGAAGCTGTGGCAACAGAATGTTGTTCTGTAACAGTTAGAAGTCTGGCAGTGTCCCGAGTCAAATTCTTTATCTTTATTTGAAAGGGAACCTCTTACTGATTGTTTAAAGGATGTTGATTTGATCCCACCTTTTAATCGGATGCTGCTGGAAGTCACCTTTGGCAAGCTGTATGCTTGGACTGTTCAGAACATTCTAAATGTTCTGATGGATGCCAGTGCCAAATTTAAAGAGCTTGGTGAGTCAACAATTGCATCAATGTTATTTTATAGTTTGCCTTTAATTATGTGTTGTGGAAACTTGCAAATGCCAATTTTTGCTTTTGAGAAGACTGTAATAAGTTTGTACTTTGTACTTGTATAATCTATGCTGCTGTCAGCTTTCTCAGATTTTAAACAAAACTTTAAAATTTAGCAGGAGATACAATGTTGAAGTACTCTAGTATAACATTTTTACATTTTGACATTTATATGTGTATCACCACATATCCTAAGTGTCTGTGTCTTATATTAATATTTATTTCCTGGATAGTCTGAGCATCTACAGAGAGTTGATTGGATTGGTTTTGTGGAGGAAAAGTGAGACATAACTTTTATATTTGAAATGGAAGGAATGGAATAGGGCACCAGTGTATTCAGAGAGCAACATGCTAAGTCCTGTAGACAGATGGAACGACCTGTGCATAGAATACAGGGGTTAGGCCCATCGTGCAGCATGACAGAGCTGCCCACTCTGTGGAAACCACTGAAAAATAGTCAGATGTTTAGAGTAATTGCCCGTGCTTTCTGTGTTACTTTTATTCTTGTATCCACGCACAAGAAATGTCAGTGGGTGTCAATGCTTATTAGTCAGATGTTTAAAGTAATAGCCCGTGCTTTCTGCGTTATGTTTATTCTTGTATCCATCACAAGAAATGTAAGTGGGTGTCAATGCTTATTAGGTATCCAGCCGGTTCCCCTGCAGACCATCACCAGTGAGAACCCATTGGGACCGAGCCTGGGGAGCATCCCGCAAGCCCGCTTCCTCCTGATGATGCTCAGCATGCTCACCCTGCAGCACAGCGCAAACAACCTCGACCTCCTGCTCAATTCCGGCACGCTGGCCCTCACTCAGACGGCACTGCGCCTGATTGGTAGGTCTGCACTGGCTTGAGAGCCTTTGGGAAAACGTCAAGATTTTGCTTTGATTTCTTTTTTTTTTTTAAGCTTTTTGTAAATTATGGTAAGACACAAATAGCAGAAAGTGTAGCATTTTAACGTCGCAATTCAGCAGTATTAAATACATTCACAATTTTCTAGAGTCATCACCACTGTCTGGTTGTAGAACTTTTTCATCACTATAAATGCACCCCATTTAGCCATCAGTCCTGACTCACCTGCTCTCCAGCCCCTGGTAGTCACAAATCTGCTTTCTCTGTCTATGGATTTGCATATCCTGGATATTTCATATAAATGGAATCATACCATTTGTGGCCTTTGTGTCTGGGTTATTTCATTTGGTATATATCAGTACTTTATTTTTATGGCTGAAAAAGATTTCCATTGTATGAATATATAACATTTTGTTTATTCATTTATCTGTTGATGGACATTTGGGTTGGTTTTGCCTTTTGACTTTTGTGAATAGTGTTGCTAGCAACATTTATATACAAATACTTGTTTGAACACTTGTTTCTAGTTCTTTTGATTATACACCTAGGACTGGAATTACAGGGTCATATGGTACAACTATGTGTAACTTACTAAGAGACTACCAAACTTTTCCACAGTGCCATATCATTTTTACATTCCCACCACCAGGGGGCAGGATTCCAGGGTCCAAGTTTCTCTACTTCCCTGCCAACACTATTTTTTGTGGTTTTCTTTTTTTTTTTGGATTAAGGCCATCCTAGTGGGTGTGAAGTGCTATCTCATTGTGATTTTGATTTGCATTTCACTAATGATGAATGACATTGAGCTTCTTTACATGTTTGTGCTTGTTGGCCATTTGTATATCTTCTTCGGAGAAGTGTCTATTCAAGTCCCTTTCTCTTTATTTTTTATTTTATTTTTTTGAGACGGAATCTCACTCTGTCACTCAGGCTGGAGCGCAGTGGCACAATCTCGGCTCACTGCAACCTCCACCTCCCGGGTTCAAGCGCTTCTCGTGCCTCAGCCTCCCGAGTAGCTGGGATTACAGTCACACACCACCACACCTGGCTAATTTTTGTATTTTTAGTAGAGATGGGGCTTCGCCATGTTGGCCAGGCTGGTCTGGAACTCGTGACCTCAGGTGATCTGCCTGCCTTGGCCTCTCAAAGTGCTGGGATAACAGGCATGAGCCACTGCGCCCAGCCCCTTTCTCCTTTTTAAATAGGGTTATTTGTCGTCATCTTGTTGTTGTACCGGTAAATGCACTATGTAAGTGTACCAAACATTTAAAGAAGAATTAACACCAGTCCTCAGACTCTTTAAAAATTTCATGTATACTAGACCTTCACAGATCTGTAGACCTTTATCAGATATATCATTTGTGGGTATTTTCTCCTGTTCTCTGGATTGTATTTCCTTTCATAGAGAAGTTTTTTATTTTGATGAAGTTTAGTTTATCTGTTTCTCTTTTGTCGTCTATGCTTTTGATATCATACCCAAAAAGCCATTTCCAAATACAAGACTGATGAAGATTATCCTCATCTCATGTTTTCTTCCGTAAGTTTTATAGTTTTAGCTCTTATAGTTAGATCTTTGGTCCATTTTTAGGTAATTTCTTTTACACAGTGTGTGGTAAGAGTCCAGCCTTTTCCTTTTGATTATCTGATTGTTTCAATACCACTTGTTGAGGACTATTCTTTCCCTGAAGTTCTCGGTACCCTTGGCAAAGATCAGTTGGCTGTAGATATTTAGGTTTATTTCTGGACTCTCAATTACATTATTACATTCTATATGTTGATAATTATGCAGGTACCACACTGTTTTGAACATTGTAGTTTTGTACTGTTTTAAAATTGAGAAGTGTGTCTTCTTTCTCAAGATTATTTTGGCTGCTTTGGTTCCGTTGAATTTTCATATGAACTTCAAGGCTGGCTTTTCCATATCTGCAAAAAAGACCATTGGGATTTTTGCTAGGGATTGAATCTGTAGATTGTTCTGGGGAATAGTGCCATCTTAACAATGTTAACATCCATTCTCTGAATGTGGAATGTCTTTCCATTTATTTCCGTCCTCTTTAATTTCTTTCAGCAATATTTTATTGTTTTACAGTTATCAGGGTAATAATGGCCTCATAGAATGAACTAGGTAGTGTTCCCATATATTCTATTTTTAGAAGAGTTTGAGGATTGGTGTCAATTCTGCTTTAAATGTTTGGTAGAGTTAACCAGCTAAGCTTTTCTTTGTTGAAAGATTTTTTTTTTTTTTTTTTTGAGGCGGAGTATCACTCTGTTGCCCAGGCTGGACTGCAGTGGCACGATCTCGGCTCACTACAAGCTCCGCCTCGTAGGTTCACGCCTTTCTCCTGCCTCAGCCTCCCGAGTAGCTGGGACTACAGGCGCCTGCCACCACGCCTGGCTAATTTTTTGTATTTTTAGTAGAGACAGGGTTTCACCATGTTGGCCAGGATGGTCTCGATCTCCTGACCTCGTGATCCACCCGCCTTGGCCTCCCAAAGTGCTGGGATTACAGGCGTGAGCCACCGCTCCCGGCCTGAAAGATTTTTAATTACCGATTCAATCTCTTTACTTGTTATGGGTCTATTCAGATTTTCTATTTCTTCTTGAGTCAGGTTGGGTAATTTATATTTCTAGGAATGTGTCCATTTTATCTAGGCTATTTTATTTGTTGGCATACAGTTGTTCACAGTGTTCTTTTATAATCTTTTTTATTTTTATGTTGCTAGTACTGTCTCCACTTACATTTCTGATGTTAGTTATTTGCATCTTTTCTCTTTTTTTCTTTTTTTTTTTTTTTGAGACGGAGTCTCACTCTGTTGCCAGGCCGGAGTGCAGTGGCACAGTCTCGGCTTACTGCAACCTCCGCCTCGCAGGTTCAAGTGATTCTCCTGCCTCAGCCTCCCAAGTAGCTGGAACTACAGGCGCCCGCCACCATGCCCGGCTAATTTTTTTGTATTTTTAGTGGAGATAGGGTTTCACCATGTTGACCAGGATGGTCTCGATCTCTTGACCTCGTGATCCGCCCACCTCAGCTTCCCAAAGTGCTGGGATTGCAGGCGTGAGCCACCTTGCCTGGCCTCTTTTTTTCTTAATTTGCGGAAAGTTTATCAGATTTTTTGTTCTTGCCAGAAACCAAACTTTTGGTTTTGTAGATTATTTTTCCATTCCCTATTTAATTTATGGCTGCTCTAATCTCTGTCGTTTCCTTCCTTCTGCTTTGTATTTTTTTGTTTTTGTTTTTTTTTTTTGTCTTTGTTTTGAGACAGGGTCTTACTTTGTCCCTCAGGCCGAAGTACAGTGGCGCAGTCATGGCTCACTGCAGCCTCAACCTCCTTGGCTCAAGTTATCCAACTGCCTCAACCTCCCAAAGTGCTGGGATTACAGGTGTGAGGCACCACACCTGGCCTAACTTTGGTTTTTATTGTGTTCTTATTTTTTTAGTTCTTCCAGATGTAGAGTTATTGATTTGAGATCATCTTCTGTGAATGCAGACTTCTATAGTATAATTGCCCGTCTTAGCCCTGCTTTTGGCGCAGCACAGAAGTTTTGGTATGTTGTGTTTTCATTCATCTCATAGTATTTTCTAATCTCCCTTGTGATTTCTTCTTTGACCCACTGATTGTTTACCGTGTGTTGTTTAATTTTCATATACTTGTGAATTTTCCACTTTTCCTTTTGTTATTAATTTCTCATCATTTCATTTTGGTTGGAGAAGGTAATTTGTATGATTTTAGTCTGTTTAAATTTGAGACTTTGTGGCCTAACATATGGTCTGGTCAGTCTAAGAGAGTGTTCTGTGGTATACTTGAGAATAATGTTTATTCTGCTCTTTTTGGTGAAATGTTCTGTATATGTCTATTAGATCTGATTGGTTTATGGTGGTGTTCTTTGGCTAAAACTGAGATGCTGCAGGGCCCGTTGTCAAAGTCACAGTGAAAAAGCAAGGTTTTCCCAAGCTCTTTTAATCACATCAGTCTTAGAGTTCAAATTAATCCATTCAAAAATACGTATCAGGCCAGGCTGTAATCCTAGCACTTTGGGAGGCTGAGGCGGGTGGATTGCTTGAGCTCAGGAGTTTGAGACCAACTTGGGCAACATAGCAAAACCCTGTCTCTATAAAAAATATGAAAATTAGCTTGGCATAGTGGTGTGTGCCTGTGGTCCCAGCTACCTGGGAGGCTGAGGTGGGAGGATTGCTTGAGCCAGGGAGGCAGAGGTTGCAGTGAGCGGAGATCAAGCCACTGCACTCCAGCCTGGGCGACAGAGTGAAATCCTGTCTTGGGGGTGGGGGGAATCTTTCTGTCTGTCTGTCTGTCAGTTTGTCTCTCTCTCTCTCTCTCTATATATATATATGTATATAATTATTTTTTAATTTATATATTATATTTATATGTTGTATTATGTTAAATATATATTTTAATATGTGTATTACAGCTGAAAAGAATCATCTAGTAAGAGTTATATCTGATTTCTTGAGGCCTCATTAGCAACCAAAAGTTACATTTAAAAATTACAGAAGCATATCTCCATCGAGAAATGGCCTTTTTATGTTGTCTGCTTTTTCCCCAGAGGTTCCAATAAGTAAAAATCACAGCACAAATCATTAAGTATGGGGACTTGTTCTGTTGATAGTATTCATGTGTTTAAATTTCATCTGGCCCACTGGCTGCAAAAAGCAAGGAAGTTGTGTCTCATGAATATCCGTCTATATTTGCAGCTTGCCCTGATCAGGGTATCCTTCTTATCATTTAAGAAATTATAAGCATATAATATTTTATACCAGCTTAATGTGTACATCCACATGTAACAGCCACAAAACATAAAGCTATGTAAAATAAAAAATTTCCCCCAGTTTTGGTTGCAAATTTATTCAAGCCCTTAGCAATAAATTCAGTCTTTACAGAGTTAACAGTATAGCTGCCCAGGGGATCCTGGGAGATCCACCTGGAATGCAACTCCTGTCCCTTCCTTGGGGCCCCTTCCTGGGAGCCCTAAAGTAGCGGCTAGGCTAAAGGAAAGGCTGTTTCCCCCGCTAGTTTATCTAAAGTTTTGCTCCAGCCCTGGGGATTGAATATCCTTTTTTGTTCTCTTGGAAGAGAGAGAAACACAAACTTTTTACATTTTTTGGCTCACCCAAGCCCACCTTTGGGACCGTTTGGATCTTTTTCCCTCCCACCTGGAGGAGAAAACTAAAATCAAGGGAGTTACCAGAACCGCACTCCTACCCGCTCTCAGTTTAGCAAGTGAGAAAAGGGGGGTTAAAAATCTAGCCTACTCTCCTAGGGTTAGCTCTCCTATTTTCAAATCCATTGGTAAGTTTTACTTCTCTCAGGTGACAGCAGCTCAGCTTCTGTTTCATGCTATGGATGACTCTGTAGCCACCCAGGGCACCAATTGTCAGGGGTCTCCAGGTTTGATGGTTGGCCAGGAGGACTCACAAGACTCAGCATGTAGTTGTACTCAGGGCTATAGTTTATTACAGTGAAGGGACACAGAGCAAAATCATGAAAAAGGACGTGTGTAAAGTCCAGAGGAAAGCAGGTACAAGCTTCCACAGGATCCACACAGGACGAGCATAACTGCCCCGGCACCGAGCCATGTCAAGTGCTGTCTGCCGGGAAGCTGGGTAGAGACTCCAGGCCCAGGGTTTCCATCAGGGCTGACCACATGGGCACCCCGTGCCTGGTGCATACCAAGTTCCAGAACAAGGAAAGCAGGTTTCAGCACAGACCATGTTGTTTGTACAGTCAATTCAGGCACAGCGAACCACAACTACCACCTAGGGAATTGGGGAGCCCTCCTGAAATCCAGACTCCAGCCGAGGGCTAGCCTGCAGCAATCCTGTCTGAGGTTGTATCTCGGGCCAGCTGTTAGCTGTCTTCTGCACAGAACCATGATTAAAGTTTGTCAGTTTCCCACTGTTAGATATTTAGGTAGTTATCTTTGTTTTTCTATTAATAAAAAATGTGATGATTATCTTTCTAACTCAGTTATTTTGCTTTTTACAGGGGAGTAATTCCTAGAAGTAGAGAAAGTAGCTTTACTGAGCATTTTAATATCTTTTATATCTTCCTAGGATATTTATGTATTTTGTCCTTCCGTTTATCTTCTTTTTATCGTATATCAGTAAAATATTCATAGTATTATATTGATAAACATATAGTATGGATTCTTCAAAACATTATGATCTTCATTAGTATTTTTTAAATGTTTTGTGTGTATTAAAGGGACATTGTAGCTACTTGTTGGCTCAGCTATTGTTTTTGATGCTCTGTCAGGCCCCAGTTGTGACAATGTTGAGGAAGATATGAATGCTTCTGCTCAAGGTGCTTCTGCCACAGTTTTGGAAGCAACAAGGAAGGAAACGGCTCCTGTGCATCTCCCTGTTTCAGGGCCAGAACTGGCTGCCACGATGAAGATTGGAACGAGGGTCATGAGAGGTGTGGACTGGAAATGGGGCGATCAGGTACTCAGAGATTTGATGTGAACACATTAGCCACACATTAGTTATCTTCTGCACAGGTCTGTACGATATTGGTGGGTGGAAATTGGAATAATCCAGGATGTGTCGGTTGATAGATGACACAGGTGTTGGTTCCCGAGCTGCTGAAGGGAGTGAACACAAATAGGGAATCATAAGTAGGGCATCTGAGCAGAATCAAGTCTGGAAAGAGAGGCAGCTCTTTTCAGGAAACTCACTGGCATGAGGCTCAGTTTGATGGGTCACTGGAACAAGAGTGAGAGTGAGCAAGAGAGTAAATCTCATTCTGAAAGTTGGTGTAGTGAAGGCTCTGAGGCAGGAAGCCCAGATTCTGCCCCTGTGAGCTGATGGCCACGTGCTGCGAAGTGCCCTGAACCCAGTAGTTAGGGATATACTTCATGGGCCTGTGGCCATGTCTCCATTTTCCCTCATCGCAGGTGTCTTCTAAATCGCTGCCAGGTGCCCCCAGGTGGAAGTCACTTACCACAGCCCTAGCTAAGTTAGGGCAGCGTTCACCTTCCCATGGTCTGTCTAGCTTTTCTCAGCCACGCTAGTAAGCCCCGGCTTTGTCACAGTCATCTTAGAAATAGCAGTGTCTGGAGACAGCAGCATCCATCCTAGAAACAGCTTTCTCCTACAGAAGTGAGAGACAGAGCTTCCCCCTGGGGCCCGGAGGAAACTGAAGAAAAGGGAATGTGCAGGTGCTGGTACTTGTTTCAGGTTTCTGCTCTTGCAAGGCCGGTGAGGGATTGAGGGGTCAGGACTTGCTGCAAAGCCCTGTCTGTGCATTAACTCAGAGGATCCTCATTGAGATGAGATTTCCCCTACTTCCTTGGTAAAGCAGCATGAGCACGTTATTTTATGCCATTTAATTTAAAATGATGCAAGCACACATTTTGTAGGAGAGGTGAAATCTGTGTCTGGGGACAGCCCCTGACAGACAGGGTGGCATATGGCGACATCTGTGTGGCAGGTCTGGTGTGAGCCATGGAAGGACCAGGACAGAGCACACACCCTCCTAACTGAGGTCTGGTGGGAGCCATGGAAGGACCAGGGCAGGGCACGCACCCTCCTAACTGAGGTCTGCTGGGAGCCATGGAAGGACCAGGGCAGGGCACGCACCCGCCTAACTGAGGTCTGCTGGGAGCCATGGAAGGACCAGGGCAAGGCACGCACCCTCCTAACTGATCTCTACTTGGGCTTTGTCAGGATGGGCCTCCTCCAGGCCTAGGCCAAGTGATTGGTGAGCTGGGAGAGGACGGGTGGATAAGAGTCCAGTGGGGCACGGGCAGCACCAACTCCTACAGGATGGGGAAAGAAGGAAAATACGACCTCAAGCTGGCAGAGCTGCCGGCCGCTGCACAGCCCTCAGCAGAGGATTTGGACACAGAGGACGACTCTGGTGGGTGACTCAGGAAGGCCTTTAGTCCAAGACAGCCCACAAACTGTCCAGGTGCTGGCTGCCACCACTGCCATCTGGGCCTTAGAATGGGATGTCAGGACGCACCTGCAGCTGGCACTCTGTCCTCGGAACCTGCCATTTAAATAAGCTCCCAGGCACCTCCGATGCAGGTGCATGGAGTGGCTGTGGGATCCGGCGATCTGTCTGGAACTGACTTTCTGCATTTTCCTCTCACGTGTGCACCTGCCCCTCTTTGAGAATGTGGTGGCCAGGTCGGGGCAGCTGCACCACCAGTGAGTCTCATGTGGTTGGTGCTGAGCCTGCATCTGAGCGAGTGAGCCGAGGCCTGGTGGAATTGCCCTGCGGTCTCGGTCCATTGCCTCCTCCTCCAGTGAGAGCCCCCGCCTGAGCACACCCAACCTGCCACCTGTCTTTACCTTTCCTCTGCGGTCCCTGACTCTGAACTCTTCAAGTAATGTGGAGTTAGTCAGCACTTTATTGCTTCTAGGGAAGCAGAGGTGAGAATTTAGGGGTGGACCAAGAAAGCTAGATCCTATCTGTGGAGATCCAGGTTGTGGGAGGAGGTTTCATGACATTTCTTAGCTGTTCCTAAAAGACATGCGAAGCTTCACATGGCTGGGCTTGGTAAGACCATCCAAGAGGCTGGGGCTGCCAATATAATTTGTTATTTTGATTATTTTTTTTAGAAGCTGAACAAACTGAAAGGAACATTCACCCCACTACAATGATGTTTACCAGCACTATTAACTTACTGCAGACTCTTTGTCTGCCTGCCAGAGTTCATGCTGAGATCATGCAGAGCGAAGCCACCAAGACTTTATGCGGACTGCTGCAAATATTAGTGGAAAGCGGAACGACGGACAAGACACGCATGGAATGAGAGATTGAGGGCCCAGGGAGTCAGCGCTGGGGGCCGCACGCTTGTCGTGTCCGGGTGTGCATGTGGGTGGGTGTGGATGTGTGTGGATTCATTTCCTGTGGCTGCTGTAACAAAGTACTACAAACTTGGGGGCTTACGCAGTAGAAATTCTCATGATTCTGGTGGTTGGAAGACTGAGATCAAGGGTGGTTCCTTCTGGGGCTGTGAGGGAGAAGCTGCTTCAGGGCTCTGCCCCAGCTTCTGGAGTTTGCTGGCCTCTTTAGCGTTCCTCGGCTTGTAGAGGGGTCACCCTGATCTCTGCCATCATCTTCACATGGCATTCTCCCTGTGTGTGAGTCACCTCCAAATCTCCCCTTTTCATAAGGACATCATTCAACCTCATCAAACTGATTACATCTGCAGCGGCCCTATTTCCAAACAAGGTCACCTGCCGAGGTATGGTAGGGGTTAGGGCTTCAACATACAAATTTTGCAATTCTGAATTCAACCCATAACACTGGCTTCAAACAACAAATTTGTTCTCTCAGAGTTCTGGAGACCAGAAGTCCCAAATCCAGGTGCGGGCAGGGCCATGCTCCCTCCACAGGCTCTAGGGGAAGGTCCTTCCTTACCTTATCCAGCTTCTGGGAGCTCCAGGCTTCCCTGGTGTGGGGACGCATTGTGCCAGTCTCAGAGGCCTGCATCTTCACATGGCCCCTGCCCCTGTGTTCTGCATGTCTTTTTCTGTCTCTGAAAGGACTCTTTCATTGAGCTTCTTTGACTCTAATCCAACATGATGTCACCTAAATTCTTACCTTAAGGACGTCTACAGAGACCTCATTAAATAAGATCATATTCTGAGTTCCGAATGTATGTGAAGTTGGGGGACAGGCACAGTTTAATCCATAAAGTGTTTGTGTGTGTGGAGAGTAAGTATGAGAAATGTGAGCTGAGGGAGTGGGGTGAGTGTGCATGCGACTGAGAGTGAGCACATGTGAGTGTGGGTGGGTATGTGGGTGTGCTCCAGTGTGTGTGAGAACATGCATGTATTAGTGGTGTGCTGGAGCATCTGCACATATTGGTGAGAGTGTGTTAGCGGTTGATGGGCAAGTGGCTGAGCGTTTGTGTTGCAAGTGTGACAGTGTGTTTGTAGCATGTGGTTGTGTGGGTGTATGTATGCATGCATTTATGTGAGTGGTGTGTATGTCCGTGACAGCATGTGAGTGGGCAGGTGACTACAGTCAGGTGAAGTGGGAGT
The DNA here is from genome assembly GCF_000001405.40 of Homo sapiens. Classification (NCBI taxonomy): domain Eukaryota; kingdom Metazoa; phylum Chordata; class Mammalia; order Primates; family Hominidae; genus Homo; species Homo sapiens. The sequence goes on along the minus strand of NC_000016.10, from coordinate 33,098,388 downwards.
GAAAGCGTCAGTGCATTGAGCCAGTGTGTGTGTGAGGGTGAGCACGAGGGAGGCATGAGTGTGAGTGTGAGGGGATTACTGGGTGTGCCAATGAGATGAAGTGTAAGTCAGTGAGGCTTGATGAGTGTGAGGAAGTATGGGTGGCAGCACAAGTGTAAGTGTGCGATTGTGAGCATTTGTGTAAATGTGTATGAGTGCCTTGAATCAGTGTGAGCACGAGTGACGTTATTGTGAAGGCGTGTGAGCGAATGTGAGCATTTTGCTTGTGTCAGTGGGAGGTAACAGTGTAGGTGTGAGTGTAAAGTGAGAAAGTGGGTGTAGGTGTGAGTGTAAAGTGAGAAAGTGGGTAAAGGTGTGAGTGGGTGAGGAATCGGTTGTGACTAGTGTTGAGTGTGAGTGCATATGTGAGTTTTTGTATGCAGTGGGAGGGGTAAGTGTATGTGAGAGTGCATAGGAGTGTGTGTCAGATTGCATCTTAGGTTGTGTGTGCATACGTGTGACTGGGATTGTGTGTGTGTTAGTGATTGCGACAGTGGTGTGAGTGCACCTGTGTGAGGGTGGGTGTGTGAGTGCCCATGAGTGTGTCTGAATAACTTAGTATGGGTGTGGGTGTGAGGATGCATGTGAGGGTGTGAGAGTGTGTGTGTGTGTGAGCGCATGTGAGTATGCTGAAGGAAGGCAGGTGTCCTCAAAAGCTTGGATAGCTGAGGGCGGGGGAGGTGGGCGGGGGGGAGGTGGGAGGCGAGAGCAGGTCCTGTGGGGCTGTGGGCGGGGTCCCTTAGGGGGGCCCAGCCTCCAAGCCTCAGCCTCCATTCAGGGAGTAATGGAGTCCTGGAGCCAGGCGGAGCAGAGGTGGGCCCACTGGTGCCAGAATCCAATGGTGTAAACCTAGTGAAAAACTCATTTTGTTAATGCAGATGTATTAAACTTGGATTGGAAACTGTCTCTACTAAAAATGCAAAAAAAGTATTTAAGTGGTGCAGATTAAATATAAGCAAGATTGTGGAGATATTTAAAACACAAAATTAAAAATGCAGTTGCAAATTACTGCTATTTGAATTATAGATCATTTTCTTATTGCCTAGAAACAATACATAGCTAAAATTCCCTAACTACTTTTACTACACATACTTAGAAGGTTTTAAAAATACCTGTAGTCTCAGCTATTCAGCAGGGCAAGGCAGGAGAATCACTTGAAGGAGTTTTAGACCAGCCTGGGCAACGTAGTGAGGGCAGGGCCCATCTCTTAAAAAAAAAAAAAAAAAAATGCGGAAATGTTTCTTGAACTACCTTAAAAGCCTTCTTGCACTTCTCACTTTGAATTAGTTTGAATTAATTTACAAACTGCAATATATTTTAAAGGAGCTTATTGTAGAAAATAAAATAAGTTGATAAAAAAATAAGGATTTATCTTTAGGGATTTGTCTTTAGGGACTTGTTACCAAGCATGTCTATTTTCCCTTCCGCAGCTTCTCCAAACAGGCTGGTGTACAGGGAGCAACACCGGAGCTGGTGCATGCTGGGGTTTGTGCGGAGCATCGCTCTCACGCCGCAGGTGTGCAGCGCCCTCAGCTCCCCGCAGTGGATCACGCTGCTCATGAAGGTCATGAAAGGGCACACACCCTTCACTGCCGCCTCGCTGCAGAGGCAGGTAACGTGCTGCCAGGCAAAACCAGTTCCCTGAGAGAGGCATCCATGTACTGAAGTTCCCTGCCCTTAGAGTCGGGCCTTTATTCAGTAAGGAGTGCAGAAAGGGTCTAGAAGTAACAGGGTAGATTTTCTGGAGGCAAGGGGCAGTGGTCCTTGATAATTGGTAAGTTGCTAACCTTTAGTTTACCTGCTTTTAAGTGGTAAATCCTGCAACTACTTGCTCATCTGCTTCACAGAATTTGTAGCATAATTGTCTTAAGAATTAAACTAAAAATAATTCTTTTTTAATTAAACACATGCATCTGTAATGTTGCTTTTTTCTAAAGTCCCTGACAATCCTAATCACTAATCAACTTGAGTGTAATTACCTGGCTGTAAAATAACGAATCTCAAAATTTTCACATGATTATTTGCATTATGAGAACAGAAAATAAAGAGAGGCTGGGCGCAGTGGCTCATGCCTGTAATCCCAGCACTTTGGGAGGCCGAGGCAGGTGGATCATGAGGTCAGGAGTTTGAAACCAGCCTGGCCAACATAGTGAAATCCTGTCTCTACTAAAAATCCAAGAAAAATGAGCCGGGCTTGGTGGTGGGTGCCTGTAATCCCAGCTACTCAGGAAGCTAAGGCAAGGAGAATCGCTTGAACCTGGGAGGTGGAGGTTGTAGTGAGCCGAGACCGTGCCACTGCACTCCAGCCCGGGTGACAGTGTGAGACTCTGTCTCAAAAAAAAAAAAAAAAAAAAAAAGAAAGAAAGAAAAGAGAAAGTAACAGTCTGTAGTTTCTTAATCAGATTTTTAATGCTTGTCATTTTAAATTTTCTTTTATCAGATCTTAGCTGTGCATTTGTTGCAAGCAGTCCTTCCGTCATGGGACAAGACCAAAAGGGCGAGGGACATGAAATGCCCGGTGGAGAAGCTGTTTGACTTCTTGGGGAGCTTGCTCAGTACCTGCTCCTCTGACGTGCCATTACTCAGAGGTGGGTGGCCGTCTCCCTTCCCCATGCCCTGGTGAAGAGCGGCACAGTGCCATCACTCAGAGGTGGGTGGCTGTCTCCCTTCCCTGTGCCCTGGTGAATTGTGGCACAGTGCCATCACTCAGAGGTCGGTGGCCGTCTCCCTTCCCTGTGTCCTGGTGAAGAGCAGTGCAGCAGCTTCTCCCCTTGTTTCCTCCTCAGAGTCCATGCCGAGGTGGCGCAGGGTGCGCCCGCAGGCCTTGCTGACTGCCACCCATAGCAGCACACTGGTGGAGGTGGTGGTGGCACTGCTGTGCACGCTGCACTCCCTGACTCAGTGGAATGGGCTCATCAACAAGTACATCAACTCCCAGCTCCGCTCCATCACCCACAGCTTTGTGGGAAGGCCTTCTGAAGGGGTGAGTTTGTGTTCTCAGAATTAATTTAGTTGAACAGTAAACTTGTAGGGATTGGGCAGCTCCGTGAGTGTCCCTGGTCGAGCTCACTGTTTGGTCTGCACTAGGCCCAGTTAGAGGACTACTTCCCCGACTCCGAGAACCCTGAAGTGGGGGGCCTCATGGCGGTCCTGGCTGTGATTGGAGGCATCGATGGTCGCCTGTGCCTGGGCGGCCAAATTGTGCACGATGAGTTTGGAGAAGACACCGTGACTGGCATCACCCCGAAGGGCAAAATCACCGTGCAGTTCTCTGACATGCGGACGTGTCACATTTGCCCATTGAATCAGCTGAAACCAGTAGGTGAACTTGTGCTCAGTTACTGTATGATAAGGGAAATTGGCTTTACACTAGGACCCAGCACCAACATTAGCACTTGAAAGAACTTGATTCTGGTACTTCAAGTTTGCCTTCTAGGAAGCTGTGTGAGCTTGCGCTTCTGTGGTGAGCAGGGCCTGTCTCACAGGGCACCTAAAGCAGTGGTTCCTGTGTTTTTCAGCCTCAGAGACATGAAGAGGGCTTTAGCAACCTAGAAGGTACCGTGCGTCTATGAGGTAGTTCTAATTATTTTAAAATGTGAATTTATGAAGTTTACTTTTTATTGAACAACTCAAGTATTAAAAAAACTTTTTTTTTAAGTTTTTTTTTTTCTTTTATTATTATACTTTAAGTTTTAGGGTAAATGTGCACATTGTGCAGGTTAGTTACATATGTATACATGTGCCATGCTGGTGCGCTGCACCCACTAACTTGTCATCTAGCATTAGGTATATCTCCCAGTGCTATCCCTCCCCACTCCCCCCACCCCACAACAGTCCCCAGAGTGTGATGTACCCCTTCCTGTGTCCATGTGATCTCATTGTTCAATTCCCACCTATGAGTGAGAATATGCGGCGTTTGGTTTTTTGTTCTTGCGATAGTTTACTGAGAATGATGATTTCCAATTTCATCCATGTCCCTACAAAGGACATGAACTCATCGTTTTTTATGGCTGCATAGTATTCCATGGTGTATATGTGCCACATTTTCTTAATCCAGTCTATCATTGTTGGACATTTGGGTTGGTTCCAAGTCTTTGCTATTGTGAATAATGCCGCAATAAACATACGTGTGCATGTGTCTTTATAGCAGCATGATTTATAGTCCTTTGGGTATATACCCAGTAATGGGATGGCTGGGTCAAATGGTATTTCTAGTTCTAGATCCCTGAGGAATCGCCACACTGACTTCCACAATGGTTGAACTAGTTTACAGTCCCACCAACAGTGTAAAAGTGTTGCTATTTCTCCACATCCTCTCCAGCACCTGTTGTTTCCTGACTTTTTAATGATTGCCATTCTAACTGGTGTGAGATGGTATCTCATTGTGGTTTTGATTTGCATTTCTGTGATGGCCAGTGATGGTGAGCATTTTTTCATGTGTGTTTTGGCTGCATAAATGTCTTCTTTTGAGAAGTGTCTGTTCATGTCCTTTGCCCACTTTTTGATGGGGTTGTTTGTTTTTTTCTTGTACATTTGTTTGAGTTCATTGTAGATTCTGGATATTAGCCCTTTGTCAGATGAGTAGGTTGTGAAAATTTTCTCCCATTTTGTAGGTTGCCTGTTCACTCTGATGGTAGTTTCTTTTGCTGTGCAGAAGCTCTTTAGTTTAATTAGATCCCATTTGTCAATTTTGTCTTTTGTTGCCATTGCTTTTGGTGTTTTAGACATGAAGTCCTTGCCCATGCCTATGTCCTGAATGGTAATGCCTAGGTTTTCTTCTAGGGTTTTTATGGTTTTAGGTCTAACATTTAAGTCTTTAATCCATCTTGAATTGATTTCTGTATAAGGTGTAAGGAAGGGATCCAGTTTCAGCTTTCTACATATGGCTAGCCAATTTTCCCACCACCATCTATTAAATAGGGAATCCTTTCCCCATTGCTTGTTTTTCTCAGGTTTGTCAAAGATCAGATAGTTGTAGATATGCAGCGTTATTTCTGAGGGCTCTGTTCTGTTCCATTGATCTATATCTCTGTTTTGGTACCAGTACCATGCTGTTTTGGTTACTGTAGCCTTGTAGTATAGTTTGAAGTCAGGTAGTGTGATGCCTCCAGCTTTGTTCTTTTGGCTTAGGATTGACTTGGTGATGCGGGCTCTTTTTTGGTTCCATATGAACTTTAAAGTAGTTTTTTCCAATTCTGTGAAGAAAGGCATTGGTAGCTTGATGGGGATGGCATTGAATCTGTAAATTACCTTGGGCAGTATGGCCATTTTCACGATACTGATTCTTCCTACCCATGAGCAGGGAATGTTCTTCCATTTGTTTGCATCCTCTTTTATTTCCTTGAGCAGTGGTTTGTAGTTCTCCTTGAAGAGGTCCTTCACATCCCTTGTAAGTTGGATTCCTAGGTATTTTATTCTCTTAGAAGCGATTGTGAGTGGGAGTTCACTCATGATTTGGCTCTCTGTTTGTCTGTTGTTGGTGTATAAGAATGCTTGTGATTTTTGTACATTGATTTTGTATCCTGAGACTTTGCTGAAGTTGCTTACCAGCTTAAGGAGATTTTGGGCTGAGACAATGGGGTTTTCTAGATATACAATCATGTCATCTGCAAAGAGGGACAATTTGACTTCCTCTTTTCCTAATTGATTACCCTTTATTTCCTTCTCCTGCCTAATTGCCCTGGCCAGAACTTCCAACACTTTGTTGAATAGGAGTGGTGAGAGAGGGCATCCCTGTCTTGTGCCAGTTTTCAAAGGGAATGCTTCCAGTTTTTGCCCATTCAGTGTGATATTGGCTGTGGGTTTGTCATAGATAGCTCTTATTATTTTGAAATACGTCCCATCAATACCTAATTTATTGAGAGTTTTTAGCATGAAGGGTTGTTGAATTTTGTCAAAGGCCTTTTCTGCATCTATTGAGATAATCATGTGGTTTTTGTCTTTGGCTCTGTTTATATGCTGGATTACATTTATTGATTTGCGTAGCGATTGCACCACTGCACTCCAGCCTAGGCAACAAAGGAAGACCCCATCTCAAAAAATATATATAATAAAAATAAAAATCAACTCTCATTGATTTCTATGTAAATATGCACAGGTGATGTCCATATAGACATAAAAAATAATATTTCTGACAGTGGGTCCATATGATCTTCAAAATGTAAAATGCCTGTCTGTGTAATTGACTGGTTAGACTCATTAATGAATATAGATTCAATTCTACTTTCTTGTTGTAGATAAATTATATAATCTAGCTTTTCATTTCACTTTTTTACTGATAACAACAGGAAGAATGACAAGATCTGTATTTTGGAAAATTACTCTGGTAGGAGTAAAGATGAAACAATGATAGAATTGCACGGACAACTAGAAAAAAGTATGGTCTTCTGATATTCTATCACATCACATACTAAAGGCCTCATAAAACTCAGATATTTTATCTAAAAATGTTATTTTCATCATAGGAATGATAAAAGCATGAGAGTACAGTTGTATTAAAATGTGCTTGTATCACAAGCACAGGTGCTAAAAAGGAGGGGAAAACATCCTTACTGATATTTTCAATGTATGTTTTACTTTTCATCAACATGAACCTCAACTTGATATGATGCAGATTGAAGGAAATCACCCATAATTCCATATGAAAAAGGCCTGTGATATTTTATGGGAAAATAAATAGAGAAAATGCTAACGGAAACTCTGTTAAGCATGAAGCTTTATGGAGCAAACACAAATCCAGTGGTGAAAGATACACACTCGAGTTCTGTTTGTTGTCTTGGAACAATACGGTTTAGAGGTGACTGGCGGGTGAGGAGAACATATGCGAGTTCACCAAAGAGAAAAGCTGAATGAGGCAATGCCTCTTCCTGACCATATCTCTTACTCAGATAACTATAGAATTTATTGTCCAGTAAAGGGTATATTAAAAAATCATATTAAAAGTCATGCAGTGAAGTTGTCCAGGGAAATCAAGACTTAACAGTCTCACTCTGACAATAATGAACAGGGGGATTCCCTCAAGATAGACTAGGACATGACCCCACACTGGCAGGTAGTAGTACGAGAAAAGAACGCATGGAAAATCTTTACCTTATGCTTGAGGTAGGGACCAGGCTAAAGTGAAAGCCAGACCTAAAATTCTATCTAAAATAAATCCACAATTGAAGAAAATATGTGGTGTACAGGCATAGAATGTCTTTACTGGATCATTAAAATAGTAAGATAAATTGAACTTTTTACATTGTTTTCTTTTCCTCCAGTTAGGGCTTGAGGTTTGTCTCTGGAGAGTGACTGTCAATTGGAGCCCTGCCTTTCTGGGGTTCTGGTCAGGGGGTTGTGGATGCTTAACATGTGCCTTTCACAGGACACTTCCTTACCCCAGCAGTGGCCAGGTGTGCATCCCACGGCCAGGCCTCCCTCTCACAGAACATCTGTTGAGACTAGGAGATGCCTAGTGACTGTTGCCTGACTTGTGTCCTGTGTATTTCTGACAAGAGGCACTCTCAGAGACCCTGGCCAGGAGGAGAGTTAGGTTCCAGTGTAGGTCAGCTCAGACACATGGAGGCCACAGAACCAAACATGGGAAATCACAGAAGTAGGTTTATTACTCACAGATCCAGAGAGAAGAGGGTAGCTGAGAAGAGGGTTTAGCTGTGTCCCCAGCCAAATCTCATCTTGATTTCCCACATGTTGTGGGAGGGAACAGGTGGGAGGTAATTGAATCACGGGGGCAGGTCTTTCCCATGCTGTTCTTCTGATAGTGAATAAGTCTCACAAGATCTGATGGTTTTATAAAGGGGTGTTTCCCTGCACAATCTCTCTTGTCTTGTCTGCTGCCATGTGAGATGTGCCTTTCAGCTTGCGGCATGATTGTGAGGCCTACCCAGCCATGTGGAATCGTGCATCTATTAAACCTCTTTCTTCTGGAAATTACCCAGTCTTGGGCATGTCTTTACCGGCAGTGTGAAAATGGACTGATACAGTAGCACACCTCATAGGGCTGAACAAAATGGGGAAGATGAGTGGGGAGCAGGAGACAGAAAAGGGGTCTGTGGGACTCCAGCCATTATTTGGTCCAGAACATTACCCAAATAAGTTTTCCACGGGGTACTAGTCAGTGGGGTGAGTGCCAGCAGGCACATTTCTTGACTCCCGCTGCAACCGAGCTGGTTACTGTGGCATGTGGGTGCTGTCCATGTGTGCTGTGAAGTCTGTGGGGTGAGTCAGGTAGGTTGTATCCAACGATTCCATAGCTGGTAGTCACCACGAGGAGACAACTGTGTAGGGTCAATATCTGGGCCAACCACACTGAGGAACTGTGAAGGTTAGAACTGGAAATTGTCAAGAGAATCCGAACCCAGCTACCATATGAGAGAGTTCAACTTATGTTCAATGTGAATGCCATGGCAATATTAAAAGGTAAGAATTCGATCCATATGTGCTTGAGGTAAAGAGGAGAAACCTAGAATTTACGTAAACAGTGAGAAGATTGGATGCGTTTTCCGTCTCATATTTTAATACTAGCAGCTTATTATATATGTCAATCCATCAGGCATTCAGAAATACATGCTTATGAAAATTTTTTGCACCATCAGACAAAAGACAAGTGTAGAAGACATTTGTAACCCTATAAACACTAGTAAATTAAAAACAGAAGGACCTTTATGTCCTAACATATCTGTGTTGTGAAAGGCTGCCCTGTGAAATACGGGATTTCTTAAACATATTTTAAAAATCATAGGTGTCAATATTTTTTAGAAATCCATTTAAATTTTCTCTTGTTATTTTACAATGCCTATTTATTTATATAGTGGCTCTGCTGATTTTGATGTATATCCTAAAGTTTATATTTTCTTTAAAAGATGTTTTATACAACTTTATGTAAAATGTTTCAGTATCTTCACATTCTCTCCCTGTCCTTTTGTTTTGCTCTTATATGGTGGTCTTGAGTCTTTTCTCTGGCTTTTCAAACCTAGTAAGACTAAGACACTAAAGTAACTTTGCCCGAGGTTTGGTAATGCCTTCTAAAGCACATCCTAAGCTCTCGTGCATACAGGGGCTTCCTTTGAGCTCTGTGCTTTTGAGATCCCATACACCTAAATTCCAGTACTCCAAATCAGTACTGCTCAGTTTTAGTGACTAAGTTTAAAAATGTATTTTAATAGCAAGTTAGTTTAGTGCCCTCTTGCTTCTTTCTCGACTGCTTGTATACATGTATATTCCTTTAAATGAATCTTGGAATTTATTTAGAAATATTAAATTATACTAATGAAACTGTATATTGTTGTGAATTCATAAGTGAATTTGGAAAGAATTTGTCTTTATGATACTAAATCCTTTTTATTCAAGAATCATATGTGTCTTTATATTTATTCCAGTCTACATTTATATCACTGAGTAAATATATAGAAATGTGGATACATACAGCTGTAGTTACAGATACAAATATAGATATAACCTGTTAAATCTATATCTATCCCATATAACATATATACATGTAATATGTGTGTGTTTATATATATATGTTTATGTCATTAAAGAGCTCCCTTAATATTTTTCTTTTATTTCCCTTATAATTTGAGGTTGAGCTTGAATTTTCCTTGTATAAACAAGCAAATATTTATACTAGTTTTAATACTGATGTTTAGACATTGTATCTTATTTTAGCGCTGAAGATTTTCACAATTATTATAAATATTATCTAATACTAATAATGTACCTGTTAAAAATATTTAAAATTTTACCTTTGAATTATTTTATTGTTGAATTAAAATTCCTTTAATATGATAGTAAATTCTATTTTATGCTTTCTCTATGCATATGCAAATTAATCTATCCACTTCTCTATCTCTATGTAGTAACATATGAAAATCAGGCCTCTCTTCTTCTAATGGACATACACGTTTGCATATAGAATATCAGACTCTTTGTAGCATTTAAAATCTTTAAAGACATGAATATTGCCTTTTAACAAATATATTTTAGCAAGTACTGAGAATCGCCTATTTATTTTTAATTTGGGCTAATCAATATGATTATTAATATTACTGGCTTACCAAATTTGGAAACACACTTTCATCCCAAATGTGGATATTTGGTTTTTTTTTTTGCCAATTTCTTGTCTTACTGTTTCAAATATTGTTGGATATTATTTGTATTTTATTTGGCATTTTAGTATCAACATTTGTAATTGAGGTACTCTACATATTTTTTCATCAATATCTGGTGGGTTTCATAGTTACTGCTATATTGGATTTGTAGTAGACATTGACAAAAATTATTCCTGTATGTTTTACAGCTGTATGAAGGAAACTAATATATTTTACCCCTAAATATATTTCCTTGATATATTTCAAAATGGCTATTGAGAAGGGCTGCAAATGCAATGTTAGCTGCAAAGCTGTCTTGGGGAGATTTGCATCGGTAGAGAATCTGCCATGATGCAGCCAGGTTTTCTCTGAGGTCTGCCCCCTTGTCTGGATCTAGGAAAGTTTAACTGAGAGGCTGAGGTCTCTAAAGGTCTGAAAGAAACATTTTCTGTCTATTCTCTCTGAGGACTACTCCCAGTGAGGTTCCACCAATGTAATAAGTCCACTGTTGCTAGCCAGGGTCGTTTTCTCACATAACCTTTTTCTTTCTTTTCCCTGTGATCCAAGACCCCATTTTTCTGTAAACTTCATGTGGTAGATAAGCTTCTGCTCGCATCGTGTGACTGGGTCTTCGTTCTAAGGGTTCCAGTGTACACACATTGCAGAAACCTGTATGCCTTTTCTACTATTTATCTGCCTCCTATTCGTGATTTTCAGGGAAACTTCAGAAGGCAAAAGCGACATTCTCTTTAGCCCATTCTCAGACAAATTCCCCCAACATTTAACTGATTCCTAATAGCTTAAAATCACATTGAAAAAATCCATGTATTTATATCCTTTTCTTCCCTCAATGATTTCTGGTCAGCTTGGGTTTTGTTTTTCATTCCATTTACCTCATCCTCGAAAAGATGTATCTTACGTCTATTTATTCTCATTTATGGACATTGAGAAAAGAAAATAACTTTCATGTGAGAAATGCAAGTCCTTTTATATAATCAGGCCCAGAGAGTTATTCAAATGAGACAGCAGTTCTGTCCTGCTCCTCTTTGAGCTGTGTGTTCATCTAGGCTGCTTGCTGTTGCCACAGTAGCTATAAATTAACCAATAACGCCACACCAGACACTATAATCCACACCCCAAAATAGTGTAACAGTGTATAGCCAGTCACTAATAAATGTTATTTCCATAAGCCAATGAGAATTTGTGACAAACCTCTTTGCATCATCCCACTTCTGGACCCTTTTTTGCCTTTAAGAAACTGCTTGTTGCAAAGCTCCAAAGGGAGTTCATATCCAAGGATACTTGGGTCTGTTTCTTCCAGGCAGCTGTCCTCATTGTGGCTCAAGTAAACTCTTTGAATTATGTTTTGTGCTTCAGCCCCTTCCACTTAGATTAACAACATGGATTTGTGTCACCATGTACAGCAATTAAAATGTTTACACTTTTCCCCTCGAGGGCACTGATGTGTTTTCCTGCGCACTTGGAATAGCTACGTAGTGTTTCCTGTCTAGATTATGGTTTCTCAATCTTGGTGCTACTTACCTTTAGGACCAGAGGATTCTTTGTTGTGGGAGGCTGCCCTAGCAATGTTAGGTGTTTCGTTTGACCTCTAAATTTCACACCTCCACCAGTCTTGACATCCCCACAATAACCCTAGACATTGACAAATGTCTCCTGGGGAAAACTCTCTACCAGTTGACAGGCAAAGTTCTGGAAATATTGGAATTGTCAATTGAGATTTTATGTTATCCAAAACAAATATTTTTCTTTGTTTTTAAACATCTACTTCCATCTACTTATCTACTTATTTTTACTTTTATTTATAACTTAATTCCATCAAGGAGAGAGAGTGCATTTTCTGTTATGCTAAATTTTTGAAGAATGTATTGATTTTTTATGACCTGATATATGGATGATATGTAGATATTACATGTTTGTATTATCAAATTTCATGGTGATAATAAAATAAATACTTATAATATTTATATTGTCACTGTATATTAGTTATTTTTTTTCTTCACTACAGGAGGTTTTCAACCTATAGGCTATTTTTCAATTCTAGGTTATCCAGTAGATTTTGAAATGTTATGATTAAATATCTACTTCTCAAGCATTCATCTTTGCAAATGAAACAATCCCAAGCTCTTATAATACACATCTTATAAAGGGCAGATTAGTCAATATATGGTTCAGAAATAATTATGTAATATTTATAAGAAAATTAAAAATTTAGATCTTTAACTCACATAATAATCCAAATTAAAATGTGATTTCATTACATAATTTAAAATGACACCAGAATACTAGTAAAAATTATATTAAAAAGTTTATGTAATCTTTTTTAGCTGTAGGACTTTATTAGCATAAATTCAAATACAGGAACCAAAGTAGGATTGAGACCTGTAGTCAAAGGTTAAAATGTACACATTATAGGGGCATGATTAAACTAATTTAAAGCATAATAACATGGAGAAATGTTGCAAAACATACATTTTACTGAATTAATTGTTAGTATCTAATCATTTTGTGAGAACCAAATTAAAAAGTAGCTACACATGCACACACCCACACAGAAGTGCAATATTGTCAAATAAACGATGTTCAGCTACACTAGAAATCACAACTGTGTTTTCTCCACAGAAAAGATTAAAAATCGCAATAATTTTTATTGTACATATGGAGGTAAAGATACTCAAAATATTACCCTAAAATACATTATTTTTTTGAGACGGAGTTTTGTTTTTATTGCCCAGGCTAGAGTGCAATGGCACAATCTTGGCTCACTGCAACCTCAGCCTCCCAGGGTCAAGTAATTCTCCTAGCTCAGCCTCCCAAGTAGCTGAGATTACAGGCATGCACCACCACACTCGGCTAATTTTTTGTATTTAGTAGAGACGGGGTTTCACCATGTAGGTCAGGCTGGTCTGCAACTCCTGACTTCTGGCGATCTACCCACTTCAGCCTCCCAAAGTGCTGGGATTACAGGCGTGCGCCTGGCCAGCTTTTTGACATATTTCAAGATGGCTACTTGGAAGACTGGAGATAGCTTCTTCTACAAGAATAGCTGAAAAGCTGTGTTTGTTGGGGAGATTTGCATTTGTAGAGAAAATCTGCATTGATATATACAGGCTTTCCCTGAGATACTCCCTTGTCTGGGTTTTGGAATGATTAACTGAGCCTGGCACGTTTACATTTCTAAAAACCATTTCCTATCTATACTTCCCAAGAGGAGGGCTGCTCCCTGTGAGGTTTCATCCATGTAACAAGACCACCTCTGCTGCCAGGCTCCTCTTTCTTCCTTGTCGTCACCTGTCTTCCGCAAAGCCTGATTTACCAACCTACAGCTCTGTGTTTTCTGTAACCTCAAGACAGCATAGGCGTGTTGACTACCTTGCCTTTCCTGGAGTTTTTATATAAAGAATATATATTTGTATATCTCTTTATAATATACAAATATTTGTATAGATATATTTATATATATTATGTAAACTCCAAGTGCATACTTGTGCACATATCTGTAAACCTTTTTTTCCTGTTAATTTGTACATTATCAGTTTGTTTTATAGACTCAAATAATTAAAGCTTCAAGGGAAGAATTTAAACTTTCCTATAGAGAAAAGACAAATATACAGGTGACAAATAATATTTAGAGTGTAAGACGCTTTTTAAAGGTATATTTGCAATTTGTGTCACAACATTTAAATATACATTTGTTATTTTAACTATAAAATTTCAAATAATTTAAGCCAAATTCATAGTATATGCAGAAAATTTAGCAATATATCTATGTAGCACCTTACTGTGCATTACTGTAACCAGCCGTCTAATATAAAGAATTAATTAAGGTAGCAGCTACTTTTCAAATAGCGCATTTTTTTTCACAGACCTATTAAATAAGACAAATAACATTTAAACTTTATTTTTAAATTTGCAGGATAGCAGTTTTCAGCAGATGGTTTCTTTTAGCAAATTCCATCTTCACATTGTGCTATGCTTTTATGAGTTCCAGCTGTTAACGGATCATATTTTACTGCTGAAACCATCATGTGTGATATAATTGCTCATTATGTGCCTTAAAACACAAGCAATATAATTATTTTCAACTTGGAGCAAATTAAAATCTTATCAGCAATTTAAAATCTCTAGAGTCGTCTTCTTCTGGTTAATTATTTTAAACTTGTATTTTTCTCTTTATGTTTTTAGTGAGTTCTCTTATCAAGGAGAAGAACTCAAGGTGATTATTCTTTTTTTCTCTTCCATGCACCTCACAGGTGTGTTAATAATTTCATTTCTCAGAAAATGTTCTTTCATATCTATCTTACATGATGAGAGACCTTTTAACATCTTCCATTCGGATGTGATACCAGTAATGGAAAATATTCCAGCTTCATGAATATGGTGATACAAATAGTTATCCGTCTAACCTCTTTCAGTGCCAAATGTTTACTATACTCAGTGAGTTACTCAGTCGACTGGTAATTTCTTCTGAAATCACTAATGAGAGGATCAGAAGTCTGGCTGTTGTCTGTACCTCATATGACTCCCAGTGCAGACAATTGTTTCTATGGAGCACAGACAGTTGAAAGGATTGACTTCCTGCCTAGAATAGTTTCTGCTGTGCTTCTTATCCTTCTTGTGGAGATTTCAGATTATCTGAATTGCTTTTCTATCTTAAGAAAAAACGCAACAATTCTCCCACCTGAGAGGCATGTAAACTGTAGTAAGTTAGCAGAACCAATCCGTAAAGTTTTTACATTGTTTGTTGCAAAATGCAGCGCTGGTGTCTCCATCACTAACCTTTTCTATCCCTCATTGCTCTTTCTTTGACTGCAATAGGATACCTGTAGGCAAATCTGTATTCCCGAGACAGAGTGCCCTTTTGGTGAGCTATAAGCACACTCAATGGTAGGCTGAAATACTAGTTTTTATCTATGGTGAAGTGGAATCATATCAGTGATTTTCTTAAAAAGGAAATTTAACTCTTGCTATGGTTTGAATGCTTGCCCCTTCCAAACTCATGTTAAAATTTGATCCCCAGTGTTGCAGGTGGGGCTCACTGGGAGGTGTTTGGTCATGGGGTTGGACCTTCATGAATGGATAATACCCTCCCTTAGAAATCTAAAGCTATCCTCCCTCCTCGGTGCCCTCAGGAATGAGTGTACCATTCTTTATTCACCTATAATTACCCCACCCATCCTTTTTGAGATATTGATTACATGTATGTTACACTGATGCATATTGTCTGACGTATCAGTGAGTTTCTGGTTTTCTTATTTTAGTTTACCATTTGTCCTTTAGTTTGTAATGCTTCTAATTTGTTCTATAAATTTTCTGATGTTAGGGTAAAATCCATTACTTATTCTATGTCATGGAATTTTTATTTCAAATATTTATTTTTCATCTATATATGTCACATTTTTCATTTTATAACTTCTATTTTTCTCCTATGTTTAATTTTCATTTAAGTACCTTGACATATATATGTATTTATCTATATGTATTTATAAAATATATTTACTTTAAGAACCTTGAAATTTCCTTCTTTTTTGTCATTTATAAATGACTTATTTTTATCCTGTTAATATATATCTTAATTATATATATCTTACGGCTTCTTTGCATGTCAGAGTTTTTTTTGGGTATTTTGATGTTATGCTATTGAATATCTAGATTTGATTGGCTACCTTTGAACAATGTTGTGGCAGGCAGTTCAGTAACTTCAGGATGAGTATTTGTCTGTTGTTGTTTTAAATCTTCTCTTTAAGCTTTGTTGAGTTAGTCTAGAGCCATCTGTAATTTGGAGCTAAATGAGCACTGTCACTAGGGCATGAACCTCCAGTGGTCTTTACTGAATATCCTGGAGGTACAGAGGGGATTCCCTTCTCTGATTAGAATTAGGAATGTAAAGGGAAAAGAGAAAAATAGAAAGCTATGCATAAACACGTGCATTAAAATGAATTTTATGTGGGCTTTTTCATGAAAATGTTCCTAAGGTATTTTATTTTTTTATTGTGGTAAAATACACATAACATAAAATGTACTCGGTTAACCATTTTAAGTGTACAGTTCAGTGGTACTAAATATAGTCATAACATTGTGCAGCCGTCCCTACCATCCATCTCCATAATTCGTTTCATCTTGTAAAACTGAAACTCTATACCCATTAAACAATACTTCCCCATTTCTTCCTCCCCCCAGCTTCTGGCAACAATCATTGTACCATCCCTATAATGCTAATCAAGCATAGTGGCTGTGTTTCTTGCTTCCTCTAGTCCGCAGGTAGCATACAAATGTAATAAACTACTTATTCATGTCACATCAATTTATTTTCTGCCTTATACCAAGCTTGTGGGATTCTCTTCAATACAACATTTTTATACTTACACCTATGCAATACCCATTAGCATCGCCTTCCTAAATCAGGGGAAATTGAGCCTCTGTAAGGTGGAGTAACTCCCTAAGATATAAAACTCAGCATTGAAGTCTGTATACTTCAATATCCTGCCCTCTTCTCATGTGTCTTTACTGCCTTTTATGTATGTGTTAGATGTTCAACAAATTCTCTTTCTTAAACTGAATTTAAGCCGTGGAGCAGTGTTTTGTTGAACAATAACTATGATATAGGACACTCTTCCTCCTTTTCATGTATGATCCTGTTCATGAAAAAGAGAAATTCTTTCATTGTGCTAGAAGCTTAAAATAATGAAAATGCCACTTTCTACATTAAACAGAAACTGAAGGGAATCAAGGTGAATTGCATGAGACATAGAAAACAAGTGGGAAAGAAATCTAGTATAATTTGCCCTTTGTGTACCTTTATTATTTAGCGTTTGAGTAAATGATTCCCCCAAATATCTTCCCATCTTAATTCATGTCTATAACGTAGACATTTATGTCTCACCTTGTCAAGAAGGGCCAACTCTAACATAAACATTTCCCAAAAATGCTTCCTGCTAAAACGTAAGCTCAGTCTGGCTAGAAATGCAGCTGACTTCCTAAAGATTAATTGGTAGCTAATTTTGCATGCTGTTCTCTGAACTTGAGTGAAACCTGTCCATCAGGCATACAGGGAATGACAGGAAAGGTGACAACAGAAGATGAATGCTATGTCACTAACCTTCAAAGATGACCTGCCTTTTCTTTCAAATTCTTGATATCTTAAGACTTCATTAATTCATGTCTCTTTTCCCTTGGTTCAACATTTTGCTATACCAAAACTCATGTGAAACAATGACCTAATGTAATAAAAATGGCATTTTTCTTTCATGTAGTTGCAAGCTAACTGGCATTTTTACAATCCACATATTTCCTTTGTCAATTTTTCATTCTGTATTGGAAGTAATTGATAGGTATTTCTGAAGGGATGAAGGTGTTTCTGTGTTCATTGTGATCCAAACTACTTTTAGACCTAGGGGGCGTTTGTAAAACAATTTGTGCCCGCTGACCAAGGATCACTGTGGCAGAAAGCAGCAAACTTGCATAAGATGTCACTGCTTCATAGGTTGGCTTTGAAAACTACGGGCTTACTCTATACTCTTATGTATAAAAGACATTGATAGATGTAGTATAAGATTACAATCATATTTTCCTTTTGGAAGTCACATTATAAAGCATGATGTATTGCAATTAATCTCAATTAGCTGATCACAATTAAAATTAATAATGTTTATTATTGCTGATAAAAATCATGTCTCTCCTGTTCTCAAATGTGCAAGTAATTCTTTTAATTTTAATACAAATTTGCATATTATTATTAATTGATTTGATCTCATTGGATTTGGTTCATGGATCCAATTTATTAAAATATTGATAATGGGATAATGATTTGTCTCCCCATTTCATGTACACTAAAAACAACATTTCTTACAATGATCTGCAAGCCCATCATCATCTGCCACATGTTAACTGCCAAAATTCTTTTATATCTTCACCCTTGATCTTACCAGTGGTCCTGGCCACCTCACTGTCCTCTGGACATGCCAACATGCTGCTGCCTTATGGTCAAGACTCTAGTTAATTTCTTGGCTTGGAAAGATAGCCCTCCATATATCCATTGATCAGCTCATTCAACTTCCTCAAGTCTTTACTGAAACTTCACATTCTCGATGAGGCCTATTCAGTATTTCAAACTGCCTCCCAGCTGCAGCATTCCAAAACCCCTTACTCTTCTGTGTATTTTTGAAAGGATTTATTGAGATATAATTTACATAGTGTAGAGTGCACACATTAATGTCTACAAGTCAGTGGCTTTTAGTATATGCACAGATAAGTGGAGCCATCATCACAATGAATTTTAGAGCATTTTCATCACTTCAAAAAGAAACCCCACCTTCCCTAGCTGTTAACCTCCTATGCACCCATCCCCTACTCAATCCTAAGCAACCACAAATCTGTTTTCTGTCTCTATAGATTTTCCTAGTCTGTTTTCATCTAAATAGAATCATACAATAGGTGGCCTTTTCTGCCTGGCTTCTTTCAGCTGGCATAATGCTATCAAGGTTCATGTACGTATTGGTACTTTCTTTCTTTTTATAACTGTATAACATTCAATTTCTTGGATATAACATTTTGTTTATCCAATAATATTTTTATTGACATTTGAGTTGTGTTCAGCCTTCGGCTATTTTAAATACTGCTGCTAAAAATACTTGTGTACAATTTGTGTTTGAACACCTCTTTCCAATAATCTGGGTGTATACCTAGGAATAAATTTCTGGGTCATATGACAATTCTATGTTTCATATATTTAGAAGCCATCAAATTATTTTCCAAGGTGGCCAGTTCTACCCATAGAGTATCTAACTGTGGTTTTGATTTGTAGTTGCCTGATGAGTGATGCTATTGAGTATATTTTTATGGGATTATTGACCGTTCGTGTATCTTCTTGGGAAACACATCTATTCCTATCATTTATCAGTTTTGAGTTGGGATATTTGTGACGGAGTTAAAACAATTTTTCTATATTCAAGATACATATATATATACAGACATATAGATACGTGTTTTTCAAATATCTTCTCACAATTTTTGAGCTGCCTTTTGACTTGCTTGTTTGTCCTTTGAAACACCAATGTCTTTAATTTTTAAGAAATTTTAAATATCTAATTTTTATTTTGTTGCTCATGTTTTTGGGGTTACAGCTATTTCTTTGCTAGATCCAAAATCATGAAGACTTTCCCATATGCTTTATTCTACCTCTTGCATGTGTGTCTTTAATTCATTTGAGTTAATATTTTTGTATGCTTTGGGGTAAGGGTTCGAATTTATTATTTTGCAAGTGGTGATCCATGTGTACGTTGTTGACCCAGTTTGTTCAAAGACTGTCTCTTCCTCATTGAATTGCACATGGTACCACTGTAAGAATCCATTGACTGTAGACACATAGTTTTATATATGGACTCTCAATTCTCTTCCATCAATCTATATATTTTTCCTTCATCAGTATTGTGTTGTCTTGATTACTGATACTTTGCAGTAAGGTTTGGAGCATGGGGGTGTGAATTATCCTAACATGTTTTCTTTTCTCAAGATTATTTTGGCTATTTTGAGTCCCTTACAATTCCATGTGTATTTTAGAATCAGCTTGTCAGTTTCTAGACAGAAGTCTGTTGGGATACTTGCAGGGATTTCATCAAATCTGTAGTTCAAATTGTAAAGTACTACAATATTAAATAGTCCAATTCATGGGTGTAAGGTGTTTGCTAATTATTTAAATATTCTTTAAACAATAATTTTTAATTTTCAGAGTAAAATCTTGTATCACATTTTCCAAATTAATTATTATTTCTTTTTTTGATGCTATTTTAAATTGAAGTGTTTTCTTAAATTCATTTTGGGGTTTTCATTGCAGATGTGTGCAATTGATTTTTGTACATTTACTTTGTTTGCTGTAATATTGCTGAAATAATTTACGAGTTCTATCGTTCGGTGGATTCCTTAAAATTTTCTATATACAAGAATGTTATTTTCAAATAAAGTTTTATTTCTTCCTGTTCAGTATGGGTGACTCTTATTTTTTTAGTTGCCGATTTGCCCTGCATAAAATCTTTAGTACAGTGTTGACTAGAAGAGGTCAAAGTATATATCCTATCAAAGTATATATCTCTGACCATAGCGGGAAAGCATCCTTTACCATTAAGTTGCATGCTTGCTGTTGGCTTTTCACAGGTGCCATGTATCAGGTGTAGAAAGTTCTCTATTCCTGGTTCATTGAGTTTTTATTTTTATTTTTAGTCATTAAAGCATTTGGATTCTGTTAAATGTCTTTTCCGAATCTATCGACATGATCATGCAATTCTCGTTTCTTATTCTATGGATAAGGTGTATTACCTTAATGGATTTTGGGCTGTTAAACCAACCTGGGATTACTTGTATAAATTTCACTTTGTCATAGTGTATAATTCTTTTATATGTTGCTAGATCTGATTTGTTAGTATTTTTAAAGGAAGTTTGCATTTATACTTATAGTAGTTTTATTTTTCTATGCTATTTGGACTAATTTTTGTATCAAGGTAACACTGGCCCCACAGAATAAATTGGGAAGTGAATATTTCTCTTTTTTAAAAAAGCTAGTCAAGAAGTAATATCAATTATTCAACACTAACAAATATTATTATTATAAATTATTAATTTCTCTAATTTTAATTTTCTTCCTTCTGCTTGCTTTAGGTTTAGTTTGCTAATCGTTCCAGTGCCTTAATGTGGAACGTCATCTTATCTCATCCTTTCATTTGTCTTTTCATTTTGTAAATAGTGTCTTGTTAGCATCAGGTGAGCTCCCCAGGTTGGTAGTACTCCATGTTTGTTGCTGTACAACAGTGACAGGTAATATGTCCTGAAGACAATGGAAACTTAACATTCAAAATCTCCTAGATTCCACCTTATATGATATGTCTCTTCTATTGGTCCTAATTTCTACCCTTTCTCTATTATAAACCATGAGTACAGTGGCATTCAATGAGTTCTGTGAGTCTTTCTAGTAAACTCTTGAAACTGAGGGTGTTCAGGGGAAACCCCTGAACTGGCAGTTGGTGTCAGAAGTGAGAATCTTCTTACATGGCCTCTTCCTTTGAACTGTGCAGCTGGACGCAAACTCTTCACAATTTGGGCCAGAAGTCTCGTGTTGACTTTGCAGCCTAAAGTATCTTGTAGTTTGTCTAACCCTCAATAAATTTGCTTTCATCAAATATTGTATTTGTTACCCCAAAATTACCATCACGTTTTTTTTTCTCCAAATAACTAACATTGGAGAAATAGCCAGCTGAGTTTGTAACTCAACAGAAACAAGTGATCCATATACCATATAAGTGGCCATCTCATTTTGCCTTCTTCCACCAAATCTTAGCAACCTCAACCATTGCCATGAGCCACTGTAGGCCTACCAGCTACAAACAAACAAGTATCTTGTAAAAACACTTCATACTCCCATTTGATAAATTTCCCAGCAAAGAGATGTCTACTTTAACTCTATGCAAGTGGCTCATATTCACGAAGTCTGTAGATATTATTCATGTAGTGTGAGAAAATCATCCCAGCGATGCCAGCACATTCTCCTTCCCATGATCTGCTTAGTTTGCAAACATATTCAGGCCATGGGTGAGAGATTTGTATTTCACAGTACAACAATTTTATGGAGGGCATTGAAACTTACATTGAGCATTTTAGTACAGTCACACATCACTGAATGATAGGGATACGTTTTAACAGATGTATTCATAGGCAATTTCATCATTTTGCAAACATCACAGAGAATATTACAAACACCTAGATTGTACAGCCTACCACGTTTAGGTTATATGGTATAGCCTCTTTCTCCTAGGCTACAAATCTGTGTACTACATTACTCTACTGAATACTGCAGGCAATAAGAGCACAGTGGTAAGAGGTTATGTATCTAAACATACTTAAACGTAGAAAAGTATGTAAAAATATATATTATAATCTCATGGGACCACTTTTGAATATGTAATCCATCTTTGACTAAAATGTTATTATGCATGACATGACTCTGTGACAAAAATAAAATAACACATTGTAAAAAATGTACACAGGTATCAAACATATTAATATTGTAAAAATAAAAATATTTATTCAGTGTAAGAATTTGTAATGATCACAAAATGTTCACAGCTTATATTTTAGTACAGTTTCAAATACCTAGTGCAATTGCTATTTATTTCTGTGTGTATTTTAAACATGTATATAATAAATATTTTTCAGGTTCAACAATATATATCAATCCAACTGGCTCTTATAAATATTAGTTAACATCAATTGGTAAATTCATATATATATATACACACGTGAATCAGTCTGTATGCATGTATGTGTGTGTAAATGTAACTGGATGCATCCTAATATTTACCCTTACCTACAAGATTTCCAAGATTCATTTATTATCGTTAAATGGTGTGCATTTAAAGATTTACCAAATAAAACCGCAATCATGGAATATATCAAGATGTTATTAAATTCATCTTGTGCACATAATTGTTTCTTTAAATTTATGTTTCTTGCAAAACTTGCGGTAATGCTCATGCACAAAATAATTTTCTAAGTAAAAAATAAAAACATTTTCTCAGTCATTAATTCTTAAAAATTATTTCTCCCCAATAACTGATGTGAATTAATTCTTAATTCTTAATTATAGAATAATGTTGCCCTTCAGAGTTCTGAATCTTTTGCACGTTGTATACATTTCACTCACTAGAACATCTTCTGGAATATTGGCATTAATTAATGTCACTCAGCAATTAATGATTTCAAAGAAATTAAATACCATTCATATTCTGAATCACAAGGGTACTTTGGCATCTTATTTAATCAAGCTCTTTGTATCATCATCTACAGTTTAATTACTTAACAAACATTTCTCTGTGTGAGAAAGATTGAGCAGGTTATTGTGCTTTTCGTTGTATACATTTCATTAACTAGAACATCTTCTGGAAAATTGGCATTAATTAATGTCACTCAGCAATTAATGATTTCAAAGAAATTAAATACCATTCATATTCTGAATCACAAGGGTACTTTGTTATCTAATTTAATCAAGGTCTTTGTATCATCATCTACACTTTAATTACTTAACAAACATTTCTCTGTGTGAGAAAGATTGAGCAGGTTATTGTGCTTTTTTATGATGCAACTTTTGCTTAATCTAGAGATAGGCAATGCTCCCTATAAGGGACAAAGAGAAAAATGAAAAAGCAATAGAGATGTGACAGGCATGGAAAAAGACAATACATTTATAAAACAAATAGAGCCACAGATGATGATAATGGGGATCAAATCTTGAGATACTGACTCAGTTTATAACCGCACTGTAAAATAGAGCAAATCATTTGTTAATTATTTTACAAATGGAATCTAATTTAATTAAGATGAATACAGTGTTTTAAACAAGGCAGGTCATCTTAAAATAAAATAGTGGAAAAAGTGATAAAACCAATGTAAAAATCATAAACATTTTATAAAGAATTTTTGTCATGTAATTTAATATTTTTCTTTATTTAAAATCACCCAAATCAAAATAATTTTATCTTAATTAACAAATAATCATCAGAAGTTAACTAATTTTTACTTTATAATACTAGGTTTAAAAATTCTTCACTATATTTTTAATCATACATGCTTATACATAAAATAGACATAGGGTATATGTTTACATGTTCACAATATTATATTGTAATTGTTCCTATGGATGTGGTTTTTCAATAGAATTAAGTACTTTTAAAAAGTTTCAATTTCAATGATATATATGTTTGATTTTTCTTTGACAAAGCATACATATATTGATAGGTAATAATAAGAAAATCTTCTAAAGACATTACAGGAACATGAATAAGTAATTAAATCCTCAATAATTTGTAATGTTTTATGTAAGCAGAACACATTTAACTGAAAATTGCTTTTATATAATACTCGAACGAGACTAAAAACATATTAACTAGCGGAGTAAGTCTTCAAATTGATAATCTGAACCATAGAAGAGGAGAAACGTCAAGCACTCAAATATTTGAAATGCTACAAAATATTTATATAAACTTATTTAACAATTTCTGTTTGTAGAATGCTATACAGTAATCAATATAAATGACATCTCAGTCTTTCTATAGTTTTGACCACATTTACCTCCTAATTTTAATTATTAATATGTTGGAGCAGCGCATACAACTAGATTCCGATCTTCCTTTTTAATGAGTAAAAATATGTCCTTTGAGACAGCATTAAAGAAAGAGCACCTTGTATAAATTCAATGCCAAGAGACAAGATATTCTTGATTCTGAAGTCTTGTTCTTTTATACAGCAATGTAATTAATAAGAAGAAGAAAAGCAGGACATAGAGATGGAGTCTATTTTCATCAAAAATTGTCTATAGATTTTGATGATAAAATTTAAAACTCTACTATATTTAGTTACTCACAAAAAACTAGGTTGTGGGAACATATTTGGTCAATAAAACACCCCTACCAAATGCTGACAAGAAAAAAAGTTAGGTACCACCTTTCTTCTCTGCAGATGGCCTGAGATGGGTTAATTTGAAAGAATGCTTCCAAACATGAGGTGAGCCCTGAGAACAGCATAATCCACTGCTGTCTCCCACATTCAGTTTCTCAGTTTGTGCTCTTTTCATTTTGGGGGGAGGGAAGCCAGTCCTTTAAAGCGATCTTCAGCATGATGGCAGAGCCAAGGAGTGTGGACAGGTGGCACGATGTCTGACTTTGTTCCAGCAGCCACTTGGGCTTTCTCTGGGTCGTCTCTGCCCTAGGGATAGCACTACTATTGAAAACATGTCTTTGTGACATCTCTATGCCAGGAACTCCCAACATATTTTCCTTGAAACTGATGAAATGAATACAAATAAACCAAGAGGTGTGCTGTTTGTTTCTGTTTCCTCCTTTCTGCAGCCCTTCTTGATCATCTAATATTTTTAAATACATTGTCGATCACCAAAAGGAGCATAAGGGCTTTATTCGTTTGTAGCAGATGTATTAATAGCCCAGCCCCTATTCCTTACCTGTAGCTGCTGGGAAGAAAACCATTCTTAACACTCTACAAGGTCTCATCTCCAGAATTTGCACCAGTTTCTAGCTGAGGACTTTCTCTAGCAGCACGGGAACTTGTTACTGGGCATGAAGTGGAAAGAAAAGGTGAGGGTAACTAAGAAGAATCTCCCTGGATTCAGTGATGTAATTCTGAGGCATGCTCCACATAGCTTCCCATAAAATTAAACCCAGATATCTAACACAGGAACTTACCTCTTAACACGTGTGGTATTGGCTTTTCTATCTTTCCTGTTTTATTTTGTTCTCTTTTCCTTGTCTCACTTTCACTGTGTCCTCACTCCTGCTTTAAGAATACCCAAACAAATATGTTCATTTATTTTTTTAGACTCTCAGAACACAGTTGATAGTTGAACTTGTAATCTATGATAATCAGCTTGGATGCTATATTGACAGGAAGATGGTGAACTCACAATGTCTAATTAAGATACAATTTAAAAAATATATTGAATCATGTCCAAAGACTTAAAAAGCCTAAGCGGCAGCGTCACAACTTCTTCTTTTTAGTTTACATGGTTTCTTAAACGCCTACAATTATTTAAAAGGAAGCCTTGAGTCTAGGAAAAATTGAGACATATGGAATAAATTACTAACCCATTTCTCCTTGAAATCCATTAGATGTTTGATGATTCTTCACATATATTTCTGAACTGAAAAGCTAGTTGGGAATTATTTTTATAAGCATATCCTTATGTAGTATTTTGTTTCTAAGAGTGAATGGAAGGTTTAAAGATTAAATTATTCTATCCAGAGAATAAAAAGCAATTATTTCACAAGGAGAACATGTGTATGTTGACACATTTTAAAATCTAGATTTTAAAATAGGTCCCATATAATTTTGAGTCAATTAGAATATGTTTGTATCAGTCTGTCTACAGTTTTACACCTGTCAAAAGGTACTTGAACTAAAAGAAGTACCTTGAACAATTTTGAAATTTATTATTCCTCTGAAACTGATTAAAAGAATTACGGTAGAGTGAAATTTGGATTGGCATAATTTAGGAGAGAAATTATTCCTTGGAGATCAACCTCTGCCAAGATAGTTTATAATGACATTGAGACTTTTTGATTTACACAATTTGTTATATAAAAAATACTAAGACGATGACAGATAAAACACAGACTTTAATTAAAATTGTACTAAAATTAAAAGTCTAAATAAATTACAAGGGTACGTGGTACATCTAAACGTATGTTTATATATTTTATTTGTGCATTTTATTCCTAGGGTTGCTTTTGCTTTAGTTTGTAAAACGTTCTTATTTTTATGACAATGTAGTATATACTAAATAAAGAAAAATCAGGAAATAGAAAATGAAGAAGAAAACATTAGCTATTGTCAACCAAATAAAAATTGTGCAATCACTAAGTACATGAACGATGTATTATTTGTACAGCATGTACAATGTTTATGCTTCACAGGGTGAGGTAGAGACTGCAAAACATTGAACCTGGGACAAATAAGAAAGTAAGGAAATTTTCACAATATATTAATATTACAGAAAATGTTGAACTTAACAGTTAAGATACAAGTAGTGAAAAATGATAGTATTTAAGGAGATCTAGAAAATTTAATCTATATCAGTAATGTGTGAGAAGTATTAGAATAATGCTTGTATTTCTGGATTGGCATCGATTTCTATTGAGACTGGAAACATAATAGAAGTGAGCAAAAAAGAATTTAAATCGTGGATACTTAAGTTTTATACCTAGGAGTTCGAGAAATACATTTTGTTCCTATCAAAGCAGTTGGCACAAGAGTGTACAAAATTCCCTAATTGTGTCTATGTGGTGAAGACATAGACAAACAGAGAATAGCAAAAAATAATAGCAAAAAAGCACAAATAAATTTTACCTGTATTTTTACGTAAAAGCCAATTAGAGTAGGAAAACATGAAATTTGTGTTTTATCAAAATTTTTCTCTTATAGTATAGTTGATTATATTACTGGAAAAAAATTGAAGCATTGGTATGTTCACAAAAAAAAAAGAGTAAAATATAAGGTCAAAACTATGGGAATGCAGGGAGCAGACAAAATACACCTAAACACTGAAACTGATTTTGCCCTACGGACATGTAGCAAAATGAATGTGTACAGATTCCTACTGTCATACATCACATAGGACAGTAAAGAAATACATAGTGTTTCCCAAGATAGGGCATCACACAGGAGCTCTTCCCTAAAGCTAGCACCAAAATTTATATCCTCAGTCTAAAGAAGAATCAGAGGTAAATTAGTCTCATTTCACATTCCCTGGAAATGGCAAATAAAAATGACTTGAGATTGGACAGATTTAAAGAAAATCATTAATGATTTACAGCAATTAATTTAAAAATTGTTTAAATGTGCTGTCCAAACATACGTCCAAACACCTTTAGGCCAAGAATTAATATAATGTGGTCCCAGAATGGTGGTGCCTTTAGTAGACTCACAAAAAATTCAAATTCTCTTTGGCAAATTTTCTTCTTACTAATATGCAAAAGTGCACAATAATAATTTTCAGAGAAAAATAAATCTTTGTCATTCAAAGACATCTAAGTACGCAAGGAAATGATATTCCACCATTTGAAAGGAAAGCAGAAAAAGAGTACAAACAGATCCACAAAGGTTCATTAGTAGAAATATCACTGTTAGATTATAAAGCACATTTGCTTTCAAAAATTTTAAAAAAATGAATATATATTTAGGAGACTAAAAAATTGATGTAGTAAATTTGAAAAGTAGTTTGTATATAGCATTTTAAATTAAAAACTCAAAAATGAACTCATCAGATTAGACATGGCCATGGTGAGAGTTCATAAATATTTCAGAATGCATTACAGAAAATTTAAATAAAGGCACAATGTGGACAGAATCATGAAGAGACATGGAACATACAGTGAGAAAGTGTAGCATGTGTTTAGTGAGTGTTCTCATAGAAGAAGGGAACTGGGAAGGGACAATATGTGATGGTATTTTGGCTGAAAGTTCTCTAGACTTTTGTAAGACACTAATCCACATATTCAAAACTTCTATGCATGCTAAGCAAGCTACAATGGAGATAAACCTACATCTACATATCTCCTAGAGAAATAGTAAACAATCAGGAAGGGAAAAATATTTCAATTAGCACTAGAAAAATCAAATTACCTTTAATCATATTGAAATCTGAAAGCATGAAAGGTAAAATAAACAATATTATTTGTTAAGAATAATAATGCCATTCGGAAATTCTCAACCAAGAAAAATATTCATCAACCTATGGCTAAATAACATATTTAGAGACAAAAAACAAAACACCACCAGCAGAATTCCACTAAAGAAACTCAAAGGAAACTCTGAAAACATGCTTCAGAAAGATTGAAGTTCTGAAATCAAAGAATGAACACAGAGGAAAATATATTGTAAATATACAGATAGATCAAAATAGAAAATTAGGTGTTGAAACAAAAGGATATTTAAAATTAGATAAACACTGCAATATATATGTTAGGAAGGAAATTATTAGGGCTGAAGTATTCAAAGACCCCTTAATTGTCTGACAAGAGCAGAAAGGTATGACTTTGCAACTTTTTTTTTTTTTTTTTTTTTTTTTTGAGAAGGAGTCTCATTCACTCTTTCTCCCAGGCTGGAGTGCGGTGGCGTCATCTCCGCTCACTGCAACCTCTGCCTCCCAGGTTCAAGCAATTCTCCTGCCTCAGCCTCCTGAGTAGCGGGGATTACAGCCGCGTGCCACCATGCCTGGCTAATTTTTGTATTTTTAGTAGAGACGGGGTTTCACCATGTTGGTCAGGCTAGTCTCCAACTCCTGACCTCGTGATCCACACGCCTCGGCCTCCCGAAGTGTTGAGATTACAGGCGTGAGCCACTGCGTGCGACCGACTTTGGAACTTTAATAAATTGACTGGACATTATGCATTTCTCTGTTGTGTCTATGAAAACAATAAAAATAAAAGTCATAATTTTAAAACAAGAAGACAGAAAGTGATAGGAGAAAATGAGACATTATATATATATATATATATATACACACAACAAATTAATAATACAAAATTAAGTATAAATGATCAAAGATTAACTTAAACCTAAGTAGACAATGTTTTTGTTAAAATACAAAGATTGGCAAAATTTAAAACATCCGTCTCTATCATAGTTACAAGAGACACAACTAATATATAAATTTACAGAAACTTTGAAGTTCAAACAATACAGATACTGTGTATATATGATATACATACAAACATACTACATGAATATAATTTTTTAAAAAGTTGCTATGTAGACAAAATAGAATGTAAGTTAGAAACATTTATTAAAAGAAGTTAGTCTAACCAGTGTGATAAAAGTTTTAAGTTATTAAGAAGATGTGATGACTTAAATGTGCATTAGCCTGATACATACATATATATAGACACACAAACCACACACTCTCTCTCACACACACAGACACACACGTATGTAGAGAGAGAGTCAAATTATATAAAGCAAAAATATCAGAAAGTAAGTAGAAACGGATAAGCCCCCAAATATTATAGACATTTCAAACACACGTCTTTCAGTAATAGATAAAAGAAAAAATTAAAAGAGTAAGTTTTAAAAGAAGCTAGTGGATTTTAAAAAGGGCAAATATTATATAAGGAACATGAATATTATAATTCATGTTATTTTCATGTTCATACAGAATACTTACAAAAATTAACATTTTCTAGACCATACGAATACCACAAATTCAAACAATTTTCACGGAAATAACATGACACAGAATATATTTCCTAAACAAACAGCAATGAAGGCAGATATAAATACAAAAATGAAAGTTAGAAACATAAGTGTAATAATATTGGTTGGAAGCTATTTTAATGAATATTGAAATATTTTAAAGGTGAATAGTCAATACAAATAAACCAAACACTTTTGTAAGGCCACTAAGATGCATGTGTAATGTGTAATGCCTCCTTTTATAAGGAGTAAATCTGTAACATCACCTGGGCTATTTGACAACTGCAAAGTGAATGTGAGAAGGGGAGAAACAGTGAGAGAGAGAGAGATAAAACCAGTAAAATAAACATAAAGAATGAAGGAGATAGCCAGGCGCCATTGTTCACGCCTGTAATCCCAGCACTTTGGGAGGCCGAGGCAGGTGGATCACCTGAGGTCAGGAGTTCGAGACCAGCCTGGTCTAACATGGTGAAACCCACTCTCTACTAAATATACAAAAATTAGCCTGGCATGGTGGCATGCATCTGCAATCCCAGCTACTCGGGAGGCTGAGGTGGGAGAATTGCTTGAACGTGGGGGGTGGAAGTTGCAGTGAGTAGAGATCACGCGACTGCACTCCAGCTTGGGTGACAGAGCAAGACTCCGTGTCAAAAAAAAAAAAAAAAAAGAAAAAACAAAAAACAAAAAAAACGAGGAAATAGTACACGAAAAAGCAGAATTAAAGCAACTGGGTATATATTTAAAAATGCAAAAGCTCACTTTTTCAGAAAAATATTAAAGTATTAAATCTAACAAATGTCTAGGTAGACTGATGGAGAAAAATACAGAAAATGCACAAAAAAACAATTACCTGGAATGCGAACGTTACAAAACGTCAGCAGTTGTAGATTTTAAATAAGCAATGATTTTTGATTTCAACCATGTGGGGTATATTGAAAAGAATCTCTCAGAAAAAAAAGAAAAAGAAAACTGTTATAAAGCTATGTACAAAATGTTAAGCACTATTAAAGTCTTCCAAATCTACCAGTTACGGAGTTATTGGTCTTGGACTAACACTCCTTAAAAGGAAAAAACCAAACAAAACAAGACAAAACCTAAAAACCTGGATAAAATGGCCTACGGTGGGCACTGGCAATGCATCCAAGCAGGTAGGACCTGGGTGTTACATTCTCTTTGTCAGAACACAAAGCATTCATACACTCTTCTCACCCTCACTTTCACCTTTTAATCTTATCTACTATTAAATGTATTCAACATTACTATCAATCCTTTGGTCAAAATTTCTTTACTCACATTTTGCTTGATGCACTTGGATAGACTGTTCAAGAAAGTGTGAGTAGTGAATTCCTCAAACTCTTGCATATTCAAAATCACATTTTTGAACCTTGATGCTTGAAGTGTAGCTTGGGTAACAGATGGGCTTTAAGCCAATTTTGGCATGCAAGGGGTTGAGTTTATTAGGCATCAGCACTGCTGAAAATCGTGGGGATGCAGGCTTAATTTCAACACTATTCTAAATACTTGAAAGATATTATATAAGTCTTTAATAAACTCCTGTGTCTACAAATGGTTCACATTAACTCAATATCCATGATTAAACATCTATAAAATCAAGGCACTGTTATTTAGTGGAGACTTGCTGGCTATTCTATGAGAGGAGGTATTGTTATTGTAATCTCGTCATCTCATAAAATTGTATCATATTACTCATAACCAGCCCTTCATATCCTATTCCTATTTTGGTATTTTAAAATAAGATATCTTTGAAACTCTTGAATTCAAAGAGGGAATCTGAATAATTTTTAAAATGTCAATGAAATGCCCTTTCTTCATGCTTCAACAACTAAAAATTGACTAAAGTGCTTCTCTTCAATCTTTCTGGAACATTTTTTATCTAAATTCTAAGAACAATCACTATAGGTTTTAACCACAAATGTGAAAATATTCTAAATGTTAGGGTGGAACAATTTTTTAAATATTTTATAGTAATTTTTTTCATCATAGTGACAGTGTGCTAAATTTTTTTAAGCCAACTATTACTGTAGACATTTAAGTCAGGATTCTAAGAAGCTGTGCTAAAGTCCAAAATTTAGTTTCATGTACACTGATATTATATATATATTTGCTTAAAAAATTAATACATGTGAGCCGTGTTTCAAATAGTTGAGAGATTATTATATCAAATATTCTTGATTATATAAAATGCCAATTACTTATAGGCAGACATGCTTTAAATAATTACTAAGGCAGTTGTGGTTGATTCTACTCTTGCTACTGGCATTTATAAGGACATACTATTATGGTCTGAAGAATATTTAGGCAAATTTATCCCTCATATGATCAGAAGAACAATGCAAGATAGTTTATATCTGAAAGGAAAAATATCTTTATATGGTTCTGAAAGCGTAAATCATTAACAACTTGGATAATAATTTGCATAAAAATACACAAACATGCCCTCTTCCTAGCAGTAAGTACACAGTGACAACAGAATCAAAGCATGTGGCTATGTGCATGTTTATATTTCAAGACGCAGAGCACTCTATTCCTCCTCTCTGCCCTTTCTAGATGGCACAATCCCTCATGAATCTAAGTGCAGTCATAGGGTGGATTAGGGTGACCTGCCATTTGTATGCAACTGATCTCTAGTTTGGAAGTAATTAATGTCAAAATATATTTTTAAAAGATAATTTCAAATTTCAGGGCAAACTAGCATGGTTTCACCCCTTTTCTTTGGAACATTTTTTCTAAGGTTGGAAAAGTAAGGTAGGCTTTAGTACGATTTTAAATAATAAGTTTTCAAAATGAGACGCAAAATGGTGGCGCCAACACATTTCAAATCTGCTACATTTTGAAGACACTTATTGGAGAAAAGACCTTCTCATTTTTCTCTTACAGGAAAGGAAATAACATGTACAGTTGACCCTTAAGCAACACGGAGGTTGGGGTGCTGGCCCCCTGCACAGTAGAAAATCCACTATAACTTTGACTCCCCCAAAACTTAACTACTAATAGCCTACTGTAAGCCTTACAAATAACACAGTCAATTAACACATATTTAATATGTTATATGTCTTATATACTGTATTCTTAACAAACATGCCAGACAAAAGAAAAAAGAAAATCATAAGAAAAATAGATTTACTAGTTATTAAATGGAAGTAGATGATCAAACAGGTCTTCATCCTCATCCTTTTCATGGGCAGGGTGTGGATAAGGATGTAGAATTGTTGGTTTTGCTAAGTGGACGTGCACAGTTCAAATCCCTGTGGTGCAAAGGCCAACTGTATAGCCATTGAATAGCAATTTATTTTTAGAAATTAACCTCACTAAAATACTCTTAGAAGGATGCCAAGAAAAAAAGTGAATAAGTATTTTTGGTTCATCTATTACATCATTTCCTTTCATTATTTCATTTCTTTTCATCATTTCATTTCATTTCCTCATTTCATCCTTTCATTTCATCATTTCATCATTTCATCTCATTTTATCATTTCATTTCATTCTTTCATTTCATTTCTTCATTTCGTCTCAACATTTCATTTCATCATTTCACTTCATCTCATCATTTCATCATTTCATCTCATCATTTCATTTCATCTCATCATTTCATTTCATCTCATTTCATCTTTTGATCTCATCATTTCATTATTTCTTTTCATCTTTTCATCTCATTTCATCAATTCATCATTTCACCTCATTTCATTTCACTTCATTTCATTGTTTCATTTCATTTCATCATTTCATTTCATCACTTCATCTCAACATTTCATTTCGTCATTTCACTTTATCTCATTTCATCATTTCATCTCATGATTTCATTTCATCTCATTTCATCTCATTTCATTTCCTCTCATCATTTCATTTCATCTTTTCATCTCATCATTTCATCTCATTTCATTTCACCATTTCATTTCATTTATTTCATCATTGCATCATTTGACTTCATGTCATCATTTCATATCATTTCATCATTTCATCTTTTCATTCCATCATTTCACTTCATTTCATTTCCTCATT
Source organism: Homo sapiens (assembly GCF_000001405.40). Lineage (NCBI taxonomy): Eukaryota > Metazoa > Chordata > Mammalia > Primates > Hominidae > Homo > Homo sapiens. The sequence continues at coordinate 33,064,480 of NC_000016.10, read as the reverse complement.
TCATTTCATCCTTTCATCATTTCATCTCATCATTTCATCCTTTCATTTCATTATTTCATTTCATAATTTCTTCTTATTGTTGCATTTCGTCATTCCATCATTTTATCATTTCATCTCATCATTTCATCATCTCACGATTTCATTTCATCCCATCATTTCATCTCATTTTATCTTTTCATCTCGTCATTTCATCATTTCATTTCATCTTTTCATCTCATTTCATTTGATCATTTCATCAATTCATCATTTCATCATTTCATTTATTTCATCATTTAATCATTTAACTTCATTTCATCACTTCACTTCATTTCATCTTTTCATATCATTTCTTCATTTCACCATTTGATCTTTTCATTTCATCATTTCACTTCATCATTCATTTCATCATTTCATTTCATCTCATTTCATTTCACTTCATTTCATTGTTTCATTTCATTTCATCACTTCATCTCAATATTTCATTTCGTCATTTCACTTCATCTCATTTCATCATTTCATCTCATGATTTCATTTCATCTCATTTCATTTCATCATTTCATTTATTTCATCATTTCATCATTTGACTTCATGTCATCATTTCATATCACTTCATCATTTCATCTTTTCATTCCATCATTTCATTTCATCATTTCATTTCATCCTTTCATCATTTCATCTCATCATTTCATCCTTTATTTCATTTCATCATTTCTTCTCATTGTTGCATTTCACCATCTCATCATCATTTCACTTCATCTCATCATTTCATCATCTCATGATTTCATTTCATTTCATCTCATCTTTTCATCTCATTTCATTTCATCATTTCATTTCATTTCATCTTTTCATCTCATTTCATTTGATCATTTCATCAATTCATCATTTCATCATTACATTTCATTTCATTATTTCATCATTTAATCATTTCACTTCATCATTTCATTTCATTTCATCATTTCATGTCATTTCTTCATTTCACCATTTGATCTTTTCATTTCATCATTTCATCATTCCATTTCATTTCCTCATTTCATTTCACAATTTCATCTCATCATTTCATTTCATCATTCCATTTCATCATTTCATTACATTTCATCATTTCACTTCATCTCATCATATGATCTTTCATTGCTTTATTTCATTTCATCTCATTTCATTTCATCATTTGACTTCATCTCATCATTTCATCACATCATTTCATTTCATCTCATCATTTCATTTCATCTTTTCATCTCCTCATTTCATTTAATCATTTCGTTTCATTTCACCTTTTCATCTCATCATTTCATTAGTTCATCATTTAATTTCATTTTTTCATCATTTCTTCATTCACTTCATTTCATCATTTCATTTCATCATTTCATATCATTTCCTCAATTCATCATTTCATCTTTTCATTTCATTTCATCATTTTATCATTTCATTTCATTTCAGTTCATTATTTCATTTCATTATTTCATTTCATTTCACCATTTTATGTCATCATTTCATCATTTTTCATCATTCCATTTCATTTCATCATTTCATCTCATTATTTCATTTCTTCATTTCATCATTTCATTTCATCATTTCATCATTTCATTTCATCATCTCATCATTTCATTTCATTTCATTGATACATGTATTTAATTGCTAATGCGATGCCCAGGAAACACCCTATTTCCCTTTGTAAAACACCTCCTTCAACAAAAGGCAACTTCTCGTGGCTGGTTAAGTCTACACGGATACCAGCCTCTCTTCAACCACCCAATTTCATTTAGAACCTCAAACAGCACCTCAGTTTCATAAAAACCTAAAACATAAACACAACACTTGGTTGTAAGTGAGCCAACAGTTTTTTGTCTCTTTCTCTGCTCAAGGCTTAAGGCCGTGTCTCCCCAACTACATTCAGTGGAAGAAAAGATCCCCTGGACAAATAAGTTTGAGAATTGTTGTTGCAGGAATTCTCAGAACTTTCCAAACACAAATCCTCATCCGCAGGGATCTTCAGGAGGGAGATGGCTGATGCAGCACAATTTTCTTTCACAGGAGTATCTTGCAGAATACAGTATGAGATCCAGAAAGGCTGCATTGAGTCTTTTTAATGGCCCGGGCCTTGGTGGGGATGGGGTAGGAGCTCTCCAGATAGCATTTAATGAGTAGGAACATTCAGGTGGCTTTTCTTTTTCCTTATTGGCAAAACTGTGTGTACACCATGAATGAAGCTGGTCTCCCTTATCCATGTCAAAACTAAACCCAAATTAATTGGCTAAATTGGGACTCAACACCTCCAGAAGCCACGCGGCAGAAAGCCCCAACACACTTTAAATTAGCTTACCTCATCATATTTGAGGAAAGCAAAACGCATATGACCAGTATGCTGCTAATACAAGTCTACAGATGATGCTGTATGAAAAACTAGTTTTCCCAATCATAGCTGGCATAGTCCACATTTTGCATTACACTTCCCCCCCTTTTTTAAAAATTTTAAACACAGGTCTTTTTATCTTCTTTTTTTCAATTTTAATTAAATTATACAAGACCGAGTCTCAGTATGTTGCCCAGGCTGGTCTTCAACTCCTGAGCTCAAGCGATACAGCTGTCTCCGCCTCCCAAAGTGCTGAGAATGCAGGCCTGAGACACTGTGCCTGGCCTTAAACACAAATCTTAATTCATTCTTACAATTATTCTGAGGTTACAAAAATGGAAGGGGAAGAAAAATGGAAAGTAGGTAGGCTGACTTCGGCTTCATTATTTGGAAGGACAGTTTGCTCGGTTAAAACACACTACTGCCTACAAAGGCCAAGACAACAGAAATATACAGACTTACATAAGTAGATTTTATATGTGACAGCAGTTTGAATGGAGACTTTTTCAATGCAATGAGAAACAGCTGTGCTTGGGAATAAATGACAACGAATTTTTTTTATCTCAACAGCTGTCCTGAGACCATGTTATCTCTACCTGCATTCTGGAATCAGGGAGAAAGCCAAAACTGACGACAAGACACTAGATCAGCCATGTCCAACCCTTTGACTACAAGGACTTTTCCACCTATCTGTGGTGGTGGGTAGCATGAAAATTATGCACAAACCTTTTTTTTTTTTTTAACCTCATCAGCTGTTGTTAGCATTAGTGTATTTTATGTGCAGCCCAGGAGCATTCTTCTTCCAATGTGGCCCTGATAAGCCAAAAGACTGGACACCTGTGCACTAGATCAAAAGGCTACTCCTTCTGGAAGCAATTGTAAAGAATTTCTGACATAATCTTGACATGAAAACCAATGGATAGTGGGACAGAATGCAAAATCTTGAAGAATTTTTCTTGTCTTTTTTTTTTTTTTTTTGAGTCACGGTCTTGCTCTGTGGCCCAGGCTGGAGTACACTGGTGAGATCAGAGCTCAGTGCAGGATCAAGTGCTCCTCCCGCCTCAGCCACAGTAGTAGCTGGGACTACAGATGCGCACAACCACCCCTGGCTAATATTTTCTTTTTTGTAGAGATGGGGTCTCACTATATTGTCCGGGTTGGTCTCAAACTCCTTGACTCAAGGGATCCAGGAAAGGATAACAGGTGGGAGCCACCACACCTGGCTATGTGCATGAACTTTTAAGACAAACACAGGGCCCCACAAAAGTTAAGGTTTTTCCCACCTAATTTCCAGGGGGATCTTTTGGTGCACGGCTGAGAAGCCCTTAAAAGTACACAGACAACTCCAAAGATTCAAGACAGTTCATTCGGGCTGAGCCAGCCCACTGGGCAGACTGACCTTCAAAAAAGACCCACCCATGACATACACCAGATGGCTCTCCAAGAATCCCTTCAGTCCTCAGGGTCCCTAACGTACTGGACAGAGCTAGGAAAGCAAACCCATTTGCTTCTTCCTGCAGGAAACCCCTTGAGGTTAAGACCCCACAATCACATGAGGATGGAGTGGCTCACCCTCAGTCAACAGGCCAGACTCAAGGTGGTATAATGTCTTACCTAAGGGTGGGGGCCTCCAGGTCTGACTCCCAACTCAGTTCTTCTTTAATAACCACACTTTGTTAATTTTCCTTAACAGGGGTTCCTGGCAAGTCATTTCTCCCTCAGGCCTTCGGTTTCCTCACCTACAAGATGAGAGGGCTGGACCAGATGGAAATTCAGGGGGTAAGGGGATGTCCTCGCTCAGCCCACCCCCACCCCCACGGGACCCTGGAGCCTCCATCCCAGTTCCCACCACGCGCCTGCTCCACAAATCCTGCCCAAGGTGAGGGCTGGTCCCGGGTCCTCTGGCTGCCGCGTCAGCGAGTGCAGGAGGGAGGGGAAGCCTCCAAGGGGGTGACGTGGGCTCAAGGATGCAACTCGGCCAGGAGTGAACTGGGGCCCCGAAGGAGGTGTCCAGGCCACTCCTGGAGCCCAGCCCGGGTCCCCGAACCCCTTACCTCCAGGGTCTGTATCTCCTGCTGGGTGAGGTCATTGGACACAGCGCACTTGGTGCACAGCCCGCACAGGCTGCCAATGAAGATGACGATGAGCTTCTGGAGCTGCCCGCACTGCTGCAGCGCCCGGCTGGCCGCAGCCCCTGTGCCACCCTCCGTGGCCGCCGCATCACCCCCGCCACCGCCCTCCTTATTCTCTCCCATCGCCTCCGCAGGCAGCGCCACTCTATGCAGGCCACAGGGGCCTAGGCAAGGAGCCCGGGGCGCCGGCGCCTCGGCAAGGAATCCCTGAGCCAGGAGAGCTGGACCAGGAGCACCCCTGGTCGCTGCCCTTGCCAGGACGCCAGTAGAGCCGGCAGCCGAGTCTGCTGCTCCCGCCCTCAGAGCCGCGGCGGCGGGGACAAAAATCCTCGGCGGCGGGGGCAAAAAGTCGCGGTGGCAAAAAGCGGCGGCGACGGGGGCAAAAAGTCGCGGCAGCAAAAAGCCGCGGCGGCGGGGACAAAAAGCCGCGGCGGCGAGGGCTAAAAAGCTGCGGTGGGGAAAAAGCTGCGGCGGCGGGGGGCAAAAAGCCGAGGCGGGGTGGGGGCAAAAAGCCGCGGTGGGTAAAAAGCCGCGGGGGCAGGGGGGAAAAAGCCACGGCGAGGAAATAGCCGCAGCGGCCTGGAGGCAAAAAGCGGTGGGGTTCAAAAAGCGGCGGGGGGCAAAAAGCCGCGGCGGTGGGGGGTGGCAAAAAGCGGCGGGGGGCAAAAAGCCGCGGTGGCAAAATTCGCAGCGGCGAGGGGTCAAAACGCCGCGGCGGGCTAAAAGCCCTGGCGCTGGGGGGGCACAAAGCCGCGGCGGGCAAAAAGCCATGGCGGCAAAATTCGCAGTGGCGAAGGTCAAAAAGCCGCGGTGGTCAAAAAGCCTTGGCGCTTGGGGGGCAAAAAGCCACGGCGGGCAAAAAGCGGAGGCGCGGTGGGGGGAAAAAGCCGCGGCGGCAGGGGGGGGCAAAAAGCCGCGGAGGCAGGGGGGGGCAAAAAGCCGCGGAGGCAGGGGGGGGCAAAAAGCCGCGGAGGCAGGGGGGGGCAAAAAGCCGCGGAGGCAGGGGGGGGCAAAAAGCCGCGGAGGCAGGGGGGGGCAAAAAGCCGCGGAGGCAGGGGGGGCAAAAAGCCGCGGAGGCAGGGGGGGCAAAAAGCCGCGGAGGCAGGGGGGGCAAAAAGCCGCGGCGACGGGGGGGCAAAATAATGGAGATGGGGTAGAAGGCCGGCACAGCTTGGCATTGCTGGAATGGGATGTGATAGGAAATGTGAAGCCAAAGACAAAAAAAGATGTAAGTAGGCTTGACTCATTGAAGCTAAGAACCCAGATGTTATCTTGAGGGTATTAATTAATAAGCAGTTTAAATCAGAATGGCACATTCTGATTTGTTTTTTGTATGTTCACATTTGGCAGGCATAGATACTGTTTGAAGAGAGAAAAGTCAGTAGAGAGAGGTAACAAACTTAAATATGTGCCAAGTCTAGAAACAAGAGACCAGGGGTATAAGGACCTTTCAAAATAAAATGCAAGATTTGAAAACTGATTGGCTGGGGGATGAGGAAAAGGCAGATCTTTAAGGTCCATCCCTGTTTTGCTTTAAGTTGTTAGGGGGTGGTTTTATCACATGTTGTAGAATATGTCATTTCAGTTTTGAACATCTTGAGTTAAATTGTCCTAACATATCTTATGAATTTGATTTTCTTCCCTGGGAAGCTAATATTTCAAACACTTAAAGAGTATATAGATTTCCAACTTGTATCCCATTTATAAAACTATCTCTAGGCTGCTGATTTCAGGAGGAGGCTCATGAATATTCTCTTTGCAGAGAATATATCAGGAGTTAACAACAGCTTCAATATTTGTGGACGACCAGTTAACTAAGCCACCTCTTAGTGTCTTTAGTTGGGAAATCTTAGCTGAAGATATTCAATAATGAACCAAGAGTGACTAAAAAATTCAATATTTAAGTATATTTCATTGTAATTAATTTGAATTGAAGTAGCCATATACAGCTAGTATTTACTATATTGAACAATGCAAATAAGAGGAAAAAATTAATAACCATCGCTAATACCACATGCCAAAATCCTCATCAGTTTATTCTAGCTAAAGGAGTTGATCAGAAGCAGCAGTTGAAAGCACCAACTAAACCAGCTGGGGTGAGTTCACTGTCATTCTCTCAGAACCATCTCTTCTCTGAACAAAAGTACAAGAGTTCATTGTGAATCTCCATTCTCCTTGCCTATTTTATGGTTTTGATGTTGACACTAATTTGTGAAATCCCTCCTGTGGTGTGATATTTCGTTTTCCTTGCTTTCTGTTAGGACAAGAATGCTTCAGCTCTTAATTTAAAATTATGTTTCTCCCTCCTAGGTTGAGTGAACTTAGAATGCATTCTCTGACATATCCAAGATTTTGTTAATATGAATTTCGGGAAAAAAGCATACTTAATTAGCTAAGACGTCTTATTCTAAGCTTGACCCTATGTTCGACATCTTTTGAATTTCTAGTTGCATGGGCTGCTCTCTGACACTGGTTAGTGACCTGGAAGCTATATTAATGTTAGGGGAGGTGGTGTATGAGCATTAGAGGTATCCTTGCAAGGAAAGACTTGTCTTATCTCAATACGTCTTTTTTTTTGCACACAAGAAAGTCAATGTCTGAGTCTTCTAAAGTCTTCCTATTTCCAAATTGCAGATTATGATTGGTTCCTAAACAAAGACCTAATTTTTGACTCAGAGACGTGGCAAGGTAGTGAATCACCGTTATAATTTAACAATCTTCAAGATAAAATTATCTCTGATATTTAGATTTTGCCCAATTATTAAGATATTTGGGTGTTTCGTTAAGAATGGAAGACTCTAGTCTCTTGAGCAGAGACTATAAAGGCCTCAGATGATCATTTCAAATTGTATGCCCTTTTCTTTAACACCTTCAACACAGTTGGAAGCAGCCGATATTCCCCAGAGTTGTTGTGTTTTTTAAACCAAATGCATGGTTCAGTGGTAGAAAACTGGGTTGATCCAAGCTGTTTTCAGTAAACACTTCATTTCAGGTGACCTATTTCATATTAAATAATCTCTAGATCCTGTCTTCGAAACTAACTAGATCAGATAACCTACCCTGGATTTTCTCCTTTTAGGGTCTGTGAGCTGCAGTCACTTTTGCGAAAATGATTGCAATGACAAGATAGAGTTGTAGATGGGGAAAATGTTTTGACTAATTTAAGCATAGTGGTATTTCATATGAGAATTTAAGTTACACACATTTGAAAATTATAATGGAGTCTCTTGGCTGAGCTTTAAAAAAAAATAGCGTTTAGGCTAAAAAGGGAACTGCTACCTCTCCTAAAATCAGAAAGATGTTACAGTAATTCTCCATTCTCTAGAATTATCAAGAAGCACCTTTGTGATGATTTACTTTTGCTCTTGGGAGTGTGAGCCCGTGCAGTCGTGGAACCATCAATTAGAATGGTGGCTTTCTGATCCCAAAGTCATTTGTTCTGAAAACAATATTTTTCATAAATTTGAAAGTGAGAAGTTTTGATCTTGCCATTCCCAAGTAACTCTCTTAATAAGAGGCATCAGCATGCTTCAGTGACAGCTGTCACCTTCCATTGCTGAGAGTCATCTTTGAGTTCTCCATTTCACTCCCTACACTCCAATTTAGCTGCAGTTCTCTTGGCCAGTCCTATGAAATACATCCATGGCCTAACGACTTCTCACCACTACTACCACTCATCCTGACAGCATTCTCACCTAAGTCACTACCTTTTTTCTCTGGATTAGAGTAGCCTCCCAATTTATTTGCTCACATAACCTATTTATTCTACACAGTGCACCAGATACACCCCTTTGAAATGCAAACACAATCATGTTATTCTCTGGTGAAATTATCTCATATATTCCTATCGCATTTAAAATTAATTCAGAATCATCCCATGATTGTCAAAACCCTACATGCTCTTCCACAACATGGTTTACTTCCAAGATATCTCTTCAACTTTTTTTTCACTGTACTGAATTGGTGACTAATAGTCATATTTTTGTTTTTGCTCAAAAAGTCTTGACTTGTGAATTTTTCAGTTTCTCCTTTATCCACAGGTAACTCTTTCCTCATAAGGCGAATTGCTTGCTTCCTTGAGTTCTGCTCTCAAAGATACCCTTCATTTTCTACCTAATATTAATAACTTTAGTCATTCATTATTCCATTACTATGCTCTATAGTGTATACAATTTCTGTTCTTTGTCATGTTATTAACTAAATTATTTATTGGGTCCAGTAACGTATTCCATAAATATTGTACACATAAAAATTGTGTTATTTTTATTCCTGTATGCTCAGCTGCCCAATAACAGTCTGAGGATTAACATATATGTTAAATGCACAAATACATTCTTTCACAAATATTAGTTTAATAATTTTATATTAAACTCCCTCTATACTTACAATATGAATTAGATAATTCAGAATAAACATTCCATTGGAAAAAGCTACACAATTTGTTATAAAACATCCTTAAAAGCATCAGAAAGTTAATACAGCAATGAAGAATTACAGGACCAAATTAAGAATGGTATGAAAGCCTGTTTGTGACGCTTATGTTTGGGTTATCTCTTTATTTGAGTGACTATAAATCTCAAAAGAGAACTAAAGGGAGAAATAACCGTATCTACTAACATGGTAAGGGTACTTAAACATCTCTTAGTAATTGAGAAAATTGAAAGAAAAGAAAAAAGAGAAAGGGAGAAAGAGAAACAGCGAAAGGGATAATGAAGGAGAGAAAGAAGAAGAGAAAGGAGGAGGAAGAAAAGTAAAAAGGAGGAGGAGGGGGAAGGAGGAAGGAAGAAAAGTGAAAAGAAAGAATGGTAAACTTTTTAACAACATAATTTATCCTTCTAGAATATGAATGCTGGTCTATTTGATGATGTCCCACAGATTCATTAGTCTCTGCTCATTGTTTATTTTTTATTCTTTCTGTTTCTCAGAGTCAGTGTTTTCCATTTTCTTCTCTTCAAGTTCATGGCTTCTTCTGTATGTGCAAATATACTCTTAAATCCCTCTGGTGATTTTTAAATTTTTATCATTGTAGTTTTCCACTCCAGAATTTCTGTTATCTCTTTGCTGATATTCCTACTTTTTAATATTTTTTCTGATTCCTTTATTTCTTTGTTTATGTTTTCCTTTTCACATTTGAGTATAATGAAGAGAGTTGTTTAAAAGTCTTTGTCTGGTAAGTTTGATGTCTGGGTTTCCTTAGGGATGTTTTCCGTCAATTAATTTTGTTCCTTCGAATGAGCCACACTTTTCCATTCTTTGTATGCCTTGTAACGTTTTTTGAAAACTGGACATTCTAATAATTATAATTACTATGTGGTTACTCTGTAAATCAGACCCCCCCCCCTACAAACACAGTAATGTTTTGTGGTTTTAAATTTTCTTTACTTATTATATTGTTAAGGATTTTTTTTTTTAGTGAAATTTTCCTAAGTGATTTACAAAACTATTTGCTTTATAAGGTGTGGTCACCGAAGTCTTTTTGTTTCCTTAACAAATGTTAAGCTAATGTTTTGGCAGTGACTTTCTTGTATGTCAGGAACCAATGAAACAGGCAAATAAAAGAAAAACAAAAAGAAAAGCAAGTAATCATTGTCCAGCAAAATATGTCTCTAGGCCATGCAGACTGGCTTTGTGCTGGGTTCTTTAAAGCCAGAACAAAGTGTGTGTTCACTCTTGCACTGAATGAAGTTCAAGTTCATTCTTGCACAGAGGTTGCACTGAGGGGAGGGATCGGCCAAGGTAAAAGTGTAGGATCTTCTTATGACATTTGTCAGCATGTGGCTTAACCTATGAATACATGTGACTTTGTAGACTCTCCCATGTACGTGAATGATTTTGTATGTCTTAGTTTTTGAAATACTCTTCTCCAACTTTTCTTGCTGTGCTGAAGGTGATCTACTATATGTGTAAACTTTAATTTTTGCCCTAAGCATCAGTGGTTTGTTAGGTCTCCTTGCAGAGTTTCTTAATAATGTCCATTCCTTATCTGTTCTGTATTCTAGCAACACAGAAAAAAAAAAGCCTTTCATGAGTCCTTTAGGTATCCCCCAGACCAGTCAGAACAGACACATAATAATTTGCGGGTAAGATCTCTTGTTCCTTTGGACCATGGACCAGGCTTCCTCACTGGGAACGTGGGCTTCTGACCCTTCAGGACTGCCAATTTGCTGGGGCAAAGGCAAGTTAAAAATGTCATAAAGTTTTCCAGTTGTCATTTTCTTGAGTCTGCTTTCACTTGGTTGTTGTAATCTTTTGACCATTTTCCAGAGCTTTGGTGAAGTTTCTTCGGACAGTTTCTCTTAGTTGTGTGATGTTTCTGTGGAGAAATGAAAGATTGCAGCTGTCTCCACTGCCATTTTGCTGATGCTCCTCTTTTGTCAATTTTTGCTTCATGTTATTATGCTTTGTTATTAGTTCATGTATTAGTTTTCTAGGGCTGCCATAACCAAGTAACACAAACTGGGTGCCTTGAACAACATACATTTATAGTCTTATAGTCTTATAGTCCTGGAAGCTAAAAGTCTGAGATTGAGGTGTCAGCAGGGATGGTCCCTTCAAGGGCTATGAGAGGAAGCCTGCTCTGTGCCTTGTTTCTCACTTCTGGTGGTTTAGTGGCAGTCTTTGGCATTCCTTGGCTAATCTCTGTCCTCATAATCACATGGTACTCTCCCTGTGTGTATGTCTCCCTCTACTCAAATTTCTTCTTTTCACAAGGACATCAGTCATATTGAATTCAGGCTCATCTGATTGTATCTTAACTTGATCAGCTGCACAGAACCTATTTCCTAATGAGGTCATATTCAGTGGTTAGAATTTCAGCATCTATATAGAGGAAACAATTTAGCTCCTATCTGTGCATACATGATTGTAATAGCTATGTCTTCCTAAAGCGTTGACCCCCTTTTTACTACAATATAAATTTTTAAAATCCTATTCACATTTGTAATAGTCTATATTGTGTGTTATGAGTATAATGAGTTCAGTGTTCTTATGATTGCTCTTTGCATGATATTTTTTGTCATCTTTTTACTTTCAATCCATTAGTATCCTTGCATCTCAGCGTATATTGGGATCACTTGTTTTAATCCAGTCTGACAATCTCTGCCTCTGGAATGGATTTTAATCTGCTCACATTTAAGATTATAATTGGTATAATTCTATTTATGTCTGCCATTTTACCGTTTGTTTTATATATTTCTCAAATATTTTTCTTTATTGCTTTATTTTGCAATGAAAGCATATTTTCTAAAATAGGGAACTTTAGATTACTAATCAATTATTTTATTATATATTTTTGAGAATTTTTGTTGTTGTAAGTTTACCATATAGGTATATGGAAAATTAATTATTCAAACCATCTTCCAATTTATACTAGTAAACTTTTAGTAATACATAGAAACATCATTCTTATATAAATCTCTTTTGTTTCCTCCATTTTAAAGTATTATCACTTTACACATTACATCTATTAAAGTTACAAAGCCAACAATACATTTTAGTAATTATTACTTTACCATCTAGAGTTATTACCTTATCACAATACATTTTTCTTCCAACTACCTCCTTTTTGATGTTACTGGAAAATATGTTACAGACGTATTCCATTTCTACATGTCAAATACTCAGCAATACATTCTGCACATATTATTATTATTATCATTGAGACGGAGTCTCCCTCTGTCACCCAGGCTGGAGTGCACTGGCACAATCTCCGCTCACTGCAAGCTCCATCTCCCGGCTTCATGCCATTTTTCTTCTTCAGCTTCCCGAGTAGCTGGGACTACAGGCGCCTGCCATCACGCCTGGCTCATTTTTTGTATTTTTAGTACAAACGGGGTTTCACTGTGTTAGCCAGGATGGTCTCGATCTCCTGGCCTCGTAATACGCCCGCCTTGGCCTCCCAAAGTGCTGAGATTACAGGTGTGAGCCATCGTGCCCGGCCATTATACACATGTTATTTAATAAACAATTTATGATAAAGAGAAAAAATGCATTTTTACTGTCTTTTATAATGTCAATATTACCTATACCAGTGCTTTTTTAAAAATGTGGATTCAAGTGACTGTCTTCTGTAACTTGCTTTTAGCCTTAGGAATTTATTTTAGAGATTTTTTTAATATAGTAGGTCTGCCAGCAACAACGTCAGTTAATATTTCTGTTTATCTGGGTAAGTCTCTGTGTTATCTTCATTTTTGAAAAATAATTGCTGGATAAGGAATTCGTGGCTGAGAGTTTTTTTTTCCTTTGCCTCTTTTGAATATATTATTCTACTGCCTCTTGCTTCCATTGTTTCTCTTAAGTCAGCTGTTAATCTTACAAAACATAGGTGCTCAAAAAATAAACATGTGCATGAATATTTACAGCAGTAATATTCATACAGTCAAAAAGTGGAAACAATCCATATGCTTGTTGACTCATAAATGGACGCCCAATTTTCAGCTATAACAAAGAATGAAGTACTTATATATGGTATAATATTGGTGAAATTTGAAAGCATTCTGTTAAGTGCACAAAAGGACAAATATTACTTGATTTTATTCACATGAAACATCAGGAATTGGCAAATCAATTGGGATATAAATCAGATTAGTGGTCATTAGGGCTCAGGGAAGCAGATTAGGGTGTAACAACTTTATGCATAATGGGTTTTTGGAAGGGACATGATGAAATTGCCCTGGAACATTGTGAATATGCTAAAAGCAAGTGCACTGTATGCTTTAAAATGGTGGTTGTTAATTTTATATTATGTGATTTTTACCTTAAAAAACAAAAAAGAGAAAATAGCCTTACTCTATACATAATAAACTCCAGATATGTTACAAATTTACATGTGAAATCCAAAATACTATAATATTTAAGGAATAGCTAAGTAGAATAACACTGAAATTTAACATAATGAAACATTTCCTTAGAAAAGAAAAAAGCACAGTAATTAAAAAGGGAAATATATTTAATATTTTTCTCTCCATTAGGCATGCCATTAACTGAGTAAAAAATCAAGCTGCAATTATGTAAACTACATTTTCTAAAACCATAAAGAAAAGAAGAAATAAAAAGGTATTTGGGAAAAAATCCAAAGGTACAGTCAACTACACACAAAAAGCTTAGTCTCATTAATCATTATGAAAATGCAAATGGTAACTGAAAGAAGATAAAACTACAATTCAAAGAGAAACCCTAAAATTTCAACCCCCCAAAAAGTCTGGGTTTTGGAGATCTGGGATGGAATAGGGTTCCTAACCTGACAACAATGAAAGACCCAAACTAACTTCAAAGTCATGACTTTATTTTTATAGCAACGAGGTTGCCAAGAACTGAGTCAAAATGTGAGGGAAAACAAGCACCTGCAAGGAGAAAGAGGACGGATGCACTTACATAGGACAGATGCAAATAGACACCACTATGACAAGTAAAGCTGGAATAATCAATAAATTCCTAAAGGCAAAGTGGGGCTGGTGAGATTGGGAGACGGCTGACAGCTGCAGAAGTTGGGAAAGATCCATCATCTTGAAAACTTTTTCCCCACAAACCCACTGCGATCTCTCAAGCAATTGGTAAGGAATCCAAGAGAGTCTGTATATGACACAGATCAGGGAGAGCAGAACACTTGGGAGGTGACCGGGTCTTGGGGGCCGAGCCCTTATGAATGGGATTAGTGCCTTTATAAAAGAAGCTCAATGGAGTTGTTGTGTGCCTTCCACTATGTGAGGACATAGAAAGCAGGCACCACCTATGAACCATGAAATGGGCTCTCATCAACACTGAATTTGTGAGCATCTTGACCTGAGATCTTACAGCCTCAAGAAGTGTGAAAAAAGAAATATCTGTTGTTTTTTAATCACCCGGTTTATGTTATTTTGTTATAAGAGTCCAAATAGAGCAAGATATTCCACTTAATATGTAGGGGAAGGCAACAAAAACTGCCACACTTAGGATCCTCCTGATGCTGGGAGTATGAAAACAGGAAAAACAAAACAAAACTGCTCTTGAAGGTGAAGGAGGAATATCACTGAGCTCACCAACACAGCCAGGAAAAGAACGGAAGTGTGAGAAGGCTACATTCCTGAGACCCTGAGAAAAAGTACCTGCATAAGACTGAGATGAAATTACCTACTCTAGTTATGATTGAAATCCCAAAAAGAAAAGAGGGAAAAATAATGGAGCAAAAGAAATATTTTTCAAAATAACTGCCAAAAATATTCTAAAAGAAGTGACAGAAAATCAAACTTCAAATATAGGAAACTCAGAGAATGTCAAATAGAACCAAAAGAAATAAGAATCACATCTTGAAAAATCTTTAAAAAATCAAGTCTAAATTTTATATCTTGCTCCAAATATATAGAGATATAAAGAGGTTATCAAGATATGGAGAAAGCCATATCATGGAAACACTAAAATAAGGCTGTGGAAGGACTACATTGATATTAGACACAACAGAGTTCGGAACAAGAAATAGTATCAGAGATGAGAGATAATAGATAATAGAATCATCAATTCTCAAGAAGATGTAAACATCCTACTAATTAGGGTAAGCAGCTAACAACAGAACCTCCAAATACATGAGGTAAAATAGGAAAGAAATAAAAGGTGAACTAGAAAAATCCGAAACTATATTTGCCGACATCAACACTTTTGTCTTAGAAATGGAAAGACTAGGCACTAACTCAGTAATCATGTGGAAGATAAGAACAACAATATCACCAAAAAGACATCCAATCTTCAATGGCAGATACTCTTTCCTTTCAAGTGAAAAAAAAAACAGTATGGCATATTCTCTAACAAACCCAGAATTTCTAATATTTGCGTTTTTCCTTCTTTCTTTCCATCTTCCTTTCTCTTCTCTTCCCTTCCCTTGCCTTCCTCCTTCCTTTCTTCTTTTCCTCTTCCTTTTCTTTTCTTTTTTCTTTACCTTTCTTTCTTTTCTTTTTTCTCCTTCCTTCCTTCTTTCCTTTCTTTCTTTCCTATTATTCTTCCTTCCCTCCTCCCTCCCTTCCTTTCTCCCTCCCTTTTCTTCCTTCCTTTCTCATATTCTTTCTTTCTTTCTCGCCTTCTTGCTTTCTTTCCTTTTTTCTCCCTTCCTCCCGCCCTCCTTTTCTTCCTTCCTCCCTCCCTTCCTTTCCTCTTTTTCCTTCCTTCCTTCGCCTCTTTATTTTCTTTGTTTCTGTGCCTTCCTCCCTTTTACCATTCTCTCTTCCTCCTTTCCTTCCTCCCTTCTTTCTTTCTTTCTCTCTTTCTTTCTCTTTCTTTCCTTCTTTCTTTCTTGTGTTCATGCTTTCTTTTTTCTCCCCTCCTGCCTTTCTCCCTTCCTCCCTCCCTCCCTTCCTTCCCTCATTTCCTCCTTTTCTTTCTTCTTTCTTTAGTTCCTTCCTTCCTTCTTTCCTTCCTTCTTTTTCTTTCTTTGTTTTCTTTTCTTTCTTTCTCTTTACTACAAATATTATTATTTTAAAAAAATTAAGACAGGGAGACAGAAAAATAAAGAACGCTTTAATCTGCAGGTAAACAGATTATGTCTGCTGTAGGCCAAAGAATGGCCTCCCAAAAATTTTCATGTCCTAATTCCCAGAGTCTAACATACAAATATGTTAGGTTGCACGGCAGTGTGAAATTAGATTTCGAGTGAAATTAAGGTTGCGGAAAAATGATAGAGAGATTGTCTTAAATGGGTGGGATCAATGAAATCACAAACTTCCTTATAAGTGAAAGAAGAAGACAGAAGAAAGGCAACCTTGGAGGTGGTGGCATGAGAAATTACTCAATATCACTGATTTTTAAGATACAAGAATGAGGACCCAGCGCGGTGGCTCTCGCCTAATCCCAGCACTTTGGGAGGCTGGGGTGGGTTTATCACGAGGTCAGGAGATTGAGACCATCCTGGCTAACATGGTGAAAGCCCATCCCTACTAAAAATACAAAAAATTAACTGGGCGTGGTGGCAAGTGCCTGTAGTCCAAGCTACTCAGGAAGCTGAGGCAGAAGGATCACTTGAACCTGGGAGGCAGAGGTTGCAGTGAGCTGAGATCGTGCCACTGCACTCCAGCCTGGGTGACAGAAGGAGACTCCATCCCCCCCACAAAAAAAAGGAAACATAGGATCTAAGAATGAGGTCATGTTTCAAGGAATAAAGGTGGCTGGCCTCTGGATGCTGAAAAAAATCAAGTAATAGATTCTGCCAAATAGCCCTCAGAAAAACTGCAGCCCTGCCGAAAACTTGATGTTAGCCCTGTGAGTTTAATTTAAGGCTTCTGAAATACAGAACTGTAGGATAAACGGTCACTTTATTGTAAGATATGAAGTTTATGGTAATTGGTTACAGCAGCAAGAGGAAGTTTATATTGTAATTGTATCATGAAAATGAGAACCATAATGTACAACTGCTTTTAATACTGCACTTGGATGTTTGAAATCACGTACATGGAAATGATCTCTATGTGCATGAGGGAGGATAGCAAATTGATGCCAAAATAATGCAAATGCAAATCTTACACTCATTTCTATGTAGGTTTCATTTAATCTTTGAAATTAAAATGAAATTAAAAGATTGTGATCTTTTGATGAAATTAGACTAAAATGAACAATAACAAAATAAGAACTTACTTATATTCTTTATATGGTCAATAAAGAAGTGATAGTGGAAAAAAACAAGATCAAATGAAAGTGATGATGTAGGAAGTTGGAAAGATAGCTGAAACTACAAAATGGTAATAACCAGTGAACCCTTAGACACACTGATTGATGAACTTCAGCTTTTGGCCTGGTGAGATAAAATGAGAGCAGCTGAGGTTTGCCAATTTGTAATCTCCTTGTGGAAAAACAGGGGAAAACACATCTCAGCCTAATAAGATTTATCTACTAAAGAGTCTAGACTTGATCCATTTGTCCGTGTAATTCAAAAGCTAATTCAAATACTGATTTGATGTATTGTGTGAACAACCATTGCTGATTATCATCGCATACCTGGCATTCTCTTGTATCTGATATCTAAAAGATTTGGTAATTCCTGGACTTTCTCTTTTCAAACCCAGTACGGTTTAATTTCAGTCTTAGAACAGTTGTCTTTGAGAAATTCTTCCCTCTACTGCATCTGTGAATGGGCATAGCATGGTTACATACATACTGTCACTCCATAGAACATTTGTTAAATTAAAGCCAAAGTTTAAAGCAAGAGCTTTAACTTACAGGTTTTACTAATGGTTTCCTCCCCAATAGCCACAACAATATTGATACCCTCACACCTTTTAACATAAAGCTTGGTGTTGTCTATTTTTCAGGTGCTGTCATCTATATGATCTCAGTATTTTAAACATCAGCTTCCAGCCCATATGGTGGTTCATGCTTGTAATATCAGCTGTTGAAGAGGCTGAAATGAGAGGATTCCTTGAGCCCAGGAGTTCACAAGCAACCTGGGCAACATAGCAAGACCCAGTCTCTATCAAAATTAAAAAAAAAAAAAAGTGTTCCTATTTCTCCACATCCTCTCCAGCACCTGTTGTTTCATGACGTTTTAATGATTGCCATTCTAACTGGTGTGAGATGGTATCTCATGTGGTTTTGATTTGCATTTCTCTGATGGCCAGTGATGATGAGCATTTTTTCATGTGTTTTTTGGCTGCATAAATGTCTTCTTTTGAGAAGTGTCTGTTCATGTCCTTCACCCACTTTTTGATGAGGTTGTTTGTTTTTTTCTTGTACATTTGTTTGAGTTCATTGTAGATTCTGCATATTAGCCCTTTGTCACATGAGTAGGTTGCAAAAATTTTCTCCCATTTTGTAGGTTGCCTGTTCACTCTGATGGTAGTTTCTTTTGCTGTGCAGAAGCTCTTTAGTTTAATTAGATCCCATTTGTCAATTTTGTCTTTTGTTGCCATTGCTTTTGGTGTCTTAGACATGAAGTCCTTGCACATGCCTATGTCCTGAATGGTAATGCCTAGGTTTTCTTCTAGGGTTTTTATGGTTTTAGGTCTAACGTTTAAGTCTTTCATCCATCTTGAATTGATTTTTGTATAAGGTGTAAGGAAGGGATCCAGTTTCAGCTTTATACATATGGATAGCCAGTTTTCCCAGCACCATTTATTAAATAGGGAATCCTTTCCCCATTGCTTGTTTTTCTCACTGTTGGTGGGACTGTAAACTAGTTCAAGCATTGTGGAAGTCAGTGTGGCGATTCCTCAGGGATCTAGAACTGGAAATACCATTTGACCCAGCCATCCCATTACTGGGTATATACCCAAAGGACTATAAATCATGCTGCTATGAAGACACATGCACACGTATGTTTATTGCGGCATTATTCACAATAGCAAAGACTTGGAACCAACCCAAATGTCCAACAATGATAGACTGGATTAAGAAAATGTGGCACATATACACCATGGATTACTGTGCATCCATAAAAAATGATGAGTCCATGTCCTTTGTAGGGACATGGATGAAATTGAAAATCATCATTCTCAGTAAACTATCACAAGAACAAAAAACCAAACACCGCATATTCTCACTCATAGGTGGGAATTGAACAATGAGATCACATGGACACAGGAAGGGGAATATCACACTCTGGGGACTGTTGTGGGGTGGGAGAGGGTGGAGGGAGATCATTGGGAGATATAACTAATGCTAGACGACGAGTTAGTGGGTGCAGCGCACCAGCATGGCACATGTATACATATGTAACTAACCTGCACAATGTGCACATGTACCCTAAAACTTAAAGTATAATAAAAAAAAAAGTGGGCATGGTGATGTGCACCTGTTATCCTAGCTATTTGGGAGGCCAAGGTGGAAGGATTGCTAGAGCTTGGGAGGCTGAGGCTGCAGTGAGCAGTGATTGCACCACTGCACTCCAGCCTGGGCAACAAAGCAAGACCCTATCTCAAAAAATATATATTATAAAAATAAAAATCAGCTCTCATTGATTTCTATGTAAATATGCTCAGGTAATGTCCATATAGACATAAATAATAATATTTCTGACAATGGGTCCATATGATCTTCAAAATGTAAAATGCCTATCTGTGTAATTGACTGGTTAGTCTCATTAATGAATATAGATTCAATTCCACTTTCTTGTTCTAGATAGATTATATAATCTAGCTTTTCATTTCACTTATTTACTGATAACAACAGGAAGAATGACAAGATATCTATTTTGCAAAATTACTCTGGTAGGAGTAAAGATGAAATAATGACAGAATTGCACAGAAACCTAGAAAAAAGTATGGTCTTCTGATATTCTATCACATCACATACTAAAGGCCTCATAAAACTCAGATATTTTATCTAAAAATGTTATTTTCATCATAGGAATGATCAAAGCATGAGACCACAATTGTATTAAAATGTGCTTGTATCACAAGCACAGGTGCTAAAAAGGAGAGGAAAACATCCTTACTGATATTTTCAATGTATGCTTTACTTTTCTTCAACATGAACCTCAACTTGATATGATGCAGATTGAAGGAAATCACCCAGAATTCCATATGAAAAAGGCCTGTGATATTTTATGGGAAAATGAATAGAGAAAATGCTAACAGAAACCCTGTTAAGCATGGAGCTTTATGGAGAAAATAGAAATCCGGTGGTGAAAGATACACACTCGAGTTCTGTTTGTTGTCTTGGAACAATACGGTTTAGAGGTGACTGGCGGGTGAGGAGAACATATGCGAGTTCACCAAAGAGAAAAGCTGAATGAGGCAATGCCTCTTCCTGACCATATCTCTTACTCAGATAACTATAGAATTTATTGTCCAGTAAAGGGTATATTAAAAAATCATATTAAAAGTCATGCAGTGAAGTTGTCCAGGGAAATCAAGACTTAACAGTCTCATTCTGACAATAACGAACAGGGGTATTCCCTCAAGATAGACTAGGACATGATCCCACACTGGCAGGTAGTAGTACCAGAAAAGAACGCATGGAAAATCTTTACCTTATGCTTGAGGTAGGGACCAGGCTAAAGTGAAAGCCAGACCTAAAATTCTATCTAAAATAAATCCACAATCGAAGAAAATATGTGGTGTACAGGCATAGAATGTCTTTACTGGATCATTGAAATAGTAAGGTAAATTGAACTTTTTACATTGTTTTCTTTTCCTCCAGTTAGGGCTTGAGGTTTGTCTCTGGAGAGTGACTGACAATTGCAGCCCTGCCTTTCTGGGGTTCTGGTCAGGGGGTTGTGGATGCTTAACATGTGCCTTTCACAGGACACTTCCTTACCCCAGCAGTGGCCAGGTGTGCATCCCACGGCCAGGCCTCCCTCTCACAGAACATCTGTTGAGACTAGGAGATGCCTGGTGACTGTTGCCTGACCTGTGTCCTGTGTATTTCTGACAAGAGCCACTCTCAGAGACCCTGGCCAGGAGGAGAGTTAGGTTCCAGTGTAGGTCAGCTCAGACACATGGAGGCCACAGAACCAAACATGGGAAATCACAGAAGTAGGTTTATTACTCACAGATCCAGAGAGAAGAGGGTAGCTGAGAAGAGGGTTTAGCTGTGTCCCCAGCCAAATCTCATCTTGAATTCCCACATGTTGTGGGAGGGAACAGCTGGGAGGTAATTGAATCACGAGGACAGGTCTTTCCCATGCTGTTCTTCTGATAGTGAATAAGTCTCACAAGATCTGATGGTTTTATAAAGGGGAGTTTCCTGCACAAGCTCTCTTGTCTTGTCTGCTGCCAGGTGAGATGTGTCTTTCGGCTTGTGCCATGATTGTGAGGCCTACCCAGCCATGTGGAACTGTGCATCTATTAAACCTCTTTCTTCTGGAAATTACCCAGTCTTGGGCATGTCTTTACCGGCGGTGTGAAAATGGACTAATAGAGTAGCACACCTCATAGGGCTGAACAAAATGGGGAAGATGAGTGGGGAGCAGGAGACAGAAAAGGGGTCTGTGGGACTCCAGCCTTTATTGGGCCCAGAACATTATCCAAATAAGTTTTCCACGGGGCACTAGTCGGTGGGGTGAGTGCCAGCAGGCACATTTCTTGACTCCTGCTGCAATCGAGCAGGTCACTCTGGCGTGTGGGGGCTGTCCATGTGCACTGTGAGGTCTGTGGGGTGAGTCAGGTAGGTTGTATCCAACGGTTCCATAGCTGGTAGTCACCAGGAGGAGGCAACTGTGTAGGGTCAATATCTGGGCCAGCCACACTGAGGAACTGTGAGGGTTAGAACTGGAAATTGTCAAGGGAATCCGAACCCAGCTACCATATGAGAGAGTTCAACTTATGTTCAATGTGAATGCCATGGCAATATTAAAAGGTAAGAATTCGCTCCATACGTGCTTGAGGTAAATAGGAGAAACCTAGAATTTATGTAAACAGTGAGAAGATTGGATGCGTTTTATGTCACATATTTTAATACTAGCAGCTTATTATATATGTCAATCCATCAGGCATTCAGAAATACATGCTTATGAAAATTTTTTGCACCATCAGACAAAAGACAAGGGTAGAAGATAACCTGGTCAAACTTTCTCACACAGAGAAATGTTTGTTAAGTAATTAAAGTGTAGATGATGATAAAAAGAGCTTGATTAAATAAGATGCCAAAGTACCCTTGTGATTCAGAATATGAATGGTACTTAATGCCCTTGAAATCAATAATTGCTGAGTGACATTAATTAACGCCAATATTTCAGAAGTTGTTCTGGTTAGTGAAATGTGTACAACTTGCAACAATTTCCGAACTCTGAAGGGCAACATTATTCTATAATTAAGAATTAAGAATTAATTCACATTAATTATTGGGGAGAAATAATTTTAAGAATTAATGACTGAGAAAACGTTTTTATTTTTTATTTAGAAAATTATTTTGTGCATGAGCATTACTGCCAGTTTTGCAAGAAA
Source organism: Homo sapiens (assembly GCF_000001405.40). Classification (NCBI taxonomy): domain Eukaryota; kingdom Metazoa; phylum Chordata; class Mammalia; order Primates; family Hominidae; genus Homo; species Homo sapiens. Next base: position 33,042,185 of record NC_000016.10, on the reverse strand, counting down.
CATAAATTTATAGAAACAATTATGTGCACAAGTTGAATTTAATAACATCTTGATATTTTCCACTATTACAGTTGTATTTGGTAAATCTTTAAATGCCCATAATCTAAAGATCATAAATGAATCTTGGAAATCTTGTAGGTAAGGGTAAATATAAGGATGCATCCAATTACATTTACACACACATACAATTACATTTACACAAACATACATGCACACACGCTCACTGATACAGGTATGCATATATATACATGAATTTACCAATTGATTTTTTTTTTTTTTTTTTTGAGATGGAGTCTGGCTCTGTCGCCCAGGCTGGAGTGCAGTGGCGGGATCTCGGCTCACTGCAAGCTCCGCCTCCCGGGTTCACGCCATTCTCCTGCCTCAGCCTCCCAAGTAGGTGGGACTACAGGCGCCCGCCACTATGCCCGGCTAATTTTTTTGTATTTTTAGTAGAGACGGGTTTTCACCGTTTTAGCCGGGATGGTCTCGATCTCCTGACCTCGTGATCCGCCCGCCTCGGCCTCCCAACGTGCTGGGATTACAGGCGTGAGCTACCGCGCCCTGCCTACCAATTGATTTTAACTAATATTTATAAGAGCCTGTAGGATTGATATATATTGTTGAACCTGAAAAATATTTATTATATACATGTTTAAAATACACAAAGAAATAAATAGTAATTGCACTAGGCATTTGAAACTGTACTTAAATATAAGCTGTGATCATTACAAATTCTTACACTGAATAAATATTTTTATTTTTATAATAATATGTTTGATACATGTGTCCATTTTTAAAAATGTATTATTTTTTCATAGAGTCAAGTCATGCATAATATTTCTGTCAGAGATGGATTACATATACAAAATTGGTCCCATGAGAATACATATTTTTACATACTTTTCTATGTTTAAGTATGTTTACATACATAAACTCTTACCACTGTGTTCTTATTGCCTGCAGTATTCAGTATAGTAATGTAGTACACAGGTTTGTAGCCTAGGAGAGAGAGGTTATACCATATAACCTAAACGTGGTAGGCTGTACAATCTAGGTGTTTGTAATATTCTCTGTGATGTTTGCAAAATGATGAAATTGCCTATGGATGCATCTGTTAGAACGTATCGCTGTCATTCAGTGATGCGTGACTGGCTAAAATGCTAAATCTAAGTTTCAATGACCTCCATAAAATTGTTGTACTGTGAAATAAAAATCTCTCACCTATGGTCTGAATGTGTTTGCCAACTAAGCAGATCATGGGAAGGAGAATGTGCTGGCATCGCTGGGATGATTTTCTCACACTACATGAATAATATCTCCAGACTTTGCGAATATGAGCCACTTGCATAGAGTTAAAGTAAGCATCTCTTTGCTGGGAATTTTATCAAACGGGAGTATGAAGTGTTTTTAAAAGATACTTGTTTGTTTGTAGCTGGTAGGCCTACAGTGGCTCATGGCAATGGTTGAGGTTGCTAAGATTTGGTGGAAGAAGGCAAAATGAAATGGCCACTTAGATGGTATATGGATCACTTGTTTCTGTTGAATTACAGATTCAGCCGGCTATTTCTCCGAACGTTAGTTATTTGGAGAAAGAAACATGATAGTAATTTTGGGGTAACAAATACAATATTTGATGAAAGCAAATTTATTGAGGGTTAGACAAACTACAAGATAATTTAGGCTGCAAAGTCAACACGATACTTCTGGCCCAAATTGTGCAGAGTTTGGGTCCAGCTGCAAAGTTCAAAGCAAGAGGCCATATAAGATGATTCGCACTTTTGTCACCAACTGCCAGTTCTGGGGTTTCCCCAGAACACCCTCAGTTTCAAGAATTTACTAAAAAGACTCACAGAACTCATTGAATGCCATTGTACTCATGGTTTATAATAGAGAAAGGGTAGAAATTAGGACCAATCAAAGGAAGAGACATATCACATAAGGTGGAATCAAGGAGGAATTTGAATGTTAAGTTTCCATTGTCTTCAGGACATATTACCTGTCATTGTTGTACAGCAATAAACATGGAGTACTACCAACCTGGGGAGCTCACCTGATGCTAAAAAGACTATTTAGAAAAGGAAAAGACAAAGGAAAGGAGGAGATAAGATGACCTTCCACATTAAGGCACTGGAAAGAATAGCAAACTAAACCTAAAGCAAGCAGAAGGAAGAAAATAAAAATTAGAGAAATTAATAATTTATAATATTAATCATATTTGTTAGTGTTTACTAGTTGATATTAATTCTTGACTGACTTTTTTTAAAAAGAGAAATATTCACTTCCCAATTTATTCTGTGGGGCCAGTGTTACCTTGATACAAAAATTAGTCCAAATAGCGTAGAAAAATAAAACTACTATAAGTATAAATGCAAAATTCCTTAAAAAGTAACAAATCAGATCTAGCAACATATAAAAGAATTACACACTATGACAAAGTGAAATTTATACTAGTGATGTCAGGTTGGTTTAACAGCCCAAAATCCATTACGGTAATACATCTTATCCATAGAATAAGAAACAAGAATTGCATGATCATGTCGATAGATTCGGAAAAGACATTTAACAAAATCCAAATGCTTTAATGATTAAAAATAAAAACTCAATGAACTAGGAATAGAGAACTTTCTACACCAGATACATGGCACCTGTGAAAAGCCAACAGCGAGCATGCAACTTAATGGTAAAGGATGCTTTCCCGCTATGGTCAGAGATAAGAATAGGATATATAGTTTGACCTCTTCTAGTCAACACTGTACTAAAGATTTTATGCAGGGCAAATCGGCAACAAAAAAAAAGAGTCACCCATATTGAACAGGAAGAAATAAAACTTTATTTGAAAATAACATTCTTGTATATAGAAAATTTTAAGGAATCCATTGAACGATAGAACTCGTAAATTATTTCAGCAATATTACAGCATACAAGATAAATGTACAAAAATCAATTACACATATCTACAATGAAAACCCAAAAATGAAATTAAGAAAACACTTCAATTTAAAATAGCATCAAAAAAAGAAATAATAATTAATTTGGAAAATGTGATACAAGATTTTACTCTGAAAATTAAAAATTATTGTTTAAAGAATGTCTAAATAATTAGCAAACATCTTCCACCCATGAATTGGAAGATTTAATATTGTAGTACTTTACAAGGTGAACTACAGATTTGACGTAATCCCTGCAAGTATCCCAACAGACTTCTGTCTAGAAACTGACAAGCTGATTCTAAAATACACATGGGATGGTAAGGGACTCAAAATAGCCAAAATAGTCTTGATAAAAGAAAACATATTAGGATAATTCACACCCCCGTGCTCCAAACCTTACGGCAAAGCATCAGTAATCAAGACAACACAATACTGATGAAGGAAAATTATATAGATTGATGGAAGAGAATTGAGAGTCCATATATAAAACTATGTATCTATAGTCAATGGATTCTTAAACTGGTGCCATGTGCAATTCAATGAGGAAGAGACAGTCTTTGAACACACCGGGTCAACAACGTACACGTGGATCGCCACTTGCAAAATAGTAAATTGGAACTCTTACCCCAAAGCATACAAAAATATTAACTCAAATGAATTAAAGACATACATGCAAGAGCTAGAATAAAGCATATGCGAAAATCTTCAGGATTTTGGATCTAGCAAAGAAATAGCTGTAACACCAAAAACATGAGCAACAAAATAAAAATTAGATATTTAAAATTTCTTAAAAATTAAAGACATTGGTGTTTCAAAGGACAACCAAGCAAGTCAAAAGGCAGCTCAAAAATTGTGAGAAGATATTTGAGAAACACATATCTATATGTCTGCTTATATATGTATCTTGAATATAGAAAAATTGTTTTAACTCAGTAACAAAAATCCCAACTCAAAACTGATAAACGATAGAAATAGTTGTGTATCCCAAGAAGATACACGAATGGTCAATAATCCCATAAAAAGATACTCAACAGCATCACTCATCAGGCAACTACAAATCAAAACGACAGTTAGATACTCTATGGCTAGAACTGGCCACTTTGGAAAATAGGTTGATGGCTTCTAAATATATGAAACATAGAATTGTCATATGACCCAGAAATTTATTCCCAGGTATACCCCCAGAGTATTGGAAAGAGGTGTTCAAACACAAATTATACACAAGTATTTTAACAGCAGTATTTAAAATAGCCAAAGGCTGAACACAAATCAAATGTCAACAAAATATTATTGGATAAACAAAATGTTATATCCATGAAATTGAATCTTATACAGTTATAAAAAGAAATAAAGTACCAATACGCATATGAACCTTGATAGCATTATGCCAACTGAAAGAAGCCAGGCACAAAAGGCCACCTATTGTATGATTCTATTTAGATGAAAATAGAATAGGAAGATCTACAGAGACAAAAAACAGATTTGTTGTTGCTTAGGATTGAGTAGGGGATGAGTGCATAGGAGGTTAACAGCTAGAGAAGGTGGGGTTTCTTTTTGAAGTGATGAAAATGCTCTAAAATTCATTGTGATGATGGCTCCACTTATCTGTGTATATACTAAAAGCCATTGACTTGTAGACATTACTATGTGCACTCTACAGTATGTAAATTATATCTCAATAAATCCTTTCAAAAATACACAGAAGACTAAGGGGTTTTGGACTGTTGCAGCTGGGAGGCAGTTTGAAATACTGAATAGGTCTCATCGAGAATGTGAGGTTTCAGTAAAGACCTGAGGAAGTTGAATGAGCTCATGAATGGATATATGGAGGGCTATCTTTCCAAGCTAAGAAATTAACTAGAGTCTTGGTCATAAGGCAGTAGCATGTTGGCATGTCCAGAGGACAGTGAGGTGGCCAGGACCACTGGTAAGTTCAAGGTTGAAGACATAAAAGAATTTTGGCGGTTAACATGCGGCAGATCATGATGGGCTTGCAGACCATTGTAAGAATTGTGTCTTTTAGTGTAAATGAAATGGGGAGACAAATCATTATCCCATTATCAATATTTTAATAAATTGGATCCATGAACCAAATCCGATGAGATTAAATCAATTAGTAATAATATGCAAATTTGTATTAAAATTACCAGAATTCCTTTCACGTTTGAGAACAGGAGAGTCATGATTCTTTATCAGCAATAATAAACTATTAATTTTAATTGTCATCAGCTAATTGAGATTAATTGCAATACATCATGCTTTATAATGTGACTGTCAAAAGGAAAATATGATTGTAATCTTATACTACATCTATCAATGTCTTTGATTCATAGGACTATAGACTAAGCCCCTAGTTTTCAAAGCCAACTGATGAGGCAGCGACATCTTATGCAAGTTTGCTGCTTTCTGCCACAGTGGTTCTTGGTCAGCTGGCACAAATTGTTTTACAACACCACTAGGTCTAAAAACAGTTTGGATCACAATGAACACAGAATCACCTTCATCCCTTCAGAAATACCTATCAATTACTTCCAATACAGAATGAAACATTGACAACGGAAGTATGTTGATTGTAAAAATGCCAGATAGCTTGCATCTACATGAAAGAAAAATGCCATTTTTATTACAATAGATCATTGTTTTACATGAGTTTTGGTATAGCACAATGTTGAACCAAGGGCAAAGAGAGATGAATTAATGAAGTCTTAAGATATCAAGAATTTGAAAGAAAAGGCAGGTCATTTTGAATGTTAGTGACATAGCATTCATCTTCTGTTGTCACCTTTTCCGTCATTCCCTGTATGCCTGATGGACAGCTTTCACTGAAGTTCAGAGAGCAGCATGCAAAGATTAGCTACCAAGTAATTTTTATGAAGTGAGCTTAATTTCTAGCCAGACTGAGCTTACGTTTTAGCAGGAAGCATTTTTGGGAAATGTTTATGTTAGAGTTTGCCCTTCTTGACAAGGTGAGACATAAATGTCTACGTTATAGACATGAATTAAGATGGGAAGATATTTGGGGGAAACATTTTCTCAAATGCAAAATAACAAAGGTACACAAAGGGGAAATTATACTAGATTTATTTCCCACTTGTTTTCTATGTCTCATGCAATTCACCTTGATTCCCTTCAGCTTCTGTTTAATGTAGAAAGTGGCATTTTCATTATTTTAAGCTTCTAGCACAATGAAAGAATTTCTCTTTTTCATGAACTGCATCATAAATGAAAGGGAGGAAGAGTGTCCAATATCATATTTATTGTTCAACAAAACACTGCTCCACTGCTTAAATTCAGTTTAAAAAAGAGAATTTATTGAACATCTAACACATACATAAAAGGCAGTAAAGACACATGAGAAGAGGGCAGGATATTGAAGTATACAGACTTTAATGCTGAGTTTTGTATCTTAGTAAGTTACTGCAGCTTACAGAGACTCAATTTCCCCTGATTTAGGAAGGCGATGCTAATGGGTATTGCATAGGTGTAAGTATTAAAATGTTGTATTTAAGAGAATCCCACAAGCTTGGTATAAGGCAGAAAATAAATAGATGTGACATTAATGAGTAGTTTATTACATTTGTATGCTACCTGCAGACTAGAGGAAGCAAGAAACACAGCCACTATGCTTGATTAGCATTATATTCTAATTTGGAATATAAATAGAAAAGAGAAAAATAGAAAGCTATGCATAAACACATGCATTAAAATGAATTTTATGTGGACTCTTTCAGGAAAATGTTCCTAAGGTATTTTATTTTTTTATTGTGGTAAAATACACATAACATAAAATGTACTCTGTTAACCATTTTAAGTGTACAGTTCAGTGGTACTAAATAGAGTCATAACATTGTGCAGCCATCCCTACCATCCATCTCCATAACTCGTTTCATCTTGTGAAACTGAAACTCTATACCCGTTAAACAGTACTTCCCCATGTCTTCCTCCCCCCAGCTTCTGGCAATCATCATTGTACTGTCTCTATGATTCTGTCCACTTTAAGTCTCTTATACAAATGGAATTATACTGTATTTGTCCCTCACTGACTAGCTTATTTCACTTGGCATAATATCCTCAAGTTTCATCCAAGTTGCAACATATGTCAGAATATTTCCCTCATGTTTAAGGCTGAATAATTTTCCATTGTATGTATATATCATGTTTTGCTTATCCATTCATCTGTGGTTGAACACTTCAATTGCTTCTATGTTTTAGCTATTGCCAATAATGCTGCTGCAAACATGGATGTGCAAATATTTTTTCAAGACTCTGCTTTCAATTCTTTTGCTATCTTGAGCTGTGGGGCTGCCGAATCATAAGGCAATACCATTTTGATGTTTTGAGGAAATACCATACTCTTTTCCACAGCAAACATAGGGTTTGGCATTCCCTCCAATATTGCAAAAGGAATCGCCACATCCTTGCCTGTGGATTTTATTCACAAGTCCTGTGGCTCTCTCTACATCCCAGCCACCATGTGTTATTTCCTGTTTATATATATGACATCAAAGGTGCAGAAAGTAATGAACTAAATTGGAAGGATAAACATGTAGAAAAATAGAGGTAAATACTGACTACATAAAACCATCAGAATAAGAATTTTGGATGATCTATCTATTATTTATGTATCTATCTAACATCTATCTGTTCCTCCATCTGTAATTAAAATATATTACAGTTAGAGAACAGAGAAAAAAGTAGGAATATATGAATTTAAATTTTAATTCTTCTTAGATTGTCTCACAGCATCATTACATGACAGAAAATTTATAGGTCAGTATCTGTTAACTATAAATGTAACATTTTTAAAGTATTCAAATACATTGAATTGCAGCATGAATAACATATTACAATCCATTCAAGTTTATTTTATTCCAGGAACACAAAAATACAAATTTCATTTGCAATTCAAGAAAAACAGAAATCGATACATATGATTGATGTATATACACATTTAATGTATTTTTAAATGTACATTTTTAAAAAATAAAATTTTTCTAGGACAACTCCTTAAAATATCACTGAAAATAGTGTTATTAGATAATACCTTCCTAATAACTCTGGTATTACATAAGAAAACAAAATTAAAATTTCAGATTAGCTTAGAAACTAAAAATTTTAAAAATATTATTCTGTTCTCCATATGTTCATATTTAATATTATTTCTTGTTTTCATTCTTCTTCAGTGTTGCTCTACTAAAATATAACATACAATAGTTACTTTTGATTTCTGTTATTACTCAAAATTGTATACATTTTCTCATGCTCTTAATTTAGCTATGCTACTTTTCTTTACTCCTGGAATTTTCACATTTGTGTTCACTCTCTTTTGAGTTCCCATAGTATCAAATAAGCTTTTTGCCCTCTTTCTGATTTGAAGGTTCATCTTCTCATAATTATTTTGTCCACTCAGTTTCTTTTCATTCTCAGTTAAGTGCCTCTCATCTGGCTTCTTTTCGTTTGTAAGGTTTCCTTTCATCTTAAGCCAGTCTTTTATTTATATTTTGATTCTGCTTCTTGGAGGACATGCATCCTGGAATTTTAAGGAAGAGGCCAAAAGTTTTGTTCAAGTTTTTACCTGATATATTGGATTAAACTATCTAATGTACACACCCTTAATTTAAGTCTAGGGGCGACTGTCTACTCTCGATTTTGTATAGTATTATTTTTCTTAACATCCAAGTCCATCTTCATCTATTTGTATATGATCAATAAAAATATATTTGTCCAGAGCCCTGCTTTGGTTGAGTTACTTCTTTCTAAGTAGGAGAGGTAGCAGTTGAGACATGAGCTGGGTTCTGGGTCAGTTTAGAGGGCTGGGCGACATTCCTCCTTTTGGTCTGTATGACTGAATGAATGCGGTTCTTGCTGTCTCGCTCCTCTCCTTAACACATTGAGCCATTGCAGCAGATGAGAAGAAATAATCCTGATCTGCTATTCAGGTGGAACACTTGTTCTCTCCAACCACATCCATAGGTTGTACTCACACTCGGCCAGAATGTATCCTGTCAATGATATGGAGATGTATCTAGCTATCCAGATAGATATCTACTTTGGTTTATGCTCTCTGGTTGCCCATAAATTATCTCCTTAAAGTGAATATCAAAAGAGAGCTTGGTGATGGCAGTGTTATAAAATCCTCAAGATGCAGCACCCACACCCAGAGGAATTTGTAGATTCTAGGATTCTAATTCAGATACCAAACTATATAAAAGGGGCATTGGTCATTGAGGGTTGCTAGGCTCTTTGTGGAGCATATTTGCTCTTTTCATGACTTTGAAATTATTTTAAAAATCTAACCTTTTTCTCGGTGTGCTGCAAGATGATTTGATTTTAATGCACAAGCACTAATTCTCCCCTAAGATTTGTACAATATGTTTGCTCTGACAAGCCACAGCCAGCAACTCTCTTCACAGCAATTTATAGCATTTCCAACACAATTTGAATTATTTTTAACTAGACTCTCTTTGCCTTAATAAAAATATGAAGAAGCAATATACTTGTTCTAGTTAGGTTCAAAAGTTGGCAGTCTCTCTCCTGGAAAGAATAATAAAACTTTTCAGCGGCCTAATATGCATCTATAGACACACACACATGCAAGCACTATTCATAATATTTAAAGCACATTCTGTTCTATGACTTCATTTGTCTAGCACAAAATAAAACGATCTCAGTATATGTCAAGTACCAATTGTTTCGTATGGCCAATTATAGGTATTTTATTTTTTAAAGATTAGAGTGTTCTTGAAGCTCTTTCTATTTCTTTGTCAATGAACTAAACATTGGCAAATATGTAGGGTTTCCCACATAAGAACATTATTAACATCAAAATAGAAAGCTGGTGGTAGAAATAATGATTGGGAACACAGAGTCTCTACTCAGCGTTCTACTTCTGCCATACCATAACTTTGTGATCTCACGAAATATCTCTCCATGTTCTCATCCCTATGTATAGTTCTGTCATTTTTCAATAAGAGCTTTTTGCTTAATTATGAAGTACTAGTTACTATAACCATTATTTTGAGCTTCATGTAAATCAAGAACACATGGACTCCACTTGCAAAACATTGAAAATGTAGTTAGGGATTGGGGGCACAAAGCAACATTTTAAAATGTGTAAAGACAATGAGTAAGCAACAAAGTGTCCAATTTTTTAGGCGAAAGTTGCATATGTCAGGAAAAGGCAGGATTAAGTAACAGAGAATTTGAATGATAACTGGCCAATTGGTGTCGTTTACAATTGCAAGTCATACAAATGAAGTTTGCTTTTTTAAAGAGAAAAGGAGTTAGTTAGAATGGGTCAAACTATCGGGGAAGCAATGTAGTTAGAGACAATGCCCAAAACCATGTGAGCAAATGCTCTGTAGAGCGCACCCCTGCAATGCTGCCATTGTGAGGCCAAGTCTCTCCTTGTCTTGGTACTGAGCCCTCCATTCTGCCTCCATCATTGCCACAAATGATCCCACTGTAGCTGCCACAAAATGATCCCTCAACCACCGCTGCCCAGGAACAAAGAAAGAATTCTGTCCTTCCGCGCTCTCAGATCAATTTCCAACATCAGGTGAGACTTTGATGGGCACTATTCAGTTCCCAAATCCCTGAAATAGATGCAGTAAAAACATAGAAATTGCCTATGTGTTTCCCAATAAGACACATATGGAAGCCTGTTTTCCCACAACAGGAAGGGGTTTCCACGATGGGTGCTCAAAGGAACAATATTCCCTGTAAACCATACTTTGCCCATATGAAGAAGAGCAATAAGGATTATTTAGTAAATAGACATGGAAACTCATCCAGGGTTGGTTGATGAGAAGCTGGTTAGCAAGGGGGTCTGCCTTCAGTTAGGACAAGGTCTGTGCTTCCCACGGGTTCTCTCCACATCAGGAGGGATGCAAACTTCCCTTTCCTCCCCTGCACCTACCCTCAAATGGCCCAGAGGTCTTCAGGTGCTAGAATTTCTCAATGAATGCTGCACAAAATAACAGACAGCCTTGACTGTCACTGTCTGTTCTCATGAAGCTAGTCTCTGCTTACTACATAAAACAGAAGAGTAAGAACAAGGGTGTTAAACACTACCCTAGCTCAAACAAGTTTCTCTCTGTAGGATGCGAAGAACCTGGGAACCAGTGCATCTGCTGCTTTCCCTTCTCGGATTCTAGCCCAGACAAAAGAGGCAAGGGGCATTTCTTCAGAGACCTTGAGCTTCACTACACAATGCCCCAGGCTCTACATGCACCCTCTTTATATATTTCTACCTTGAAAAAAAATTTTATATAATAACATATTTTTATATAAGGAACACATATGTTTATTTTATAGATAGATATACATAGATAAAGATCTCTAGTCTGCCTTTTTTAAGGCTGAGCTGATCGCGGTGCCCCAAAACTATAATCCCAGCACTTTGGGAGGCCAAGGTGGCCAGATCTCTTGAGTCCAGGAGATGGAGATCAGCCAGGGCAAGATGGTGAAACCCCATCTTTACAAAATTAGCTAGTATGGTGTCATGCACTTGCAGTCCCTGCTACTCAGGAGACTGAGGTGGGAGAATCGCTTGAGCACAGTATGTGAAGGCTTCAGTGAGCTCTGATCACATGACTGCACTCCATCTTGGGTGACAAAGTGAGACCCACTCTCAAAATAAAATAAAATAAAAAGGCTACCACCATACTCACAGATAAGTGTGTCAGGTATATTTGCAGCTATCTTTCCTATATTCTATTTGGTAAAAAAAAAAAAATTGCAAAGAACTCTTCTCATTCTAGATTTTTGTATTAATTAGACATTTGAAGTTTATAGCAGAAGAGCTATAATCATGTTTGGTATGTGTACTCTATAGACCAGATAGTGCAAACATATATCAATGCTTTTTAAAAGTATATAAGGTTATTAGAAATATTTTAAACTACCTATAGGTATATATGTATCTAATTCAACTATCAAATCAAGTAAGATCATTTCCTTAGCGTGTGAAATGCACTCAATTTATTAAAATATTTTCTAATGTCTATTACAATAATATTTCTTAATTAGCTAACATAAGAGGAGTTTTAAGACATTTATTTATATGTACTTACTAGATTCAAACTCGATTCCACTATTTTCAGAAATCATGCTCCGAGACAAGTCCTTTTTTTATCTAACTCTGTTTCTACCTATATTAAAAGACAGATATGTCAATTTTGCTAATCATGCTGTTCCAAACCTCTCCATCCTATTTTTCGGTTTGTTCTACCAGTCATTCAGAGACTTACTTATATGCAAATTTCTCTCTAGGTTTAACATTTGTGTATGTCTTCTTGTGTTTTTGTCTATTTTTGCTGTATATAATTTATTTATTGACATATACATGCAGAAAAGTACAATGATTAAATATGGATAGCTTCATTAATGAAACACATGTATTTGCTTATAACCATGTATGAAAATAGAACATTACTAAAAATAGAGATACTTCTCCTGCCCCTTTCCAAACACTAACCCTCATCCTCAATAGTAACAGATTTTTTTTTATCATAGAGTAATTTGGTCTATTTTCAAATTTTTATTAAATAAATCAGAGTATCTACTCTAAGTCTATGTTTCTTTCATTGTTGTTATTTTGCTTATAGTATTTATCTGCTAATGGACATGGTAGATTAAAGACGGCTACATACACATTTTTTAATTAATAGATTTTTTGAGCACTTTGTGGCTCATGCCTCTAATCCCACCACTTTGGGAGGCTGAGGTGCGGGGATCATGAGGTCAGGAGATCGAGACCATCCTGGCCAACGTGGTAAAACCCCTTCTCTACTAAAATACAAAAAATTAGCTGCTACATAACATCAAGATAACATGTGGGTTCTTAGCTGCACTGAGTCAAGCCTACTTACATCTTTGTTTGTCTTCCTCTGCACTTTTCCTTCCACATCACACTCCAGGAATGCCAAGCTGTGCTGGCTGTCTACCCCATTTCCACTATTTTGCCCCCGCCGACGCGGCTTTTTGCCGTCGTGGATTTTTGACCCCGCCGCTGCGGGTTTTTGCGGCTTTCTGCCCCCGCCGCCGCGGCTTTCTGCCCCCGGCCTCGCGGAATTTAGCCCCTGCCGCCGCGGCTTTTGGGGCTCTTTGCCCTCGCCGCCGTGGCTTTTTGCCGCCGCAGCTTTTTGGGTCTTTCTCCCCCCACCGCCGCGGCTTTTTGCCCTAGCCTTTGCGGCTTTTTCCCCCTGCTGCCACAGCTTTTTGCCCCCGCCACCGTGAATTTTTCCGCCGCGGCTTTTTGTCACCGCCGCCGCGGCTTTTTACGGCTTTTGGCCCCCGGCGCCGCGGCTTTTTACTGCTTTTCGCCCCCGCCGCCGCAGGTTTTTCCCGCCGTGGCTTCTTGCCCTGCCGCCCCGGCTTTTTGCGGCTTTTTGCCGCCATGGCTTTTGGCCCAGGCCACCGCGGCTTTTTACGCCTTTCCGCCCCCGCCGCCGCGGCTTTTTTCCCCCTCCGCCACAGGTTTTTCCAGCCGCGGCTTCTTGCCCCCACTGTCAGGGCTTTTTGTGTCGTTTTGCCCCCCGCCGCCGCGGCTTTTTGCTGCTATTTGCCCCTGCCACCGCAGCTTTTTGCCTCCGCTGCCGCGGCTCCTTGCCCCCTACGCGGCTTCCTGCCCCCACCGCCGCGGCTTTTTATCACCCCAGCCGCTTTTTGCCCCCGCCGCCAGGGTTTTTTGCTCCTGCCGCGGAGGGTTTTTGCGCCTTCATGTCCCCGCCGTCGTGGCTTTTTGCCGCCCCTGCTTTTTGCCCCCTCTGTCGCGGCTTTTTGCGGCTTTTTACCCCCTCCGCCGTGGCTTTTGGCACCGGACGCTGCGGCTTTTTGAGGCTTTTTGCCCCCGACGCTGCGGCTTTTTGCTGCCGCCGCACCGTTTTGCCCCCGCCGCGACTTTTTCCACCGCCGCCGCATCTTTTTGCCGCCGCGGCTTCTTACCCCGCCACCGCGGTTTTTATCCCGGCCGTCGCGGCTTTCTGACCCCGATGCTGTGGCTTTTTACGGCTTTTTGCCCCCGTCACCACAGCTTTTTGTCGCCGCGGCTGTTTGCCTCGGCCGCCCTGGCTTGTTGCCCCCGCCGCCGTGGCTTGTTGCCCCCGTCGCCCCGGCTTTTTCCCCCACCGCCCCGGCTTTTGGACCCCACCGTTGCGGCTTTTTGCGCCCGCTGCCGCGGCTTTTTGTGGCTTTTTGCCCCCGCCGCCGCGGCTTTTTGCCGACGCGGCTTTTTACTCCCGCCGCCACAGGTTTTTACCCCTGCGGCTTTTTCACCCTGCCGTCGCGTGTTTTTGCCCCCACCGCCGTGACTTTTTACCCCCACCGCCGCGGGTCTGAGGGCGGGATCAGCAGACTCAGCTGCCAGATCTACCTGCGTCCTGGCTAAGGCAGCGCCGAGGGTCACTCCTGGTCCAGCTCTCCCGGTTCGGGGGTTCCTTGCCTAGACACCCGCGCCCCAGGCTCTGTTCCTGGGCAGCTGCAGCCAGCATAGAGCTGCGCTGCGCTCGGCCCCGATGGGAGAGAAGAAGGAGAGCGGTGGAGGGGGTGACGCGGCTATCGCGGAGGGAGGCGCAGGGGCCGCAGCCAGCCGGGTGCTGCAGCAGTGCGGGCAGCTTCAGAAGCTCATCGGCATCTCTCTTGGCAGCCTGCGCGGGCTGCCCACCAAGTGCACTGTGTCCAAGGACCTCACCCAGCAGGAGATACGGACCGTGCAGGTAAGGGGATCAGGGACCAGAGCTGGGCTCCAGCACCAGACTGGACATCTCCCTCGGGGCCCCAGTTCACTCCTGGCCGAGTTGCATCCTTGAGCCTGCGTCACCCCCTTGGAGGCTTCTCCTCCCTCCTGCACTCGCTGATGCGGCAGCTGGAGGACCCGGGACCAGCCCTCACCTTGGGCAGGATTTGTGGGGTAGGTGCGTGTTGGGAACTGTGATGGAGGCTCAAGGGGCCCGTGGGCGGGGTGGGCTGCGCGCGGACATCCCCTTACGCCTCGAATTTCCATCTGGTGCAGCCTTCTCATCTTGTAGGTGAGGAAACCGAAGGCCTGAGGGAGAAATGACTTGCCAGGAACCCCTGTTAAGGAAAATTAACAAAGTGTGGTTATCAAAGGAGAACTGAGTTCAGATTCAAACCTGGAGTCCCACACCCTTGGTTAAGACATTATATCACCTTGAGTCTGGCCTGTTGACTGAGGGTGAGGCACTCCATCCTTGTCTGATTGTGGGGTCTTGACCTCAAATGGTTTCCTGCAGGAAGAAGCAAATGGGTTTGCTTTCCTAGCTCTGTCCAGTACCTTAGGGACCCTGAGAACTGGAGAGATTCTTGGAGAGCCATCTGGTGTATGTCACGGGTGGGCCTTGTTTGAAGGTCAGTCTGCCCAGTGGGCTGGCTCAGCCCGAATGAACTGTCTTGAATCTTTGGAGATGTCTGGGTACTTTTAAGGGTTTCTCATCCTTGCACCAAAAGATCCCCTGGAAATTAGGTGGGAAAACCTTAACTTTTGTGGAGCCTTGTATTTGTCTTAAAAGTTCATGCACATAGCCAGGTGTGGTGGCTCACACCTGTTATCCTGTCCTGGATCCCTTGAGTCAAGGAGTTAGAGACCAATCTGGACAATATAGTGAGACCCCATCTCTACAAAAAATAAAATATTAGCCAGGAGTGGTTGTGCACATCTGTAGTCCTAGCTACTACTGTGGCTGAGGCGGGAGGAGCACTTGAGCCTGCACTGAGCTGTGATCTCACCAGTGTATTCCAGCCTGGGCCACAGAACAACACCTTGACTCAAAAAAAAAAAAAAAAAAACCCAACAAGAAAAATTCTTGAAGATTTTGCATTCTGTCCCACTATCCATTGGTTTTCATGTCAAGATAATGTTAGAAATTCTTTACAATTGCTTCCAGAAGGAGTAGCCTTTTGATCTAGTGCACAGGTGTCCAGTCTTTTGGCTTCTCAGGGCCACATTGGAAGAAGAATGCTCCTGGGCCACAGATAAAATACACTACTGCTAATGATAGCTGATGAGCTTAAAAAAAAAAGGTTTGTGCATAATTTTCATGATACCCACCACCACAGATAGGCGGAAAAGTCCTTGTAGTCAAAGGGTTGGACAGGGCTGATCTAGTGTCTTGTCGTCCGTTTTGGCTTTCTCCCTGACTCCAGAATGCAGGTAGAGATGTAGAGACATGCTCCCAGGACAGCTGTTGAGATAAAAAAAAATTCATTGTCATTTATTCCCAAGGACAGCTGTTTGCCATTTGCATTGAAAAAGTCTCCATTCAAACTGCTGTCACATATAAAATCTACTTATATAAGTCTGTATTTTTCTGTTGTCTTGGCCTTTGTGGGCAGTAGTGTGTTTTAACCGAGCAAACTGTCCTTCCAAATAATGAAGCCGAAGTCAGCCTACCTGCTTGCCATTTTTCTTCCCCTTCCATTTTTCTAACCTCAGGATAATTGTAAGAATGAATTAAGATTTGTGTGTAAGGCCAGGCACAGTGTCTCAGGCCTGTAATCCCAGCACTTTGGGAGGCGGAGACGGATGTATCGCTTGAGCTCAGGAGTTGAAGACCAGCCTGGGCAAAATACTGAGACTCCGTCTTGTGTAATTAAATTAAAATTTTAAAAAAGAAGAGAAAAGGACCTGTGTTTAAAATTTTAAAAAAGGGGGGAAAGTGTAATGCAAAATGTGGACCATGCTAGCTATGACTGGGAAAAATAATTTTTCCTGCAGCATTATCTGTAGACTTGTGTTAGCAGCATACTGGTCATAAGCGTTTTGCTTTCGTCAAATATGATGAGGTAAGCTATTTTAAAGTGTGGTGGTGCTTTCTTCTGCATGGCTCCTGGAGGTGTTGAGTCCCAATTTAGCCAATTAATTTGGGTTTAATTTTGATATGGATAAGGGAGACCAGCTTCATTCATGGTGCACACACAGTTTTGCCAGTAAGGAAAAAAAAAGCAACCTGAATGTTCCTACTCAGTAGATGCTATCTGGAGAGCTCCTACCCCACCCCCACCAAGGCCCGGGCCATTAAAAAGACTCAATGCAGCCTTTCTGGATCTCATACTGTATTCTGCAAGATACTCCTGTGAAAGAAAGTTGTGCTGCATCAGCCATCTCCCTCCTGAAGATCCCTGCGGATGAGGATTTGTGTTTTGAAAGTTCTGAGAATTCCTGCAACAACAATTCTCAAACTTATTTGTCCAGGGGATCTTTTCTTCCACTGAATGTAGTTGGGGAGACACGGCCTTAAGCCTTGAGCAGAGAAAGAGACAGAGAGCAGCAGCTGGGTGCATGATCCAAGTGTACGGTTCTGCCTGTAGGTGGAGGGAGGAAGGTGCATTCCCAGAGCTAACACACTGTGGATTTTTATACAGAATACATGTTTTCAACTGATTTATTGGAAGGCATATGAAAAAATGGGCAGTCCACAAACAATTGTAATTTCCAGATTTACCACAATTGCATTATTTCTTCATTCTGCACGATGTCCTGGAACAGAGTTGCATTTTTCATGAGTATTGTTTCATGGATTGAGAACATGAATTTCACACCTACATTTTTAGCCATGTGCAGAGACCTTGAGTAGAGCATGTCTGGACCTCATCTACACTATCTCTCATGCCCCAAGGGAAAGAGTGGAGACTTGACTGACAGCAAACTTTGGGGAATTAATGAACGTTAATATTTTCTTATAGACGAATAAACATATTGGGCTAGAAGATCTACTCAGTGGGAAAAGTAAGGTTTTAGTTATCCCTGTTGAAAGTTTTTTTTTCATTTATTTTGCTGCATTTGAAAAGCTGGTGATCTTAACATTGCCTATATTTTTAATAATCTTAAGATTTTTTAGTTTTTATGTTTTGTTAGGGATCAGGCAATGGAAGATGCATATTTATAGATGAAACTTACAATATAAGGTAAATATTGACTTACTAATAGTTATGCGAGAATATTTATTTGATCCCAATTTTATATAGTTGAGTGTGTGAAGTTGCAGGTCAAGATAACTTGGAGTTTCAACACCAAGTTTTATTCATGTGTTCATTGATGAACAGGATGCCTCCAATGTGGAGAAATTTACAATGAATAAGCATGAATAGGACCTGGCCAGTGAGCTTTCAGTCTAGCAAGGAATGTAGAACAGGAACATAGCAACTCTAATCCAATGTAGAGAGAGAGACAATTTTAAATCCAATTGAAAAATAAATAGCTGTGTTAGACTGAGGCCATCAAATAAAGCTTCATGCAATAAGCAGCAATAGGTCTTCAAAGATGACAGTTTAGCAAAAGGCACAAAAGTGAAAAGTGCAGAGCATTAAGTAGTGTATGGTTTAGTGTGCTGGAAATAACAGGTTGGACAAGAGTTGTGACTAGGATAAACAGCAAAAAGGATTTATGAGAGCCTGATGGCCACTAGTGACTGGGTAAGATGTGTACACTTTCTGTGCAGGAAAAGGGACAAAGCTTTTGAGCAGCAGAGAAACATGATCAGAGGGATGCATGAGGAAGGTCCTGAAAACCCTAATGAGTAATCTTGGTTAAACCATTTCACTATAACTCAAGTTTTGCATGTATATACTATAATAGAAACAACATTTGTGCTCTTCCCATATGTAGAGAGGTCAAAAGAAAATCTGTTCATATAATCTTCCAAGCCAGTCACAAAGACTAAGACAAAACACTTACATAAATAAAATTCATAAGATGAATTTTAAAAGATGAAAGATAGTCAATACATTTTATTTTATAACTTGGAAATTTAAACTCCTGAAAATATACCTTAATTTAAAATACGGAGGAAAGGAACAAAATCAATGTGCAAAAATCACAAGCATTCTTATACACCAATAACAGACGAACAGAGAGCCAAATCATGAGTGAACTCCCATTCACAATTGCTTCAAAGAGAATAAAATACCTAGGAATCCAACTTACAAGGGACGTGAAGGACCTCTTCAAAGAGAACTACAAACCACTGCTCAATGAAATAAAAGAGGACACAAACAAATGGAAGAACATTCCATGCTCATGGGGAGGAAGAATCAATATCGTGAAAATGGCCATACTGCCCAAGGTAATTTATAGATTCAATGCCAACCCCATCAAGCTACCAATGACTTTCTTCACAGAATTGGAAAAAACTATTTTAAAGTTCATATGGAACAAAAAAGGGCCCGCATTGCCAAGTCACTCCTAAGCCAAAAGAACAAAGCTGGAGGCATCACGCTACCTGACTTCAAGCTGTGCTACAAGACTACAGTAACCAAAACAGCATGGTACTGGTACCAAAACAGAGATATAGACCAATGGAACAGAACAGAGCCCTCAGAAATAATGCCGCATATCTACAACCATCTGATCTTTGACAAATCTGACAAATACAAGAAATGGGGAAATGATTCCGTATTTAATAAATGGTTCTGGAAAAACTATTATAATTGATAAAAAATTCTGTAAATTTGCAGAATACAACACCTACATACAAAAATTGGTGGCATTGCTAAATGCAAACAGCAAAAAATCAATAAAGCATTTTGTTTATAATAGCTAAAAATTATATTTCATATTACCAAATAAGTGAAAGATTTCTAAAAGGAAACCAAAAATGATTGATAATAAAATATAAAGCAAACACACACAAATTGAAAATATATCTGAAATATTCCATGTTCATGGTTCAGAAAAATTAATAGTTATTTTTTTCTTTCTTTTTTTATAATAATTTAAGTTCTAGGGTCCATGTGCACAACGTGTAGGTTTGTTACATATGTATACATGTGCTATGTTGGTGTGCTGCACCCATTAACATTACATTAGGTGTATCACCTAATGCTATCCCTCCCAGCTCCCACGACCCCATGACAGGCCCCGGTGTGTGTGTGATGTTCCCCACCCTTAGTCCAAATGTTCTCATTGTTCAATTCCCACCTATGAGTGAGAACATGCGGTGTTTGGTTTTCTGTCCTTGTGATAGTTTGCTCAGAATGATGGTTTCCATTTTCATCCATGTCCCTACAAAGGACATGAACTCATCCTTTTTAATGGCTGCATAGTATTCCATGGTGTATATGTGCCACATTTTCTTAATCCAGTCTATCACTGATGGACATTTGGGTTGGCTCCAAGTCTTTGCTATTGTCAATAGTGACACAATAAACATAAGTGTGCATGTGTCTTTATAGCAGCATGATTTATAATCCTTTGAGTATATACCAAGTAATGGGATTGCTGGGTCAAATGGTATTTCTAGTTCTAGATCCTTGAGGATCACCAAACTGTCTTCCACAATGGTTGAACTAGTTTACAGTCCCACCAACAGTGTAAAAGTTTTCCTATTTCTCCACATCCTCACCAGCGCCTGTTGTTCCCTGACTTTTTAATGATTGCCATTCCAACTGGTGTGAGATGGTATCTCATTGTGGTTTTGATTTGCATTTCTCTGATGGCCAGTGATGATGAGCCTTTTTTCATGTGTCTGTTGGCTGCATAAATGTCTTCTTTTGAGAAGTGTCTGTTCATATCCTTCGCCCAATTTGTGATGGGGTTGTTTGTTTTTTTCTTGTAAATTTGTTTGAGTTCATTGTAGATTCTGGGTATTAGCCCTTTGTCAGATGAGTAGATTGCAAAAATTTTCTCCCATTCTGTTGGTTGCCTGTTCACTCTGATGGTAGTTTCTTTTGCTGTGCAGAAGCTCTGTAGTTTAATTAGATCCCATTGGTCAATTTTGGCTTTTGTTGCCATTGCTTTTGGTGTTTTAGACATGAAGTCCCTGCCCATGCCTATGTTCTGAATGGTATTGCCTAGGTTTTCTTCTAGGGTTTTTACAGTTTTAGATCTAACATTTAAGTCTTTAATCCATCTTGAATTAAGTTTTGTGTAAGGTGTAAGGAAGGGCTCCAGTTTCAGCTTTCCACAAATGGCTAGCCAGTCTTCCCAGTACCATTTATAAATAGGTAATCCTTTCCCCATTTCTTGTTTTTGTCAGGTTTGTCAAAGATCAGATAGTAGTAGATGTATGGTATTTTCTGAGGGCTCTGTTCTGTTCCATTGGCCTATACCTCTGTTTTGGTGCCAGTACCATCCTGTTTTGGTTACTATAGGCTTGTAGTATAGTTTGAAGTCAGGTATTGTGATGCCTCCATCTTTGTTCTTTTGGCTTAGGATTGACTTGGCAATGTGGGCCCTTTTTTGGTTCCATATGAACTTTAAAGTAGTTTTTTCCAATTCTGTGAAGAAAGTCATTGGTAGCTTGATGGGGATGGCATTGAATCTGTAAATTACCTTGGGCAGTATGGCCATTTTCACAATATTGATTCTTCCTATTCATGAGCATGGAATGTTCTTCCATTTGTTTGTATCCTCTTTTATTTCGTTGAGCAGTGGTTTGCAGTTATCCTTGAAGAGATCCTTCACATCCCTTGTAAGTTGGATTCCTAGGTATTTTATTCTCTTTGAAGCAATTGTGAATGGGAGTTCACTCATGATTTGGCTCTCTGTTTGTCTGTTATTGGTGTATAAGAATGCTTGTGATTTTTGCACACTGATTTTGTATCCTGAGACTTTGCTGAAGTTGCTTATTAGCTTAAGGAGATTTTGGGCTGAGATGATGGGGATTTCTAAATATACAATCATGTCATCTGCAAAGAGGGACAATTTGACTTCCTCTTTTCCTAATTGAATACACTTTATTTCTTTCTTCTGCCTGATTGTCCTGGCCAGAACATCCGACACTATGTTGAATAGGAGTGGTGAGAGAAGTCATCCCTGTCTTGTGCCAGTTTTCAAAGGGAATGCTTCCAGTTTTTGCCCATTCAGTATGATATTGGCTGTGGGTTTGTCCTAAATAGCTTTTATCATTTTGAGATACATACCATCTATACCTAATTTATTGAGAGTTTTTAGCATGAAAGGTTGTTGAATTTTGTCAATGGCCTTTTCTGCATCTGTTGAGATAATCATGTGGTTTTTGTCTTTGGTTCTGTTTATATGCTGGATTACGTTTATTGATTTGTGTATGTTGAATCAGCCTTGCATCCCAGGGATGAAACCCACTTGATCATGGTGGATAAGCTTTTTGATGTGCTGCTGGATTCGGTTTACCAGTATTTTATTGAGGATTGTTGCATCTATGTTCATCAGAGATATTGGTCTAAAATTCTCTTTTTTTGTTCTGTCTCTGTCAGGCTTTGGTATCAGGATGATGCTGGCCTCATAAAATGAGTTAGGGAGGATTCCCTCTTTTTCTATGGATTGGAATAGTTTCAAAAGGAATGGTACCAGCTCCTCCTTATACCTCTGGTAGAATTCCGCTGTGAATCTGTCTGGTCCTGGACTTTTTTTGGTTGGAGTCTATTAATTATTGCCTCAATTTCAGGGCCTGTTATTGGTCTATTCAGGGATTCAACTTCTTCCTGGTTTAGTCTTGGGAGGGTGTATGCGTCCAGGAATTTATCCATTCCTTCTAGATTTTCTAGTTTATTTGCATAGAGGTGTTTATAGTATTCTCTGAGGGTAGTTTGTATTTCTGTGGGATCGGTGGTGATATCCCCTTTACCATTTTTTATTGCATCTATTTGATTTTTCTCTCTTTTCTTCTTTATTAGTCTTGCTAGTGGTCTATCAATTTTGTAGATCTTTTCAAAAAACCAGCTCCTGGATTCATTGATTTTTTGAAGGGTTTTTTGTGTCTCTATCTCTTTCAGTTCTGCTCTGATCTTAGTTATTTCTTGCCTTCTGCTAGCTTTTGAATATGTTTGCTCTTGCTTCTCTAGTTCTTTTAATTGTGATGTTAGGGTGTCAATTTTAGATCTTTCCTGCTTTCTCTTGTGGGCATTTAGTGCTATAAATTTCCCTCTACACACTGCTTAAATGTGTCCCAGAGATTCTGGTATGTTGTGTCTTTGTCCTCATTGGTTTCAAAGAACATCTTTATTTCTGGCTTCATTTCATTATGTACCCAGTAGTCAGTCATTCAGGAGCAGGTTGTTCAGTTTCCATGTCGTTCTTTCCTTCCTTCCTTCTTTCCTTTCTTCCTTCTTTCCTTCCTTCCTTCCCTCCTTCTTTACTTCCTTCCTTCCTTCTTTCCTTCCTTATTTTTTTCCTTCCTTCCTTCCTTCTTTCCTTCTTTCTTTTTTGACAGAGTTTCAGTCTTGTCACCCAGGCTGGAGTGCAGAGGCACAATCTCAGCTCACTGCAACCTCCACCTCCTGGGTTCAAGCGATTCTCCTGCCTCAGCTTTGCGAATAGCTGGGAATACAGCCACCTGCCATCATGCCCGGCTAATTTTTGTATTTTTAGTAGAGACAGGGTTTCGTCATGTTGGCCAAGCCCGTCTCGAACTCCTAACCTCAAGCGATCCACCCAGCTCGGCCTCCCAAAGTGCTGGGATTACAGGTGTGAGCCACTGCACCCGGCCTTTTTTTTTTTTTTCTTTTTTGATAAAAGTCATCTTAACTGAGGTGAGATGGTACCTTCTACCATTCTGTAGGCTGTTTGCGCACCATGTTGATTATTTCTTTTTTCTGTGCAGAAGATCTTTAGTTCAGCTAAATCCCATTTGTCTATTTTTGTTTTCATTGCATTTGCTTTTGCAGTCTTAGTCATATTTTATTTGCCTAGGGCAATGTCCCGAGAATTTTCCTTACATTTTCTTCAAGTACTTTTATAGTTTCAGTTTATACTTATAAATATTGAATCTATATTCAGTTAATGTTTGCCTCTGGTGAGATAGAAGTCTGGTTTTATTCTTCTACGTAAGGCTGTCTAATTCTCCCAGCACCACTTATTGAATAGAGGGTTGTTTCTCCAGTGAATATTTTTGTCAGTGTTGTCAAAGAAAAGTTGGTTGTAGATATTTGGCTTTATTTCTGGGCTCTCTATTCTCTTACATTAATTTTTTTTTAGATAGGATTTTTCTGTCATTGTCCAGCCTGCAGAGTAATGGCACGA
Source organism: Homo sapiens (assembly GCF_000001405.40). Lineage (NCBI taxonomy): Eukaryota > Metazoa > Chordata > Mammalia > Primates > Hominidae > Homo > Homo sapiens. The sequence goes on along the minus strand of NC_000016.10, from coordinate 33,018,299 downwards.
TCTCGGCTCACTGCAACCTCTGCCTCCTGTGTTCAAGTGATTCTCCACATCTTTGGCACTGCCCTAGTAGAGGCTGTCCGTGGTGGCTCCACTCCTGCATCAGGCTTCTTCCTGGGCACATAGTTCTCTATATACATCTTCTGATATCTAGGTAGAAGCTGCCCAGCCTCCTTCACTCTTCCATTCTGTATATCTGCCATAATCCAGTTGTCCCAACACCATTTACTGAATACAGAGATTTTTCCTCATTGCTTGTTTTTGTCAGCCTTATCAAATATAAGATGGTTGTATATGTGCAGCTTTATTTCTTTATTTCTGTTTTCTATTTTGTCCCATTTTTCCTGCATGTCTTCTCATGTACCAGTACCAAGCTGTTTTTGTTACTGTGACTTTATGGTGTAGTTTAAAGTCGGGTATCATGATGCCTCTGGCATTGCTCTTTCTGCTTAGGATTGCTTTGGCTATTCAGGCTGTTTTTGGTTCCATACAAATTTAGAATATATAAAATTTTTCTAATTTTGTGAAGAATGATGGTGATAGTTTTATGTAAATTGTATTGAATCTGTAAATTGCTTTGGGCAGTATGACAATTTTTACAATACTGATTCTTCCAACCATGAGCATGAAATGTTTTCCCATTTGTTTGTGTCATTTGTGATTTCTTTCTGCTGTGTTTTGTAGTTCTCCTTGTAGAGATCTTTCACCTTGTTTGTTACCTGTATTTCCAGGCATTTCATATTTTGTGTGTGTGAATATTGTAAGTGTGATAGGATTGTGTTCTTGATTTCAGTCTCAGCTTGGACGTAGTTGGGGTATAGAAATGCTAGATTTTTGTACATTGATTTTGTATCCCAACACTTTACCAAAGTTGTTTATCTATTCTAGAATTATTTTGGCAGGGTCTTTAGAATTTTGTAGGTATAGAATTATATCATCAGTTTGGAGAGATACATTGACTTCTTCTTTTCCTATTTGGATTCTGTATTAGTCCATTCACACACTATAAAGAAACACCTGAGACTGTGTAATTTATAAAGATTTTTAATTGTTTCATGGTTCTTCAGGCTGTACAGGAAGCATGGCTGAGGAGGCCTCAGGATCCTGACAATCAGTACAGAAAGGGAAGCATCATGTCCTACATGGCTGGAGCAGGAGGAAGAGAGACAAGGGAGGTGCCACATACTTTGAAACCAGATCTCCTGAGGGCTCTATCATGGGATCAGCACAAGAGAGAGAGAGACTCATCCCATGATCTAATCGCCTTTCACCAGGCCCCACCCTCAACACTGGGAATTACAATTTGACATTTAATTTGAGTGGGGACACAAATTCAAACCATATCAGCTGCCTTTTATTTTGATATTGCTCGGTTGCTCTGACTAGGATTTCTAGTACTATGTTCAATAGCAGTGGTGAGAGGGCATCTTGGTCTTCTTTCACTTCTAAAGGGTTTTGAGCTTTTGCTCACTCAGTATAATGTTGACTGTGGGTTGGTCATAGATGGCTCTTATTATTTCGAGGTATATTTTTTTGATGCCTAGTCTGTTAAGGGTTTCTATTATGAGTGGATGTTGGATCCTATCAAAAGCTTTCTCAGCATCTATTGAGATAATCATACAGTTTTTGCTATTATTCTGCTTACATGGTGAATCACAGTTACTGAATTGTCGATGTTGAATGAACCTCGCCTTCCAGGGGTAAAGCCTACTTGATCATGATGTATTAGATTATAAAGTGCTTCTGGATTCTATTTGCTAGTATTTTGTTGAGAACTTTTAGGTCCCTATTCACCAGGAATATTCATCTGATGTTTTCTTTTTTAATTATGCATCTTCCTGATTTTGTATCCCAAGAACACACAGTGAAGGATGGACAGTCTCCCCAATATATGATGTAAAAACTGGACATCCATATGCAAAAGAAATAAAATTAGACCTTCTCTAACACCATATTCAAAAATAAACTAAAAATGAACATAATCTGAAGCCACAAACTCATAGACCACATGGAAAAAAACTTCCTGTCATTGATTCAGAAATGATTTCTTTGAATTTAATAGAAAAAAGCACAGGAAAAAAACTATGTGCAATTATATATCTGACATAAGTTCTATCCAAAAGTATAAATAACTCATGCAACTCAATAGAAAATAACAAATGATCTGATAAAAAGGGCAAAAACTGGATAGGTTTTTCTTCAGAAAACACACACATGGAAAACAGAGCCTAAAAGGGTTCTCAACATTACTAATTATCAGAGGAATTCAAATCAAAATCATGATGAGATATCACCTCCCACCACTTAAAATGGCTGTTATCAGCAAGACATATAACACATATTGGCAAGAATGTGCTGAAAAGGGAAACCTTTTAGGGTGTGGTAGGATTGGTTACTCAATAAATTGAAAAATAAAGCTATCATATCATCTGGTGATCCCACTTCTTGTTATTTATTCAAAGAAGTAAAATTACTATGTTAAACACATGCTGATTGTAAGATTATTTATAATAGTGTAGATTTGTAAAAGAATTTAATGACCATAGATTGATGAATGTATAAAGAAAATGTGTATACATAAAACTGAATTTTATTCAGCTTTGAAAAGAAGGAAATTCTGACATTTGCAACAACATGGATGGGCCTGGAGGACATGATGCTAAGTGGAATAAGCCAGATGCAGAAAGACAAATGCTGCATGATCTCATTTACATGTGGGATCTAAAATACCCAAGCTCTTGAAAGCAGAGAGTAAAATAATGCGTCCCAGGATGCGGGAGGAGAGGGAAATTGGGTGATGTTTAAAGTGTACAGAATTTCAGGTGTGCAGGTTGAATGAGTTCTGGAGATCTAATGTACAGCAATGTTCCTGTATTTAATACTGTGTTATAAAAGTGATTTTTGCTGAAAGGGTAGATCTTAGATATTCTCATCACACACACACACACACACACACTCCATTTAAAAAAAATGTATGTGAGATGATAGATACACAAATTACCTTGATCATGATGAGCATTTTACAATGTGTATCTGATATGGTTTGCAACTTGTCCTGGCCTGAATCTCGTGTTGTATTATAATCCTCAATCCTGAAGCTGGGACCCAGTGGGAGAGGCTTGGGTCATGGGGTGGGTCTTTCATGAATGGTTTAGTACCGACTCTTCGTGCTGTTCTCATAATATTGTGTGAGTTATCATAAGATCTGTTTGTCTAACTGTGTAGACCTCCCTCTCTTCCTGTGGCCCCTGCTTTGGCCATGTGACGTGTCTACTACTATTTGTCTTCTGCTATGGTTCTAACTTTCCTGAGTATCACCAGAAGGAGAAGCCACTACACTTCCTGTACAGTCTGCAGAAAAATGAACCAATTAAGCATCTTTTTTTTGTTTCAAATTACTCAGTCTCAGGCATTTCTTTATAGCAGTGTGAGACTGGACTAACACAATATCAAAACATGAAGTGGTGCACCTTAAACATATACATTTAAAAATATTTCAGTTGTACCTCAGTAAAACTGAAAAAAATAAAGTTACTTTTATAATAAATAAATACTATGCTCATGGATAGGAAGAATCAATATTGTTAAAATGGCCATACTGCCCAAAGCAATTTATACAGTCAATGCTATTCCCATCAAGCTACCATTGACTTTCTTCACAGAGCTAGAAAAAACTACCTTAAACTTCATATGAAACTAAAAACAGCCCGTATAGCCAAGACAGTCCTAAGCAAAAAGAACAAAGCTGAAGGCATTATGCTACCTGACTTCAAATTATACTATAAGGCTACAGTAACAAAAACAGCATGATACTGGTACCAAAACAGTTATATAGACCAATGGAACAGAACAGAGGCCTCAGAAATAACACCACACATCTACAACCATCTGATCTTCAACAAACCTGACAAAAACAAGCGATGGGGAAATGATCCCTATTTAATAAATGGTGCTGGGAAAACTGGGTAGCCATATGGAGAAAACTGAAACTGGATCCTTTCCTTACACCTTATACAAAAATTAACTCTAGATGCATTAAAGACTTAAATGTAAAACCTAAAACCACAAAAACCCTAGAAGAAAACATAGGCAGTATCATTCAGGACATAGGCATGGGCAAAGGCTTCATGACTAAAACACCAAAAGCAATTACAACAAAAGCCAAAATTGACAAGCAGGATCTAATTAAACTAAAGAGCTTCTGCTCAGCAAAAGAAACTATCATCAGAATGAACAGGCAACCTACAGAATGGGAGAAAATTTTTGCAATCTATCCATCTGACAAAGTTCTAATATCCAGAATCTACAAGGAACTTGAACAAATTTACAAGAAAAAAACCAAACAACCCCATCAAAAAGTGGGTGAAGGACATGAACAGACACTTCTCAGAAAAAGACATTTATGCAGCTAACAAACATATGAAAAAAAAAGCTCATTATCACTGGTCATTAGGGAAATGCAAATCAAAATCACAATGAGACACCATCTCATGCCAGTTAGAATGTTGATCATTAAAAAGTCTGGAAACAACAGATGCTGGTGAGAATGTGGAGAAATAGGAACACTTTTACACTGTTGGGGGGAGTGTAAATCAGTTCAACCATTGTGGAAGACAGTGTGGAAATTCCTCAAGGATCTAGAACGGGAAATACCATTTGACCCAGCAGTCCTATTACCGGGTATATACCCAAAGGGTTATAAATCATTCTACTATAAAGACACATGCACATGTATGTTTATTGCAGCACTATTTACAATAGCAAAGATGTGGAACCAACTCAAATGTCCATCAATGATAGACTGGATGAAAAAATGTGGCATATGTACACCATGAACTACTATGCAGCCATAAAAAAGAATGATTTCAGGTCCTTTGCAGGGACATGGATGAAGCTGGAAGCCATCATCCTCAGCAAACTAACACAGGAACAGAAAACCAAACGCCACATGTTCTCACTCATAAGTGGGAGTTGAACAATGAGAACACATGGACACAAGGAGGGGAACATGACACACTGGGATGTGTCGGGGAGAAAAAGCATTAGGAAAGGGGAGGGAGAGCATTAGGACAAATACCTAATGCACGAGGTGCTTCAAACCTAGATGACAGATTGATAGGTGCAGCAAACCACCATGGCACATGTGTATTTATGTAAGAAACCTACATGTTCAGCACATGTATCCCAGAACTTAAAGTAAAATTTAAAATAGAAATAAATAGTAATCAAAAATAAAAAAGAAATACATACTTCATATTTTCTTAACAAAAATGAAACAATATAGGAAAACCTACACTAATATATTTGAAACAGCTTTGCCTATAATATTCATAAAATGGAAACAAATTTAAAGTACATCAACGGGAAAATAAATCAAAATATTCTCATTTATTTACTTAATGGACTGACTCAGATATAAAATCTTTCTCCTTCTCTCTCTCTCCATAAGTACATGAAAACTTTGAGGTTTCATATCAGAGTCAGTCTACGAATCGAATAAATGACAATATGTTGATCTAATTTTATACATTAAATAGTATGAATTAATCTCAAAAATATCAAAGCCCCTTTTGAAAAAAAAGGTCTGTAATGTTTGATTCCATTTATATAAAGTTCAAAACAGAAAATAAATGGATCTGTAGTGTCAGAAATCAAAACGTTTCCCCTTGCAGGAGTTGACCGCAAGAACAGGGAAAACCCGCGATGTGGGGATGGACTTGCTCTTCAGCTACCTTAGGTATTGAGAACAAGGGTATTCACATTTGCCAGAAACTCTCTAGTGATACATTTCAGATCTATGCATATTTTATTATATGTAAATTTTATCTCATAAAAACAAAAAATAAACTGTAGAATAGTTTAAAATTCAGTAAATAATAAAATTAATATTAAAACCCTATCCAAAATATGAACATTATTATATGAATTAATAAAATGCATTCAAGTATATGTACTAAAATTAAATCCCAGAAATCAAAAAGACAAAGGTAACATCTTAAACTTAATAATTAATATGCATGCATTTCATAGAGAAGAAAAAAAGTCAAGACATGAGGAACATATATTCCTTTTTTCCAATCAAATGTAATTAAATTATTTATACAATATTTTAACCTGTGTCATTAGTATAAATTACTAATATTTTGTGTGATATTACAACTGATAACAACTTTTAAAGAAAAAAAAAGATGCTTGAGAGCACGTGAACTAAATTGAATGTATTCTCAAAGTTGGTCCAACTATTACACTTCAAAGTTCTAATAATACCCTGGTTTGAGTGGGACTTTGAAAAAATTAATTTTAAGAGATAAATTTAAAACATAAACTGATAATCTGTAATAAAGAGAAATCAGCATTCCATATCAGAGAAAAATGAAAATTTGCAATACATGTAAAATCCTGAGAAGAAACCTTGAAGCACGGAAAGGGTCTCATGTATAGTAGGTTGTAATACGTCTATCGTTAAAATTATCACCTTTATGTTGTTTTGAAAAATTAAAGCTAAGCATAATGAAATTAATGTTTTTGTGCTCATCTGGTATAACAGCATGTTGAGAAAATGGAAGAGCCCTGTAACCCTGAGGAGGTGGCTTAATCCAAGGAGAGGCATCAGATTTAAAAATATATAATTAAAATTTCATTGAAAATGGAGAAATTTTGGTTGTATACATTTATGGGGCACAAAGCTATGTTATGGTTTGTGAATGCAATATGGAATAATTGAATCGAGTTAATTCACATATATATTACCTCAAATCGTCAAATCCTTATCTTTTTTGTGACAAGAACATTTGTAATTTTTTCTTGACTATTTTAAAATGACAAATACACTATGTTAAAGCTTAGAAATAGACATCCATTTATGTAAACTATAGAGAACTGTTGAAATCAATTATAGATTACTCTAATTTATATTTAGCTCATCATTAAGTTTAATTCTTTAGAAAATATTTTAGAATTATTTTGTTATAATGTTAAATATAAATGACTACACATGTATGTATAGGCTTGTGTATTTACACATATGTCTGCAGATGTAAATTAATGTCCCCATAGGTATGTAGTTGCTGGTATGGACAGACATTAATAAAACTAGGCCGGGCGTGGTGGCTCATGCCTGTAATCCCAGCACTTTGGGAGGCCGAGGTGTGCAGATCACGAAGTCAGGAAATCGAGACCACACTGGCCAACATGGTGAAACCCCGTCGATACTAAAAATACAAAAATTAGCCAGGCATGATGGCGCGCACCTGTAATCCCAGCTTCTCGGGAGGCTGAGGCAAGAGAATTGCTTGAACCTGGGAGGTGGAAGACGTTGCAGTGAGCTGAGATCGTGCCACTGCACTCTCCAGCCTGGCGACAGAGCAAGACTCCGTCTCAAAAAATATTTATAATATGAGCATGATTATATTGCCAAATATAAAATAAAATATCATAATGGCAACAATCAATTTTACCTGTCACCTTGACTAGACCGTAGTCTCATCTATTCAATCACACACTAGCCTAGGTGTTGCTCCCATGGCATAATACAGGTGTTAGTGGAGCCTGCCATTATTTTTTCCTAAGTCACGAAGAGTGTTCTAGATAATCTAGTTGGGACTGATTCAAAGACAGCATAACAGAAGACGATGGGGCTCCGTGGTGGACGGCAGATGCAGATCTTCCCAGGAATTCCAGCCTGTCTTTCCCGAAGGCCAGTAGTATTGACCTTAAACTGCCTAGCCAGATTCTACAATTATTGTTACCCAGAGCTCACAGCACAATGGAGTGCCCATCCTCAGCTCTTCTCAAAGTCACAGGTGAGAGTCCAAACTCAGATAGTATGAGAAGCACAAGATCAGCTCTACATCAATATCCCATTGGAGAAAACTAGTATTATTCCCTTCATGGCTAATGTCCACTACATTTTCCAAATGCCTCCATGCACAGAAGACAACAGGAGTGTCCAGACAATGGTGAGTGAGAAAGTCCCCTCAGCCTACCCAGGTCCTGCAGACCCAAGCCCTGGAATTTTGACTACAGAAAACACATCTTCTGTTTTCAGGGAAGAGAAGAAGAAAGGGAACTGTGAGAATCAAGTCTACAGAGATGGAAAATGGATCAGCAGAAAGAGGGTCAGCTGAATCAGTCTGAGTCAGATGGGCACAGTTTTACAAGTTGAGAGGGGATAGCTGTGAAAACCATCAGGTTTTAAGGACCCTGACCCTGGGTGAGCCTCTCTCTTGGCTCCCATCAGAGCTCAAGGCCTGTTCTAATCAGAGATTCCCATGGAGGTCTCTGCTCTGAGTCTAATTGGAAAACACTCTCCAGGTTTCCCTGAGATTCCTCAGGACTCTCATCCTGACCATGAAAGGATTATTTCTGCCCCCAAAGTGACACCCTGGCTTCTGTGGAGGTGAGGGTGTTTCCTCTTGTTACAAAAACAAAGGAACAAAAAAAAACGTTTTACATTTAGAGACATCAAATGTTAATATAGAATTGTAAATCTGGAGAAGTTCCCTGGGGAAATTTGACGATGAGGCTGCCCCAGGCCATGACAGAAAGCCAGCCCTCAGCAGCACCTGCACCTGCCCTGGAGACAGCCCCGTGCACAGTGTCCTGGCGCCCCCTGGTGGTCTCTGGGACCCCTTCAGGGAGGTTTGTGCCTGGGCTCTCACTGACTTCCCCTCGCTGTGTGTTTCACACAGTAATACACAGCCGTGTCCTCAGCTCTCAGGCTGTTCATTTGCAGATACGGTGAGTTATTGGCGTTGTCCCTGGAGATGGTGAATCGGCCCTTCACAGAGTCTGCGTAGTTTGTGTAACCACTATCACCACTAATGTATGAAACCCACTCCAGTCCCTTCCCTGGAGCCTGGCGGACCCAGCTCATGTAGTGGTTACTGAAGGTGAATCCAGAGGCTGGACAGGACAGTCTCAGGGACCCCCCAGGCTGTACCAAGCCTCCCCCAGACTCCACCAGCTGCACCTCACACTGGGCACCTGCAAACACAGAGACAACCTGGTCAGAAACTGCCACATATATTCACTGCTTATCTCACTCACGTCCTCTCAGTGTCTCTAGTTCGCCATAAATCACCTTTTATAATAGCAACAAGGAAAACCCAGTTCAGCCCAAACTCCATGGTGAGTCCTCTGTGTTCAGTGCTGATCACCAGATGGAAATTCCTGGGAATTCTGGGGCTGGGGCTCTTCTCCCAGAGCTGCAGGGTCAGGGCTGGGCTGGTTTTTATCAGCAGACAGAGGGCCCTATTTGCATGTCTCCTACTATATAGCAAGCTCTGTGGTGGGACAGCTGAGGAGAGGGCAGTGCCCAGAGAAGATGAGAGCATCCCAGAAAACATTGGAGGTAATCCTATCTCTCAGGAAAATATAACTTCAGATTATGTGATTGTGCCTTGATGATCAATTAGCAGTCATCATCTTATTTAATGTTTACACATTTGCAGAATATATTCAGTGCAAGTGTCAATGTTACATTTGTAGAGAAGATGAATTACATACATAACAGAGCAGTTGTGCAATGTGTCCAATATCACACATCTGGCCAGAGTTAGCCCTATTACCTGTGTCTGTGCCTCTAAACACTGGAGGAGACTGCTCCCCTGAGACAGCTCCAGGGCGATGTGGGACATGCCTAGTGAGGTTTTCAGGATGTCCCACCTGTCATAACAACTTTATGTGACTTTGCTTTTTCTAGTGTTTACCTGAAATATGCAATCAGTGTTCACATGTGTGTATTTTCAGGAGTCCGTGATTATTCAAGTGTCAATATTCATCTCTTCCTCTTCCTCAGCCAATATACTCATTTTTTTGTTACTGCTTTATTCAAAAATTCAATCCATAGTGAATTCAAATTTATAGTGTACAATTTGGAAAATGTTGGTATATGTGTGCAGCCTTTGAATCAGCACTTCAATCATGCTATTAGCAATTAAATTAACCTCTAATTTTTTTCTCTCACTTCCCTGTAATTTTATTTCACCATCTTGTTACTCTCACCACACTTTTCTCAGAAAAATTCAGATCTTCTCCATGTTAATTTAGAATAGTTGCATTTTCTACAATTTATACAAATGAAATCACAGGAGATTTACTGTGAATTCTTTAGCTTCCTACACTCAGCACAATTATTTGATAATGTCCTCACATTCTTATGTGACTGAGGCATGCCTTGATTTCAATTGTTCATTGTATTTCAGTATATGAATATTTCTCAAATTGTTTAACAATGCACCAAATAGTGGATATTTGATATTTTGTCTTCGTTTCTGAATTTTATTTAGAAAGCAAATACTAAGCATGGGAATGTAAAAAAATTGAGAAAATGATCTTCTTCTGACCTCATTAATAAGAAACTTGAACAACTACGAAAAATGAACGCTTCAACATATCTGAGTTGATGTCACAGAGAAAAAAACCCTGAAATCTGAGAAATAGGGGCCTGCAGAGAGAACTAGGGTCCATTTATTAGAGTACCTGGAGCAGGTGCCACTCGTTGTATAGTATTGAAGATAGGAAAAAGCTAACCTGGAAATGTTTCATGAGTTGTTGAGGATGTATGTGCTAAGGGTGTGAGAGTGTGAAACTCCCGGCACTTGCAGGCTTTTCCTACAGAATTGGGGAAATCCCAGACAAGTCACCCACCTGCTGTCCTGTGGTGTTGACTGGGGAGGAAGAATAGCAGCTGTGTTCAATGCTGAATCCCCCTTCACGATATGTGGGAGACATTTATTAAATCTTGTGTCCTTCAGGCACTGGTAGAATCAACTAGAACACAAGGAAACAGAGGACACCAAGGAAACTCTACCCAGAATCACCTCCCATCTCTTTCCTGAGGAATGAAGTCCTGAGTCTGTGGGGTAAGGACAGTGGGTCAGAAGCTGAGGACACTGACGAAAAACCACTGTGGCTGGGAAGAGACACTCTGACTTGGAGAAGGGAAGGAACAGGAACACTTGGAAGACCATGCTTCAGAGCCACTCTCACCACCCATAGCTAAGAAGGAGGCTCGGTCCGAAGGTTGGAGAACATCCCCCTGTGTCCAAGCCCCTTCACCCCACAAACAATCACCAAGTAAAAGTGTCAGCAGGATGCACCTGCCACAGATGAAAGAGACAGGCTCTCTCTGGGGAGAGAAATGGGAAGAGCCAAACCGGGACACAAAAGTGGGTATCACTGGAGGAACCTGAACTTTTTGTGAACAGGAGAAGCTGACTTCAACTCTGATAGCCGTGGCAACCATACACTTGAAATCCAACCCTGACTAGATTCATAGAAATGTGGTTAATAAAGGCCCAGCAGAATGTAATGTGTGATCGTCTCCATGAATAAAATAATAAACACAAGAAAATAAATTACAAGTGAAATGCAAACTGGAATTCTACATGCATTACATTTTCATTAAAAGTGAAAGGCAAATAAAATTCTGTCATTAAAAAAAGATCTTGAGACAATTTATTGTCAGCACATTCATGCTTCAGTGCACATTTTAACAAACTTTCTCTGCTAGTAGCCATGTGATATACATTCAAAACATAAACCTATAGGAAGAAATTAAGACTACAAAATGAGAAAATCAAGATGAAGTGCAGTTTTTATCTTTGTAATTGCTATATTATATAACTGTAAAAGGAATAAAAAATTACATATTTTATAGCATATGTAAGTGCAAACTGGGAATAAACAAGAAAGAGTGGTGAGAAGGAGGAATTCAAAGCACACAGTTACACTGTCTCTGTTCTTCATATCAAGGCCATCACAGTATCTGCATTAGAATCTAATTATATACAATTCTTATAGAATCTAATTATATACACTTCTTATGCAATCTAATTATATACAATTCTTATTGTAAACCTTATGGTAAACAATATAATATTTATAAAAGTGAATTAGATTATATGTTAATAGAGAAATAAACGTCATTGTGAAGTGCTAATTTAAACAAGATAACAGAAAAATAATATTAGTTTAAAAATAGAACTTACTATAGTTGATTTAAAAAAACAAGCCCCAACTAGAAGCTATGTATTAGAAAATTACAGTACATATTCACAAATGTAAAAACTAAAGATGAGAAAACATGGATTATGAAAATGTTAACCAAAATAAATCTATAGTAGCTGTGTAAAGTTAAGAAAAAATAGACATCAAAAAAGACTTTTAGGACTTAACAGGGATATTACATAGGATAAAGTTACCAGTTTTTTAAAAGATGCCAAAAATACTTAACAAGTATAGAATAGATGAAGAATGCACCATTCTTTGTGATTTACAAAACAAACATGATAAAAGAAGTAAAGATGTCAGTGAGACCGTGCACGTAACGGTGCATGTAAAAACTTCCCCTTGAATTTCTCCCTGTTGCCACCCACACCAACCCCAGGCCTGGAGTCTGCTGGCCCAAGCTGATGCTGCAATCTGTGAAGGTGAATCCAGAGTCTTTGCAGGAGGGGCTCAGTGAACCGCTGGGCTGTACAATTTTTCCCCCTCAGACTCCACCAGTGAACTTCACATAGGACTTCTGCAAACACAGAGAGAATGGACTGAGAACAGCCGCATGTGGAGCAGCCCCAGCTGGACCTGATTCACAAGGGCCACTAATACTGAGGGTGATGAGAAGGGAAGCCCAGATCAGTGCAGATCCCACAGTGTGGACACTGAGGAAGGGCACACACATGGGATGGCTCCTCACCAGGGCCTGAAGGAACAGGGGATGAGCTGCCTTTCATGAGGAGGGGAGGGGACATATTTCCATGTCTTTCTTTTTGTGGTCATGGGTGCGCCGCTCGGCATTGCTCATCTGTCCTCTGTGTCTCCATTTCAGGGAGGGCAGGGTCAAAGGATTCCCGGGTCTGGAGGCACAGGGTTAATCTGCCAATTACTCTTTCTTATTCTCCAGTGTGGACACTATTCAGGTATCTTCATAGTAGAAAACATTATCATCAAATACATCCAGTAAGAACATAAAAATACATTTCCAGAGAAAACAGACATCTCTCCGTAATCAGTACACTTAGAGCTGGAAACCACTGTTCCTGACCATGTGGCAAAGTTGAGTTACAATGAAAATAATGCAGATCTACACCTTGTTAGGGAGGGGGTTTATAATTATGATTATCTTGAGATCACTTTTCGCAACATATGTCAACATCAGATACATGGACTTGTGTCAGGAAACAGTCAATGTGGACATATGTGTACTTATCTGAGTGAAGAGTTCACATGGGGACGTGTTTGCTTGTCTGAGACAAGAGTAAATGTGAGGAAATGTCTGTTTTCTGAGGAAAGAGTAAATGTAAGGACATATGTGGTAGTCTGAGGAAAGAGTCCATGTGGGGACATGTGTGTTTGTCTGATGGAAGAATCCACATGAGTAAAGGTGTGTTTGTCTGACAGAAGAGCCCACATGTTGACAGGTGTGTGTACCCATTTGAGGGTAAATGAGCATTCAGGGACAGGGTATGCCTGAACTCAGCTGACGTTTGGGAAAAATCTTTCTCAATCTAGGAAAGAAAAGGAATCCTCTGGGTTACTTGCTTATCAGGAAGAGAAAACCTGGGTCAAGTAGAAAATTGATTTTTTTCAAAAAAATATCTTTAGTAAATGGAAACATCTTATATGTAAATGAGGAAAATTACTTCCTCCTTTGTTGCACGCATCTCATAATATCCCCACACTCCCAAATATGTTATTAGATAATTTTGTACAGTCTGCATTTTATCCAGGGGTTAATGAATTCCTAAATATATTTTTAATTGTGTATATTTAGGTTTATATTGTCCATCACAAAATTATGAGCTGGGACAAATTAATTGTGTCTTGTCTCAACCATTGCATATCACTAAAATAGTCTTAACTCTTCTTAAACAAGGCCTGTTTTACTTATTTCACACCCACTCTCTAAATTCCTGGAATATCCTCTCTGTTTACCTGAGTATAGTTTTGACTTTTACAGAATTTCAAATAAATGAAACTATACAGTGCAATTGAAATGACTTCACTGAAGAAAGTGGAAAATGAGGTTCCTGAAGTAAGCAACTTTGAAAATGAGGTGGTTCTCTAAGTTTAAATTGTAAAGAAATCACACATAAGCACTCTATCTAGTAGATAAACATGTTTCCTACAAGGGTACAGCATTACATTTCTGAAACCGCTATGCATGTGTCCTGAAATCGTGCAACTAAGTAATCAAATGGCATATGGTTGGATGGGATTCCTCACTTTGTAGTGGATGGTTATGGACAGTCAAGAAAGGAAGGTTAGAAAGGTCCATGTGGCAGCATAGTTGGGTGGAGAGACCAGTGTGTGCTCATTTTTAATGTAATCAAGTTACAGAAGATTAGATACATAATTTCAATGGGTCCATAAACATGATTCATATAAACATGCTCATTTACTAGAACAGAAGGTTGAGAGGTCCCAGAAGTACTTATACCACATTAACAACACACATACCCATTATCACAATATTTTATTTTAACACTATTCTTTAAAATCAGAAACAAGCAATCTTTATATAAATGGCTAATTCTATGTATGAAAAAGGTGATAAAGAAACAAGCTTAGAATCTATTTTAATATCAGGAAACAGGGAAGTGTTCAAAAACAAAAGGATCAGCTTTGCTGTAAGGATGCAGGATCCAAACTAAATGAGCTCCCCAGCACCTAATAAAGCTGTGGAGATTTGAACAAGAAAATGAATAATGTAGCATGGATCTTCTTCAGAGTATGAAACAGACATCCATAAACCAATGTGGATGTTAATAGATGATTAAACAAAGAAACGATGGGAAGAAGAACACGTCTTCTTATAGAAGTATTCCAAATATCTCAGGCAGATATTCCTCCAATCAATAGGTGAAGGCTAAACACTCATGAGTTGATTGTGTCCTGAGATTAGAGACATGGAATAAATAATCACTATTAGTGTATTTTATAATGAGACTTCAGATATAATGCCAAATACGTGATCTATGAATGAATAATTTTTTATGTTTTTTGTCTAAATTTGTGCACACACACACACACACACACACACACACACACACACACATATTTTTTGAAATACCCACTGATAAGAGAGAAAAAGGCAACCACAGACTGGGAGAAAATACTTCCAAGTCATATATTTGTTAAATCAATTCTTTCAATTTGTTAAATGACTTTTATAATCAATATGCAAGTAAACTTACAACTAATGAAAAGAAAACAATGGAGATAAAAATGAACCAAATATCAGGAAAGGCATCTCAGCAAAAATTATATAAAAATTGTTTAATATAAATTTTTTTATTTGGGACATGTGCATTTAAATAAATATTAGATGCCATTACTCACCTATCAGCATGGCTAAAACTCACAATACTCATGATGATAAATGGTAACATGAATGTGGAAAAACAAGAAATGTCATGCATTGATGGTGGGAATTCAAAACGTTACATGCACAAAATGAGATTTTTTGGCATTTTTTAAATAGAGATAAAAGTAGAGTTAAAATGTGAACTTGTGCTTGTGTTCCAAAGTATTTACAACGTTGATTCAGAAATTGATGTTTACAAAGATTGATTCAGAGGAAGTTCTGTATCAGATTTGTTAATGTGATTCATTCTACAATCCCTGAAATTTGCTTGCAGAATAAATGTTGTATGAAAAATATCTCAAATAACTAAAATCCTGTCCACTCAAGCCCTTGTCCAGGGGCCCATCGCACCCAGTGCAAGTAGCAGTAGGTGAAGGTGTATCCAGAAGCCTGGCAGGAGACCTTCACTGAGGCCCCAGGCTTCTTCACCTCAGCCCCAGACTGCACCAGCTGCACCAGGAAGTGGGCACCTGTGGGGAGGACACAGGATGGATGAAAGCCCCCTTGACTGGACTCAATCCCCTCCTCATTACTGGGACCTGGGAACCCCTTACCTGTGGCTGCTGCCACCAAGAAGAGGATCTTGCAGGTCCAGCCAATGGTGAGATGTACTCTCAGGGGATTCTCTCAGGTGATTATCTCAGGGCACAGAAAATATTTACCTCAGTGGATATCAGTATATTTGCATATTCATAAGACAAAGCCTTTCTTAACTCAAAGCCCAATCCGTGATAAGAAAGGGAAGATAAATGACACATCAGCCTTACAAGAGTGAGATGAAGATGGTCGAAGTCCTAATCCTGCTTGAGGAAATGCATGCCCTGCTCCATTTACAAACATTTGTGGACAGACATCCTTTCACTGAAGAATAAGCCCGTATAGAACAGGCTCCTCACTGTAAGCCTATATTTGATTAGCATAGAGACCACCTGGATCATTTTTGGAACCATCACTCTCCATCACACTGAGCAGGTGCCTTGGTCTTTTCCTGGACCCATCAGGCACCAGCACAGCTCATTGGTGACTCTGAGAAAGTGACGCTTATGTCCCACATGAGTGTCCAGGAGGGACCTCTGAGATCTACTGGGTGCTCCTGAGACACTGTCTCCAGCACCTGACTCATGTCCTGATCCCCCAGGATCTTCAATTCTATTGAACACTGTTGGTTTACAGATTTGCCCTGTGATGCATAATTAGAGCTGATTTTCTCATCTCACAGAAAATGGGAATCAGAAGAAGATAAAGCAGGAGTTTGGAGTCCATTATGAACTCTCTACTCCCAAAGTAATTGTCAAGGAATTTGTGTTTAGAACAATTTTGGGTTATTTTTGAACTCCACTTATTAGTATTTTGTCAAGTATTTACATACTTTCAGTTCATATCCACAGACCCTCACCTTTCCATATTGATTTCTGACTCACTTGGTCTGTGCACCTGCCACACTCTCAGATCCACTACTGCCCTGTCACTCATACAATGTAAGCAACATTACTTAACACTGAAATCTGAATTTCTTATTCATAGGAATGAAGTTTCTTCAACTAATCTGTACCCATAGAATTAGTAAAAACATGCCCATCCTTCATATTCTCACTACTAAGATATTATAGTTCTAGAAACCCACTTCAAAAAATAGTTCTCAGTGCCTTAAGTTATATGAATGGTTTTGATGTGATAGAATATTTAAAGCACGTCAGCGACTTTTTGAACAGTTATTTTAGATTGTTTTTTCCTGACAAAGGAAAACCCAGGCCCTGAGAGGAAACTTCCACCCCAGCTGTGCACCTGCTCCAGGGCTGGAACCTGTGCTTGGTGGCTCCCAAGTGCCCCCTTTCACCCAGGCTCTTGCCTTGCAATGAGGTTTCTGTCGGGGCTCACAGATATTTTCCTTCAGAGTCTCTAGCCCAGCATGAAGTGGCTGTGTCCTGGTTTAGAATTCTCTGCCAGTGACACCATATGCTGCCGACACCATGTCTTTTAACAATTGATTAACCTCACTAAACCTACTGAGGGATACCCACAGAAAAGATTCTATGACTCAGAAGGGAGTCCCTTTTCTGAAGCTTCACATTTCCTGAATCAGTGGACACATAATGAATACAAAAACTTGTAGGATTTGGGGAATGCCTAGTTTCTTCGTTGGGCTCCTGCAGTTGAATGTTGCATCTGAGAATATCTGCAGGTACAGATACATTCAGAATAAAGACACCTTTGTATATGCTATTCCAATAACACATATTCTCCTTTCTTACTATTTTCTAGCCTATAAAAGCACCTCCTACACAGACACTAGGCCTAGGTTTATGGCTTTTTTCTCTTAGCGATCTAAGGCAAACAGAATACAAGTGGAGACTTGGGAAGTGCATGAATATTTTTTCTCAGCTAGGAACCCTGAAAATGCCCCATGATAAAAGAATCTGAGGTCAATGGATTTGCCAAGACCTTGTCTTCAAAAAATTTATGTCAGAGGCTTCAGATTTTCCTACTGTCCTTGTCTTTTTCTCTGCCATTGTCTTTCAGTTTCCCTATGTTCTCCTCCTCAGATAGAGTCTGTGCACTGCCACACTTTCATCTTTAACCCAGATTATACTGGTGAGAAAACAAAGTGTGCATCCTGGAAGTATTATATGTTCTTACAATTGATTCTTAATAATTCAATCATCCTTTTTTTCTCTGGACTGTGACCTATATGCAGAGTCTCCAGAAATGAAACTGATGCTTTCCCTTTTCTGGCTATAATATTATAGGATTATTTCAGTATCGGCTAATTTTATCCACTTTCATGATAAAGGAAGGCTGCTGGGAGGGTCTGTAATGGAGATGGACTACCTTACCCAATACAGATAAGTTTCTAGATATGTCTTTCCCCTGGATGGTCTATCTGGAGAAATGTACGTGTGTATTTCTCAGAGATTAGGTCTTTGGATGATTTATCCAGGAAAGGATCTATGTCGATTTTCACTCGAAGAACCTGGAGGTTCCTGGAGCAAATAAGCACAAGAGTGTGAGGTGTGGGGCCTCTAAGATCTCTCACCCTCACACTAGTTCAGACATGCCCTTTATGTTTACATAGTTCAGATTTACATATAACATACCACACAGCCAGGCTCATCTAAATTGCCACATGCTCATTTAAACTCATTGGAGCAGCAGCTGAGTGTAATCATCACATTGAACTCAGAGAAACCTGGGTCCAATACACTGTTTATTGTAGCTCAGAGAAGCATCACTGAGTCCCTTGAGTGGACGTTTCTTCCCTGAAAGAGCTTCACTACCAAGTATACTAAAGAGTTGCTATGGAGCCACTGTGGGGTTGGATTTCTTTCTGTCAGCCTGTCATGCAGGGTGTTTTGAGTGATGCAGACCTTTATACTTAGATGCTAATCATTCCCAGTATTGTTGAAATGGCTGGCCACCCCCAGTCCTGTTTCTCCCCTCCACTCACCTGAATGTCTCCAAAAACCCCATGAACCTAAGGATTCTCTTTTCCATGGATGACTCTGAGGATTCTCAATCTGGTCAGTGCCACAGTCAGAGGCAGCTAATGCAGGATTCTCAGTCCGCTAATAAGTTGAGCCCATAATATAGGATACATATCCAAGAGTGGCCAATTCATGTCAGTGCCAATCCACATTTAATTCAAGGGGCATGATTTTCAGTGCATTGAAGTTTAAAAGCTTCATAATTCTTAATAGAGGCACAAACTGAATGGTTTGCTGAAGAAGTGAGTTCATGGTTAGAAGAAAGCTGACTGCACCCAGGCAGAGTCTCTTTAAGTAAAACACCTGAAATGTGATGTCCTGAAACCTTGTGAAAATTCATTTCCTTGAGTAAAAAAACAGGAAAGCTATTCTCAAATCATTGGGAGAAAACTTATCAGAAATTTTATGAACACACCAGTCGAATTCCAGTAAGTCAATCCTTGGGTTTATGTTTCACAACTCAAGAAGCAATAAAGAAATCTACATAATTGGAAGGCTGCTCCAACAGAGAGAATTTTGAACTATTTAATTAATAGACCAGTATTCATTCAAAGACACTCTCCTATGGAATCTGCAACTTAAACAGATCTCTGCAACCTGGAAAAATTTTCTCACTTATTTTTCTCTAGACATCCATAAATGCAAAAACACATTTTGTGTGTATATGCATGAGTGATCTATAGAAATACTTTGCATATTAATGAAAGTTTGGAAAAATGATAACTTCATCACTTATTGTGAACTCACACTTCACTGGTTTCCAAAATTCTCCACCTGTGTCATGGGGCAATGGGTGCCTCTGAGAATATGCTGATTTTCAGACTGAACATGTTCTCCACTCCTCAGTTGAATTCATGGTTTCTCACTCACACTGATGTCTCTGTGAATGAAAACCCAACACTGATATCCAGCAGATTTTCCTCTTACAAGATTCATATTCTCTCTATCTCTTTCTTTCTCTGCATGTCTCTAACTCCCTATTTTTCTGTGCCATTACTATTTATTACTGAATCATCCTGAATCCTGTCAACAGACTCCATCTCACATTCTGCAAATATTCTGCCTTAAAGATAATTAGGGGCAAACTCATCCTTGCCCAAGGTGGGAAAACTTTCTGGACTTCCACTAGGTTTATTAGAGCCTCATATGAGAACCATGATCAAACACTATGTGTTTTTGGATTATACCTCAAATCTAAAACTGTTCTTCGTAGTGGCTATGACATTCTACATTCCCATCATTACCATTATGCAAAACAGTGTGGTGGCTTCTAAATAAATTAAAACAGACATACCATATGACCAGCGATCCAGCTTATGGAAATATACCCAAATGGGATGAAATTACCACCTTGTGAAGATACCTGCTCTCCTGTGATTATTGTAGCATTATTCACAACAGCCAAGATATGGAAACTAAGTGTCTGTCGATGGACAAATGGATAAAGACAATGTGGTATGTGTACACAATATAACATGATTCTGCCTTATAAAATAAAGAGATGCTGCCATTTTCCACAAGATGAATGGATTCCCACCACCTCTAGCAATGCATTTTACCCATTTCAGCCCCTCCCTGGGAGCCGGCAGATCCAGGCCCAGTAGTAAGGACTGGTTGTGATGGAGTGGCCAGAAACAGTGCAGGTGATGCAGAGGGGCAGTGCAGGCTCTTCAGGTCCAGGGCTGACTCCTGCAGCTGCTCCTGGGACAGGGCATGTGAGTACATGGGGAATCAGTCCCTGTCAGTCACATGTACCTACACTCACCCCATAGACCCACATCTGAGACACTCACCCTGGGGGAGCCGTCACCAGTCACAGGAGAAGACAGACATAATGCCATCTTCTTCGTGAACACAACTCTGCATTCCCCAGACACCTTAGCCCTGCCTGAGGGGAGAGCTGTTAGCTTCCACAGTCCAAAAGCATTTTATACCCTGGAGCCTAAAGGATAGTTTGGATGTGGCAAGGCCTTGTACTTATACAAGAGAAGGACATAGGTCTGACTCCCTGTGGGTTTGAATATGTTTTATTGTTGTCTGTCTGTTTTCAGGTTGACATGAAGCACTTCCTTGCCAAAAACTACAGTCATGACATTTAATAAAATTTGCTTTATTCCTATTTTCCCACCTGTGACATTTGACCTTCTGTATCGAGTGAGCAATGTGCATACCTTACAGGAGAAATTACAAAATAATTCTCTAAGTCATCAGTATCACACGAATGCTACCCTGTCCTTACTGCCAAATATCTTCTGGAAAAATTTAAGTAAAAATAAATGACAAGTTGCATTCTTAAATTGAAAGTAGCATAACATTCAGAAACTCATGAAATCCCTTTGCCAAAGGTACTCCCACTAGAACTTAACAGCCCATGGTCTGCTTCCTCAAGGGCAAAGACAATATCACCCTATGACTTGATTCATCAAAAGCCCATGTATTTTCCATTTTACCTTCAGCATTATACTCTGATTTATCACATGCCAATACAGCGAAGTATTTTAGGGGATCGATGTGCTATGCAGAAATATTCAACAGGATGTTAAAAATGTCCTAAATAGCTTCTTTACTGCCATCAACTTGTAAATTATTTATTTTCCAAGAGACATCGGAGAAAAACAGTCACAAACATTGTAAAAGGGGCTAATTACAATTAACAACAAATGCAGCAGTGACTCCAGGATGTCAATCCATAGGTTTATTAGTGAAAATGAGGTGGGTTACATAAATTGTTTTGAGAGTATTTTCCTTGCTTGTAGAGTCAATACCAAGGTTGGCATCAATATAGGGTTAAACAGTGATTTGCTGGGAAGATGTCCTTGTAGATGTGATTTTTATAAGGTCATGGTGGCTTCTATCAAAGGTTGTGGTTAAGCAGAATCCATTCATGGTCGTTCTTGTTATCAGGAGTATGTGCATGGGAAACCTCCTTCATGGTCATTCCTAGTTCCATTTGTCAGGGTTTTAACACAAGTGGATCTATTTTGATTCTGACAACTTTCACAGCCTCTTTCTAACACTACTGGTGAGGAAGGTGACTCACTCTGTGGTACTTTGCACAGCACAGGATAAATTTCACATCCACATCCCATTTTGACCACACAAGCTCATCCTCTTCACTACTGTTGGCCACTTGCATTCCCAGGTGAGTCTCCACATGACACACTGGAGGGTGCTGAGCAATGGGAGAGAGGAAAGTCCTATCAGCCTCTCCCACATGGCTGCAGGAGCCACAGCCTGAGCCCCACCTCAGCTGCAGGGAATGGGCTTGAGACCTCGAGCTTTGGCAGCAAGAACCACATCCCCACTTTACAGGAAGCACGAACAGCACAAGGAAGAGCAAGAACAACAACAACAAATAAAAAGAAATAGAGTGGGCTAAGAGCAAAAGGGGCCCCAGATCAGTGCTGATACTAAGTTGCATACTTTAGTGTCAGGAGAAGGGTCAGGAATGAAAACTGTGAGGTTCTACACGACACTGACCCTGGCCCAGACTCTATTGGCTGTGATCACAATTCCTAAAGACCGTCCTAGTCAGGGAATCTCACTGAGGTTTCTGTCCTGAGTCTGACTGGAGAAGACTCACCAGGTATCCCTGAGTTTCCTCAATACTCTGATCCTGGTGACAATGGTTGAGGGCTTTTCATCTCTGTAAGCATCAATCTGTGTTTTGTGCATAGGAGAATAGGTTTTCATATTAAAATAATCATTTTAAAAATATGTAGAGATGACATTGGTAAGCACAGAATTCTGAACTTAGAGAGATTCCCTAGAGAAACTCTAAAAAGATGAAGTCCCACATCCTGACAGGAAACCAGCCTCCATCTGCAACTTGCCTCTGGCGATGACTCTGATCAGTGGGTCCTGTGTGCCCCCCGCAGCTGATTTCCCCCAAGCATTCTGCAGAGAGGTTTGTGTCTGGGCTCACACTGACTTCCCCTCACTGTGTCTCTTGCACAGTAATACACAGCCATGTCCTCGGCTCTCAGGCTGTTCATTTGAAGATACAAGGAGTTCTTGGCATTGTCTCTGGAGATGGTGAATCGGCCCTTCACGGAGTCTGCATAGTATGTGCCACCACCAGTACCAATAGCTGATACCCACTCCAGACCTTTTCCTGGAGCCTGGCGAACCCAGTGCATAGCATAGCTACTGAAGGTGAATCCAGAGCCTGCACAGGAGAGTCTCAGGGACCCCCCAGGATGTACCAAGCCTCCCCCAGACTGCACCAGCTGAACCTCACACTGGACACCTGCAAACAGAGAGACACAAAGGTCAGAAATTGCCACACATCACATACCCACTGTTTCTCTCATTCATGCCCATTCACACTCAATATCTCTAGTTCTCCATGAATCACCTTTTAATATAGCAACAAGGAAAACCCAGCTCAGCACAAACTCCATGGTGATTCCTGTGTGTTCAGTCCTGATCACTGAATGGAAACACCTGGGAATCCCAAGGCTGGGGCTCCACTCCCAGAGCTGCAGGGTCAGGGCTGGGCTGGTTTTCATCAGGAGAGGGAGGGCTCTATTTGCATGTCACCTACTATATAGCAAGCTATGGGGTGGGAATCCTGAGGAGAGGGCAGGGCCCAGAGTAGATGAGAGCGTCCTGGGGGATTTTGATGACAAGGATTGTGTTTGGGAAAATGCTGTCTTAATGTGAAATTGTTGTGCGATAAACATTTAACAACTATCATATTTTTAATTATTTTTACCTATGTGTATAAATGATGTTATTTAGCACTCAGTGGTTTCTTCGTTTACAGATGTAAAAGTGAACCCACACATGGAGGGGCTATGTATGTGTCTAAGGGCTTATATCTGGCATGAGTGAGTCCTAGTACCTGGGCCTATGCTCCTCACAGCTGGCCTCAATTGCTCTCTTAACCAACTATTGGACAGAGCTAAATGGGCCTAGTGTGGTTTGCAGAATCCACTTCCTGCCACGAGAACCTGTGTGATTTTGCTGCATTTACCTAAAAATACGGAAACATCTAGGCATCAGGCAGATAAATTTTTGGTGTATCTGATATTTAATGTATTCATTTGTTCCTTCTTATCATCCCTTTTTTGTCTAAAATTTCACTTGTTTACTTGTAATACATTTTATGAGTTTTAATTGACAGATGATAAAATTCACATATTTAACCTGCACAATAGTAAACTTTGATAAAGAAAATCTCTATTTTCAAGAAGGTGACAAGTCAACTCACCTCAGAATTCCTCTTGCTCTTTTACAGACATATTTTTGTTTTTCTCCTCTTTTCTTCTACCATTTCTTTATAAAAGTACTGATGTTTTCATATTTCTTTAGACTAGTTTTTATTCTCTAGAATTTATAAGAATGAAACAATATAGTATGTACTCTTATCTATTTGGCTTATTTTTCTCAGTAGAAATACCGAGAATTAAACCTTTTATGTTGTATTGTTTATTTTTTAATAAATAATAGGTAGCATTTCAGCAAACAAATGTAGCATAATTTGTTTTTCTAAGTTGCTAATTGGTATTCAAACTTTTCATTACTTTGGGTCTTACTAATAAATCTGCTACTCAATTTGGTAATGTACATAGATGATAAATTATATATAAAATATATTATTTTTGCAACAATAACACATAAACAAGAGAATGTGCTATTTGGCAAATTTTCTTTAGCATGTCAAATAATTGAAGTTATGAAACAAAAAACAAACTTGTAAACCAAAGAGTATCTGAGACTAATCTCAATAGATTTAGGAAGTTCATTTTCGAAGATTAAGGACATGCCTGTGACACCGCCTCAGGGAGTCCTGATGATTTGTGCCCAAGCTTGTGGGCACAGCTTGGTTTTATACAATTTAGGGAGGCATGAGACATTAATCAATATATGTATATAAGATGTACATTGATTTAGTTCAGAAAGGCAGGACAACTTGAAGTGGGGAGAGGGCTTCTAGATCATAGGTAGGTTTGAGAGAAATGGTTGCATTATTTGAGTTTCTGATTAGCCTTTAACTGAATGCACAATTTACAGGAATAGTCACGTAGGCCTTAATCTGGCTTAGTGAAATAATAGAGCAAAGGGAGCAATCAGATATGCATTTGACTTACATGAGCAGAGAAATGACTCTGTCTGTCTTTGGCCCACAAGGATTTTACTTGTGGTCAAATTTTGAAGGAGGTCTGTAGCTTTTAAAAACCGTAGTAGCTATCATTTTAGTGAAATAATGGAGGTGGATTTGCCCCAAACAGTTTTCAGCTTGACTTCCCTTGGGCTTAGTGATTTGGTGGTCCCAAAGGTTTATTTTCCTTTCAGGAACGTGGAAATCTTAAAAGAAATGAGTTCTTGTAGAGAGAAATGAAGCCATAGTGTTAGCTAAACTGAGGCCGAGGCTGCCACATGAAATATAGCCTATTACAAGACAAAGCTACAGGCCGGGCGCGGTGGCTCACACCTGTAATCCCAGCACTTTGGGAGGCCGAGGCGGGTGGATCATGAGGTCAGGAGATCGAGACCATCCTGGCTAACAAGGTGAAACCCCGTCTCTACTAAAAATACAAAAAATTAGCCGGGCGCGGTGGTGGACGCCTGTAGTCCCAGCTACTCGGGAGGCTGAGGCAGGAGAATGGCGTGAACCCGGGAAGCGGAGCTTGCAGTGAGCCGAGATTGTGCCACTGCAGTCCGCAGTCCGGCCTGGGCGACAGAGCGAGACTCCGTCTCAAAAAAATAAAAAAATAAATAAATAAAACAAGACAAAGCTACAAACGTGTTGGATTGCTTAAATTCCAGTGTGGTAAACGTGTTGTCATGTAAAATTCTCAGGAACCACATACTGAAGGGCACTGATAAAGTGAATTAAATATGGCCTGAGAAGGACTCCGTACTTCTGTGTTTGAGTCCTTCTGGACAAACTGTAACCTACCTGAATAGGTGGACAAGATTGAAAAGCCAACTTCAGAGCGTGAGCCTGTAACAATAGCGGAGTCTTGGCCAATTCCAGCAGCCATACCTCAACCACTCATACACTCTTGAGTGTGCACATTTTGTTTAAATAAGACAAAAGCAACCTGTAACCAATCCAGCTGTTTCTGTACCTCACTTCTGATTTCTGTACATCATTTTTCTAATCTATAAACCTTCTTCCACCACGTGACTGCACTGAAGTCTCTTTGAATCTGCTGCGATTCTGGGGGCTGCCCAATTCATGAATCATCCATTGCTCAATTAATCTCATTAACCTTAATTTGGCTGAAGGTTTTCTATTATCCGCATTCCTATGCAATTGAATCCCTTTGTTCTAGAATGAGGACACTCAGAAAAATCTTCCTTTCCCAAAGTGTCTGTCTGAGACAGAAGGAGAGCCCATACTACCGAAATGCGTTCAGACCCACCTCCCTCATCAGCACTACAGAATAAAGGGATTACCTACCATACAGGGGCAAGCCACTGAAACCATGATTCCAGAGGCACTGGTGGAGCCCCAGAGGAAATGGGATAAAAACCAAGGTTCTCACCAAAGTTCCATCGAAATGTACCTCCTCTCTGTCATGGAATCAAATCCTTAATCTCCAGGGCATCGCAGAAGATCTAGAAGACGATGATAATAGTGGAGACTATTGGAGGTGTGGGAGGGAACACCTGGGAAAAACAGGAGAAAATATATGTATTTAACTCAGTAGACTTCAAGCTACTTACATGTTAATTAACTGGAATATTTCATAGCTAAATACCTGATCTAGCATGAGAAATAATAGAGATGACACATGGAGAATGCAACAGTGGGAAGCTGAGGTTCAAGTTCTGATGTTTGTTTACTGATATTTGTCCGCTGGCATGTCCAGAACTTCATGAGTACAGAACTCCTCTAATAGTGAAACAAACACTCACAGGACATGCATTTTTGTTTGAAATAAGTGTAATTCAGATGCTGGTAAAATTTTCTCCTCAGACTCTTTTGCACCAGCTCAGGGCTGACGTCTGTGTTGAGTGGGTTCTGGGCCTGCCCTGCAGCTCTGCCCTCACCCTGCTGGGGAGGATGCTGTTTGGGCTCACAGAGCATATTCTCCCAATGTTGCTCTCCCAGAATGAAAGGGCTGTTCCCTGGTTCACAATCCTCTTTCAGCAGCATCTGATGCTTTTGAAATTGTCTCTTGAAACAGTGATTTGTCATTACTATACCCAGTAAACTGCAGGGAGAGCCCAAGCACAGATTCATGAAACCACCAGAGAGTCACTTCCCTGGGACTGTCAGATGCAATGACACAGTCAAGATCCATGGTGAGTCCAGAAACTTTCAGATAATTCATAGGAGCCTCTTATTTCTCTTACAATTCTCTATTCAAAGGTCATGCCAAAAAGTATCTTCACAGAGAGAACTACATGGCTTAAAGCCCACAGAAATGAAAACATGCATGTACACACACATATACACCAACCACCCCCCCCACACACACACACGCAGAGTGGTATGGCTGATTTTTACAGTAATTGGCTCCTAATTTGGGATCTTTCCTAGTGTAAACCAAAGGTTTCTGAGACAGATCTCAATCAAATTAAAATTAATTTTCCCAAAGTTAGGACAGCCTGGAAGAAAAATAAAAGTAACCACAGAAACTGTGTGTGGTTAGTGCCATTCCTTAAAGACGATTTTTAGGGCTTTCAATATACACAGAGGAAAAGCTGGGTAGAGGGGAAGTTTGGATGGTAAGAAAATTTACATGTGTAATGAAAAAGAAGCACATAGGGAAATATAAAATTACGTAGTTCTCCTGCAGTAAGTCAGCACTTTCCCATGCTGTTCTCATGATAGTGAATAAGTCCCATTAGATCTGATAGTTTTATCAAGGGGAGTTCCCCTGCACAAACTCTCTCTTGTCTGCCACCATGTAAGATGTCCCTTGCTTTCCTGACATGATTGTGCAGCATCCCCAGCCATGTGGAACTATAAGTCCATTAAACCTCATTCCTTTACAAATTACCCAGGCTTGGTTATGTTTTTATTAGTAGCAGGAGAACAGACTAATACATTTATTTTGCCAAAGTTAAGAACCCACCCATGGCAAGCCTCAGGAAGTCCTGAGACATATGCCCAAGGTGATAGAAATACAGCTTGCTTTTATACATTTTAGAGAGACATGAGACATCAATCAATATATGTAAAATGCACATTTTTTTTTCCTTCAAGACAGGACAAATTGAGAGAGGGTTTTGCAGTTTAGAAGTAGATAAGACACAGTAGATTGCATTGTTTTAAGTCCTTTATCAGCCTACCACTGAATCCACAATTTAGTCAGACTTAGTGAATCTTCATTTTTTCATAAGTGATACTGAAGAGGAAGCAATCAGATATGTATCTGTCTCATGTGGGCCTCAGAGGAATGACTTTGAATAGAAAGGGAGGCAGGTTTGCCCAAAGCCCTTTCCAGTAAAACACCCTTGTTTTCTGGAATATCACCGAAGGTTCTTTGTGTCGTGGCTATGAAAATCAAGGACACAGACACACAAAAGGTGAGGTTGGAGCAGAAATTTCATATGTAAAAGGAAAACAAAAAAGCTCTCTGTCACAGAAAGGGGTCCCAAATGGGTTGCTGTGCTGCAGTAAAATGTAAGGATTTTTATAAATGTGCTACTGGGGAGAGGGTATCTTATCAACATAGGATGCAAAAACAGGACCAGGTGTGCCATCTGCATAGAGCGAAGTCTCTGGCAGCCCCATCTCATGCTTTTATTATGCAGGTGGGGACTTAGCTTGGTCTGCTCCACGTTCCTTATCTCCTTCCACCATGCGTGTGCTGAAAAAGGAGGGAGGAGTTTCCATGCCAGGTCCCAGGTACCTCCTTGCAGCTGGGGGCATCCCAAACCCCGTGCAAGCTAACAGCTTTCCTAGCTCAGTGTGACCCCAGAAAAGGAAAGGAATGTGTTCATTAAGGCCCAGTGTTTTTATTGGGACCCATCCTATGTATGTGAACTTTGGTGATTACAAACAGAAATACCCTCTCTGCCAGAGTTGTTTATCTATATTTTACAGCCCGATCTTTCAGGCTGCTCTTTGTTAGAAGTGATCTCTTTGAACTGTGTCTGATTAGAAAAGAAGTTATTTTTGAGCTGATTCTTGTTAGAAGAAAAGTTTTTGCCAGAGACGCTTTCATCCTAACTATCTACCTAAATAATTTCTTTCTATCTCCTATTACACCAGCTGGACTCTTCTCTTTAGCTTAGTGATTTTGGGGTCTCAAGATTTATTTTCTCTTCACAATAGGCAGGTACAAAAGGAGACTTCATATGTAATTAAGTTGCTTGTATTAGTCCATGTTCAGGTTGCTATAAGGACATACATGAGGCTGGGTAATTTATAAAGAAAAATAGGTTTAATTAACTCACAGTTCTTCATGGCTGGGGAGGCCACAAAAAACTTACAATCATGATGCAAGGGGTAGCAAACACATGCTATTTCACATGACTGCAGGAGAGAGAAGTGTTAAGTGAAGAGGGAAGCCCCTCATAAAATTATCAAATCTTGTGATAACTCACTCACTAACAGGAGAAAAGCAGGAAGAAAACAGCCCGTATGATTCAATTATTTCCACCTCATTCCACCCTTGCAATGTGTGAATTATTACAATAAAAGGTGAGATTTGGGTAGGGACACAGAGCCAAACCATATCATTGATTTTATTTTCTTTAGAATTTACATTGTCTAGCTGTAAGAAAGCACAGCTTAACTTCTGCTGGTTTCAAGTTAGGAAAAATATTTAAAAAGGGAAATAATTGAAAACGTTATTTTGGAGACTTGTGCAAAGATACACTTTAAAATTCAGTCCAAATTGTAGAAGATAATATAAATTGAAAAGCGAGTGGACAAGGTTAAAATCTATTAACTGATGCACTATAGTTTATTTTGAAATAATATTTCTCTCTATAATTCCCCAATTTTATTCGAGACAAAATCATAGTAGGACCAATTTATTTGTAAAATCAGTTTTAGGCTTATGAGACTTGGCCTGGTTTTTTTGTATAAGAGGCAGCAAAATAATCATTTAACATATTAGCTCTCTTTTTTTGTTTTCTATTTTTTGTTTGTACATAGGCAATTTTATTCATAAATTGACTTTGCTAGAAATTTTTTGTAAGGAGTCAAAGGGTAGAATCTTTAAAATCTTCAAGCCCAGTCAATATTTTATCTGTGCCACCAGATAGCTATGTGAATTGGGTTACTTTCTCTTTTTTCAAGTTTCCAAGAAAACTTGGGAGTCCTGGGTCTGTCAGAAATTAAATTGTTTACTTACTACAGTTCAGGGCCCTGTAAAAAAAAAAAAAAAAGGTACATGCCAGTTTTCCCAAGGGGCTTTATCAGCTCTCCAGGTTAGATTCATTTTATAAAGTAAATATGAAAATATATAATTCAAGTTAAAGACTTAGTAAAATGACCATTGTCTCCAATTGTGCCCTGTTATGGAAGAAAGCAGATTTTTATTGAACCTATGCAAATAACTATTTTGATATAAGAATACTCACAGTTTCCAAATTTTGGAGAAATTATGTATATAAGAAGATATTATGTTTTTATTTTTTTCTTAATAAAGTATACCATACTCAATTGTTAACAACTGTGAATAGCTTAAAAGACAAACTTTTCCTGATTCTGAAAAAACAGAACATAAGTAATTAGCAAATGCTTTAAAGAATAAGCCATAAAAATAATTTCAGTCTTCTGTCAATTCAGTTCATGCAATTAAGTCCTGTCCTGCTTAATATTAGATTAACAATCATCAGAAATCAATCAGGTATCAATGAGAGTCTTGGAAGTTTTAATCTCTATACCAATGGCACAATTTATAAAATTGTCACAATCGTATATTTAAGAGTACTCCTCAAAATTCTATAGATTATTATAAGCCACTTGATAAAGAATCAAAGTAAAACACCAACTGTGGATGACTGAAGTTTTCGAATAGCCATGGTTAAAGGCAGAATTGAGGGGAAAATTTGGTTACTTCCGCAATAAACAGAAATTTTACATAATAATCATAAACACTACCGATAAAATATACTAAGACATATCAAATCACTTGGATCTCATACAATTTTGGAAAATATGCTCTTTGATTTATATAAATATGGTCCAATTATATAGTCCACATTTATTTAAATATAGTCCAATGTTAAAACACTTTTGCAAATTTGACGTAGCTCCCTGCATATTTTAATTATACCAAATAAGCTGAATAAGTTTAATTTTGGCTTTGGGGACCTAATATCAGAAAAGAATAATGAGGTCAAATGACTGCATTTAGAATTTTATTTTGTGAAGTTTGTCAAATATCAAAAGTTTACAATGTTTGATATTACAAAATAGGATTACAGATTGTTGTAATGTAAGTTATTTATTTAGTCCAGTGAGAACTCAGTGATTTTGAAAGAAAGCAAAAACTTTTATTTTTCAAAGAGAAGAATTAATTTTCTAAACAATAACCCCTTATAAGAACAGCATGAGAGAAGTTAAAACTGTCTCTCAATTCCGAAAAATAAATCTATTACATTATAATTACTTTTACCATAAAATTTAATTTCAAATGATCTCTTATAAACTTTTATAAGTTTTTCAAATTAAAAAGTGGATTAATTCTTCAAGAAACCCTTGTCAATTAATGTTTACTGTATAAAGAAACTTTCAAGTAATTTCATCTTTCAAAATTAGCTTTTACAATCTTACAAACCACTTCTTCTGTAACAGTCCCTGGGCCAGGAGTGGTTGAGTAGATTCAATTTCTGGCCTTGTGTCTTAAGTGTGTGATTAATTTTTATTGTCATTTTCTTCCACATGTCTAGATGGGGCTTCAATTGCTGTCAGAGTTTAAAATTTAGCAAGACTCGGTGTCTTTTTTATTTTTATTGTATTTATTTGTTTTTCCTGAGACAGAGTCTCACCCAGACTGGAGTGCAGTGGTGCAATCTCGGCTTACTGTAACCTCTGCCTCCCAGGTTCAAGCAATTCTCCCTGCCTCAGGCTCCCAAGCAGTTGGGATTACATGCGCCCGCCACCACGCCCAGCTAATTTTTGTATTTTTTATTAAAATGGGATTGTGCCGTTTTGGCCAGGCTCGTCTCTAACTCCTGCCCTCAGGAGATCCACCCTCCAAAGCCTCCCAAAGTGTTGTGTATCCTTTTTAGACCTAGGAATCAAAGATCAGTAATGTAGCAGCACAAGGCCTTTAAAAGTTACGCAGATAGTTACATTAACGTAATAACATTAATTTATATTTTCTCAAAATCTCAGTATTCCTAAGTAGTTGAAAAACTTAAAAACAGCTACAGAGGAAGTATTTCAAGAAAATATAAAATTTGTTTTATGCCATTTACCAAATGGGAAAAAAAACACCTTCAGCAGTGTGACTGTGTTTCCCTGTAGGGAAATCAGATAACCTGCAAGTCAACTCTAATGAAACAAAGTATTTGATTAATTAGACATAGGAAGAATGTGTCTTGGATTACAAGTGAAGATTTTGGTTTCATAGACAAATATAGACATTTTAAAAAACCCAAGAGTGCAGAATACTATATTGAAATAAAACATTTTATTAAGAACTTTAATATAAAAGATTTTTAGCATCAGGCAATCATAGCAGTTAGAAGCTAACAACGTTAGAAGTTAACTCTGTTAGAGGCTAACTGCTGTAAGAAAAAAATTGTTAGATGAGCTCATGAAAAATTTGAGATCCTCTCAAGCCTTCTCAAAAGAGAATAAAACTGGCAAGACGCAGTAAGAGTTAAACTTTTGGGTTAAAAAATTAAAATATCTTATAATTTCATTGAGTAAATCAATACTTTAAGACAATTTTTCATTCTAACCAATCTTTAGTATATTTATATATTTTTATATGAAAGCCAGATCTCTACAAATCTATAAGGACTATTATAAATACTTCCCTTTTAATTATAGTCAACTTCATAATATGAAGTTATTTTAATAAATTAACTTTTACAAACCTTAGTTTGACTTACAAAAAACGCTTATGGCATACTTGAACATATAGTTTTATTCTAAACATCACTCTTTCTTAAATAAAGTCATTTTTATTTTAGGATAAAAAGTTGCCATACAAGATTCTTTCTCATATAAAATTATTTTTATTTTTTTATTTTAACCTTTCATACCAAAAGTACTCCTCTATGTCTAAAAATTTCTTTTTTTTTTTTTTTTTTTGAGACAGAATCTTGCTCTTTCACCCAGGCTGGAGTGCAGTGGCATCTCTCTTATTTACTGGTTATGTTTAGGATGTTTTATAAGTAACCTCTGAATTAAATAAAATCTTTTTGTAAGAACAAATATTTTACAAAAATATTTTCTTTTAGTATACATTTTTAAAACGATTAGCAATGACCTAAACATTTAGTCAATATCTATTATTTAATTAAACTTTAGATTTTTAAATTGTAGAACAAGTTTATTTAAAAGGTTTATTTTGTTACATTAACTTAATTTATTTTTTAAATAGCTTACCTAGATCATTTATGAAAACTATAATACTCATCCTTTAAAGCTTTTTCCCTGTTATCCATATTATAACCCATGAATTTCAGGTGTTTACCTAAGTAAAATTCTTATTAAATAAATGATTGTATTTCCAATAACTATTTACCTGTTTTTTATTAAAACAATAATATTAAACATCTTATTTGTCAAATTACAAAGATCATTCTGGTTTTAACTTGGTTAATAATTTTATAATCTTCATAGAAATGTTTCACACCATATAACATCCAGTTGCAATTTTAAATATAAAATCACTTGATCAATTGATATAAACCATAAGGTATTCTGATAATTGTTAAAATATTTCTAATTTTATTTTACCAATAATTTTGAAGCCAGCTTATTTATTACATATTTATTTAAGTTACATGTACTTCAGATGCATTAGGGCTCATTGACTTAATTTAAAATAGTTATTTATTTTAAAGTCAATTTTGTACCTTGTAGCCATAACACATAACAAAAATATATATATATATGTACATAATAGATACAAGCACACATTCACACTAATACAAAGATACTAGAGCTTTTACTTTAAAACTCTAGCTATGGAATATCAATACAAACTCAACAGATGTTCAACAAAAAAGGGTTAGATGTAAACAGTGGTTGTCATCTTAAAACCAGTAGAAAGGCCCTGTAAACTGGAAAACAAAATATTTTTAAGCCAAAAACATATCCTCATCTTTCTTTATAAACTTCACCATAAATTGATTATACTCTCTTACTATTCTAATTTTTAGTAACCCTAATTCACAGTGAGAAGCCTAGGATTACTTAATTTAACATGACATCAGTTTAAGATTTTAAATTACTGAAGACAATTATGAGTCTAAATTTACCAAATTAATATTTGTAAAGCAATGTAAAATGTAAAGGTGACTCTAAAAAATAGATGTACATTTTCTTTACAAAGCATTTCACTAAACAGACTTAACTTGATTGGAGGTCTTTGAAACACAGCTTGATTACATTACTGCCCTTAGAGTGGGACCATTTAAGAAAAAGGGCCAAGAAAACATGCAGTTTTTAATTCATAAAGTACAATTGCTTATGCAAATGTGCAAAGAAATGAGTAGCCTTCTATAGTGATGACCATTTCCTGTAAACTGCCCTCAGCCACACCTAACATAGCTTTCAAAGCCACCCCTAAAATTACCGCTTTCATTCACTATTGCACACACCATGAATGAATCCTCTCAAAGTACAATGTAATTCTGGTAGCATCCAAAGCCAAAAACATGACACAATACAAGAAAGCAGAGCTTTATACTTGCTCTGCTTTATACCGAAGAATCTGCCAATGATTGAAACCACAAAGGAAGCAGAAAAACTCCCACCATGTTAGTGGCAAGATACAAGAGGAACCCTCCTCCCTGCTCCCACTCAGGGAACTGATTTGGAGCTGCCTCCTAAGGGAGCAGTGGTGTCCTCAGTGCCCCTTGGTGTCCTCACTGCTCCCTGGTTTCCTGAGCACCCCCTGGTGTCCTGAGTGCCCCCCTGGGGTTCTGAGCACCCCTGGTGGTTCTGAGCACACCCTAGTGGTTCTGAACCACCTGGTGTCCCGATCGTCCCCGGTGGTTCTGAGTGCCTCCTCATGTCCTGAGTGCTCCCTAGTGGTTCTGAGTCCCCTGGTTTCCTGAGTACCCCCTGGTGGTTCTGAGCACCCCCTGGTGTCCTGAGCGCCCCCTGGTGTCCTCAAAACCCCCTAGTGGTTCTGAGCCCCCTGGGGTCCTAAGATCCCCCTAGTGGATCTGAGCATCCCCTGGGGTCCTGAGGGCCCCCTCGTGGTTCTGAGCACACCCTAGTGGTTCTGAGACCCCTGGTGTCCTGAGCACCTCCTGGTGGTTCTGAGATCCCCCTGGTGTCTTGATTGCCCTTTGGTGTTTCTGAGCTCCCCCTAGTGTCCTGAGGGCTCCCTGGTGTCTCCAGTGTCCCCTGGTGGTTCTGAGTGACCCCCACCAAGTGTCCTGAGTGCCCCCTGGTGGTTCTGAGCACCCCTGCTATCCTGAGCTACCCCTCACCACAGTGTCTGGAGTGCCCCCTGGTGGTTCTGAGTGACCCCCCCCCCCCCAGTGTCCTGAGCGCTCCCTGGTGGTTCTGAGCACCCCTGCTATCCTGAGCTACCCCTCACCACCGTGTCTGGAGTGCCCCCTGGTGGTTCTGAGTGACCCCCACCCCAGTGTCCTGAGTGCCCCCTGGTGGTTCTGAGCACCCGCTGTTTTCCTGAGGCTCCGCACCCCCAGGTGGTTCTGAACATCCTTTCTTGTCATCAGTGCCCCATGGTGGTTCTGAGCACCCTCTGGTGGTTTTGAGTGCCCCCTTGTGTTCTGAGCGCCCCCTGGTGGTTTTGAGTAACCCATGGTGTCCTGAGCACCCCCTGGTGTCCTGAGCATCTCCTGATGGTTCTTAGCGCCCCCTGATGTCCTGAGCACCCCCTGGTGGTTCTGAGAAGCATCTACCAGGCAGTCCCCTCCTGTCCCCCTGCAGGGAGGTTGGTGTCTGAGCTCACTCAGATGTCCCCTCACTGTGTCCCTCAAAGTAATACACGGACTTTTCCTGAGCTCTCAGGTTAATCATCTTAAAAGAGAATCTCCTGAACTGAGTGTATTTGAGGATTGTTAATCATCTTTTTACTCAAGGAGAGTCCCACTGAGAACTTCCATTTGAATTATTGTTATTACCCACACCCACCCCTGTCATGAAGCCTGCTGGATCAAGCTTATGCTGTTTTCAGTGAAAGTGAATCCAGAGGCTTTGCAGAAAAGGCAGAATTCCTGGTCTGTAGTATTTCTCTGTCTGACTCCGTTAGTTAACGTCACAGGGGACTTCTGCAAACACAGAGGCAACAGACTGAGAACAGCCCCACCTTTGAGCAGCCACAGCAGGGCCTGATCCACGGGGAACCTGGATATTGAGAGTGATGACAAGAGAAGCCCAGATCAGCACAGACCCCATGGTGTGGACACTAAGGAGGGCACAGATGTGGGGTGGCTCCTCACCAGGATCTACAGGAACAGGGGATGAGCTACTTTTCATTTGCAGAGGAGGGGCTTCATTTCCATGTCTTTCTCCCTGGGGACATGAGTGCACTGCTCAGCAGGCCTCTTCCCATCTCTGTCTCTGGATTCCAGGGAGGGCAGGGTCAAAGGATTCCTGGGACTGGATGTTCAGGGTTGATCTGCCCATTACTCTTTTTTTTCTCGTATGTGGACCCCTATAGGGTATCTTTATAGTATCAATATTTATCAACAAATAGGTACAGTAAACAAATAAAAATAAACCTTGCCCAGAGGAAATGGACTCCTGCCTGTAGGCTGTGCAATTAGAGCTGTAAAGGACTGTCTTCTACAATAAAGGAAAGTCTTCAGTTAGAATTTTAAAAATGACAATTTCTACAAACTATCAGAGCTGGAGTCCATAATTACCACTATCCTAAGCTCATCTTGCCACATAACTGTTTGTTGTCAGCTATATGTGCTTGTCTGAGGAAAAAGTCAATGTGGGGACATGTGTGCTTATCTGAGGGAAGAGTTCACATGAAGACAGGGGTGCTTGTCTGAGGGAAGAGTCAACCTGAGGATGCGTTTGTCTGAGGGAAAGGTCCACGTGGGGACAGGTGTGGGCATTGTCTGATGGTAAATGCCCATTCAGAGACGGTGTGTGCCTGGACTGAGCTGAAGTTTGAGGGAAATCTTTCTCAGTCAAAGGAAGATGCGAATCATCTGGATTAATTGCTTGTCAGCAGGGAAACTTGGTTGCACATGAACCTGATAAAAGAAAAGTCTCTTGTGAATGGAAACATCTTATGTGCAAATGGGGAAAGTTACTTCATTCTTTGTTGCCTGCATCTCATGCAATTCCCTGCCCACACGGTGTAAATGTATTTGATATTTTATTTTTGTACACTCTGCATTTTATCCTGGGGTTCATGATGTGCTACATCATTTTATAAGTTGTATATATTTAGATTCATAGTTTACATCATAGAATTATGAGAATTAACAAATTGTGTCATGCGTTCACTACTGCAGATCATAAAAAAGTTTCACTGTTTGCAAACAGTACCTTTTTCTCCTAATGCATACCCTCTCTCTAAATTTCTAGAAAATCCTCATATATTTATGACATCTACAGTTTTGTCTTTTACAGAATGTCAAATAAAATGTATACAACATATTTCAAATAACCTCACTGAAGAAGGTGACACATAAAGTTTCTCACCTATATAACTTAGAAGTCAGGGTGTTCTGTAAATCTAAAGTATAAAGAAACTGCACTTAAACACTTTTTTCTAGTCAATAAACATACTTCCAACAGGGGTACAAGTTAACAATTCTAATACCACGATGCATATATTCTAAATTGTACAACAAATTGAATGAATGGCAAATGATGGGAGGGGTTCCTCACTTTGCAGTAGGTGGTTATGGACAGGCAAGGAAGGAAAGCTTGAAACATTCATGTATCATCATAGTAGATTGTAGATACCAGTGTTCTAAAGTTTGAGGCAATAAACATACAGAAGATTGGATACATAAATAGATTAGATGGGTCCATTAACATGGGTTAATATATACATACACATTTTCTAGGCCTGTTAGCTTAGAGATTCTAGAAACACTTACAGTACGTTAACAACACACACACCCAACATCATAATTTTGTGTGTTGATATAATTCTTTAATATCAAGGACCGGCAATCCTTGGAGAAATAACTGATTCTATGTGTAGAAAAGATAATAGAGATAATGAGCTTAGTATTTCTTGTAACACCAGGAAATAGGGAAGTGATCAAAAACAAAAGGATGGGGCATGCTGTAAAAATACAGAATCCAAACTAAATGAGCTCACAGAACCTAAAAAAAAGCTGTGGTGATTTGAGCGATAAAATAAATAATGTAGCACCAGATCTTCTCCATAGTAAAAAATAAACATTCATGAGCCAACACCGACATTAACAGATTATTGAATAAAGAAAATTAGAAAAAAGGCACCTTCCATTCAGAAGAATTCTAAACATCTTAATAATCTTCTCATTAAATAGGAGAAATTCAAATAATTATGCTGTGATTGTGGCCTGAGATTAGAGACAAGAGAAAAATCCTGTTAGTGGAATTCATAATTAGTTTTTAGATATCATGCCGAAAGTATGAGCTATGAAATAATTATTTTATGTAAGTTTACACATACACACACACACACTATATATATATGCACACACACACATATGTATATAAATATTTTTCTGCCACAGACACTGATATGGGAGTAAAACAACAACTACAATTTGGAGAATACACTTGTAAAACACATATTTGTTAATCAATTTTTTGTTAACTTCGTGAGTGACTTATATAATGGGTATATAAGGAAACTTACAACTGATCAAAAAGAAACAATGCAATAAAAAATAATCCACATACCATACGAGACACTTCATCACAATTATATGAAATAATTAAATACAAAATTTTAATTAGAAATATGTGCGTTTAAACAACAATGAGATATCACTACTAATCTATTAGAATAGTTAAAATACGCAATACTCATAGTGCCAAATGGCAATGAGGATGCGGAAGAACAAGATCTATCATGCATTGCTGGCATGAACACAAAATTATAATTGCACAAAATGGAAAACATTAAAACATTTTGATATTTTATATAATGGAGATAAGTGTAGAGTTAAAATGTGATCTTAGCAGCTGTGCTCCAAAACATTTACAACACCCGTTCCAAAACTTATGCTCGCACTAATATTTTCAGAGGAATTCTATTATTGGTTTTATTAATTTGATTTGTTCTCCACTCCCTGAATTTTGCTTACAGAATAAAAGTTGTATGGAAAATTTCCCACATAATTAGAGTCCATACGCATTTCTATTTTCCTTTTTTCAGCAATGACTTAAACTCGCTTTCTAAAAAAAGTCTTTAAAGCAAATAAAATCCCTGTCATCTCTCAAGCCCAGCACTGCTGCCACCTCCCTCAGGATTGCTGACTGTCTCAGGATGTGGGTTTTCACATTGTGTGTCTCGCACAGTAGTACACATCTATGTCCTCAGATCTCTGACTGCTCAGCTCCATGTAGGCTGTGCTCGTGGACATGTCCCTGGTCATGGTGACTCTGCCCTGAAACTTCTGTGCATAGCCTGTCTTACCATTGCCAGAGTAGATCCCTCCCATCCTTTCAAACCCTTATCCAGGGGCCTGTCGCACACAGTGAATATCGTAGCTGGTGAAGGTGTATCCAGAGCTTTGCGGGACACCTTCACTGAGGCCCCAAGCTTCCTCCTTCAGCCCCAGACTGCACCAGCTGCACCTGGAATTGGGCACCTGTGGAGAGAATACAGGAGTGGATGAAATTCTTTTTGACTGAAAAGAGTCCTCTCATCCTTCGGAGTAGGTGGTCCTTTACCTGTAGCTGCTGCCACCAAAAAAATGATCCTTCAGGTCCAGTCCATGGTGAGGAGCTGTGTTCTCAGCAGCTTCTCTAGAGGAGGGATGTGGTTGTTGGGTGATGCTCTCAGGGCACAAGAATAACCATATTTAATCTCAGTGGATCTCATGATATTTGCATATTCATGATTCAGAGAATTTTATAACTCAAGACCTGATTCAGGACAAGAAAGAGAGGATAAATGGCACATCAGCCATACAAAAGTGAGATGGTGATGGTCCAAGTCCTAATCCCACTTGAGGAAATGCATGCCCTGCTCCATTTCCAAACACTTTGTGGACAGAGGTCCTTTCACTGAAGAACCAGCACCCACAGGACGCGTTCCTCACAGTGAACCCATATTTGATTAGCATGGAGACAATCTGGATCATTTCTTGGACCATCACTACGACACTGAGCAGATGCCTTTGCCTCATTCTGGTCTCATCAGCCACCCGCACAGACCACTGGTGACTCTGAGAAAGAGAATGCTGGATGTCCCATGTGAGTGTCCAGCAGGGCCTATGGACAAGCTGGGTGCTCCTGAGACAGTGTCTTCAGCATCTGCCTGAGATCCTAAGATCTTTAACAGAAGACTTTTAGTTTACTGATTTGGCCTGTGATGTGTGATTGGCGCTGATTTTCTCATAAGACTGACAATAGCAATGAAGGGTTGGCATAGCAATTAGGAGTTCTTCATGAACTCCCAGCTCTCAGAATAATTTCCAAGGAATCTGTGTTTTGAATAGGCTTGGGTTTTATTTCTCACTCTATTGAAAATAATTTTGTGATGTATTTACATCAGGAAACAAGACACTCTAACAAGAGAGCTGTTTTTAGGTGAGGTGCAAAGTAGTGGAGAGATGGAGGTGTCCTTGAATTCTCAGAATTGCTGGAACTTGAATACCAAGTTCACCTCTGAAAGGCAGTAGTCTATCTGTGAGGATATCAATCAGCTCTGCCTTCAGGAATCTTTGGATGTGGAAAAGATCAGGAGTGTGATTTATTTTTATCCATCGTGGTTAGAGGGAAACTTCCGGTCCCAGGAAGTGGGTGATTTTAACAGAAGCACCTGAGACCTTTCCTTCTGAGTCGTTTTGAATCCTGAGATCTATTGGAGATCGTAGGAGAAAGCAATGGGGCAGATCTCCATTCTCCTTAATGTGTGATCCTGAGGATGTGGCCTGACCTCTGTACACTTCCGTGTTAAAAGATGTAGATTGGGGATTGCAGTGACAATTTCATATGCAAACTCTATAATAGGTCAGCACTGGAGAATAGTCTCATCACCAAGATTACTGCAATTACCTTTCCTGGGAACCAGAGAGAACCTCCGTGACCCCTCTCATCTGAGCACACAAGGAACTCTGCTTCTGCCCTGACAGATCACACCTGTGACACGGGGCAGGACAACGACAATCAAGTCTAGTGTCCTCATTCATATATTGACCAATCTAGCTCGATCCTTCTATCTCTGAAAGGCCCTCTCCTCCACTGAATTGCATGAACATACCTTTGGGTGTGGGGCATTACAGCTTTGTTATTTGATATTAGTTTAGTGAATTACATAATAAATAATCTGCCTCCATGGACGCTGGCAACAGGAGAATCATCAGAAGCTGGGTGAGTCATATAATCAGGACAAAACTGTGCTCTCTTCTTCGGACCTGGAAAGAGTGGGCTGACCTTGTGTGGGGCAACAGAGGGGAGGAGACAGACCAAACATCCAGAACCAGGTGAGCACCTCACTTACCAGGTAGTCTCTGGGCCTTTTGTTTGAACACATGCAGAAGGACCTGTGCTCACCTTCAGGGAAATGGTGAACTTGGAGAAAAGATCACAGTGACCAATAATTTTTTACTTATCGAGAAAAAAGTGTCATAGGTCTCTATGCATCAGTATGCATGTGTACAGGTTGCTACACAAAAAAGAGGAAATTATATTAGCTGGAAAGAAAACCAAAGAGCTTCTGAATGCGTAGATGTTGTTATTCTCAAATATGCTAGCTCCCATTTTAGGATGCTGCTCCCTAGGGGCCAGGACACTGGGGCCGACAGAACATGCTGCTGAGGCTCAGTTCTGGACAAGAGCTACTGAGAACCAGAGACTCACTTCTTCCACACAGCCTCACTGATGGATGAAGGCTCTGCCCTGGGTGCAGCAGCACTGAAGACGTTGGCCCCCTGGTTCCCAACCCTGCTTCTATGGAAGAAGGTCTACCCCAGCAGGAGCTGCATGCTGATAAAGTGGAAAGTTTCTCCCCAACCCTGCACTGAGCACTCAGCTCCTACCTTGAAGAAGAAAAACACTCCTAATCTCCACCTGCAGAATCTTATCTTGGAGCTCTGTCTCAGGAGCGGGGGTGAGGCTGAAATTTGGTCATAAAATAGAGTCCCGAATCTGGTCTTGAAGGACCTGACTTCATTTACAACAGAGTGTGGAGAATTACAAAGCCCAAGAGTTGCTTCAAAAACGGTGGAGGCTGTGGTAAAATGCACTTGGACGGAGATGGGTGAATGCATGGGAGATCCAGGCTAAACTGCAGGGCTGCTGGCCTGCAGGAGAGAACCAAGAAGAAAGAGAGCTGGGAAGAGTTCTCCTGGGATCAGTACAAATGTCAGGCACTGTTTGTTCAAAGGCGCCCATGTTTGTTTGGTTCCATCTGTAGAGCAACTTAGACCTCAGTGCATTGTTGAAAATATAAACTTCCAACTGCAAGTAGTGGAGCTCAACATCTGGTCCTGGTCAGGGAAGAGACAGAGAGAGCCCAGCCCAAACCAATGACATGCGAGGGTGACAGTGAAATCCACAACTGTGTCTCTGGGGATCTTTCAGGCAGGCCTTCTGTCACTCAGAAGAAAGTCTGGAGTTCACCTGTAATGCTTTATGTCAAATTTTCAAAGACATTCATGTTGTTTTTAGTTTCTAACATACACACACCACACACACACACACACACACACACACAATGTTAAACATCTGAATACATGTGTGTGAACATATGATTTTAATCCTTTGTAGGACATACTTAGGAGTGAGAGTTCTAGGTCATGGATTAAGGACATGTTTAATTGTATAGGAAACTGTAAATGATTTTCCCAGAAACTGTTTCATTTTGCATTCCCACTAGCAATATATTAGTCTCTAGGGTGACTGACTTCTTCACCGACGCTGATATTGTCAGTATTTCTTCTTTATTTTTTGTCTTTCTAGGAAGTCTATGGTAGTGTCTCCTTTTGGTCTTGATTTGCAGTTCTCTAGTGGAAAATCACATTCATATGCTGGTGTGTCATCTGTACATCTTCGAGGTTTGCCGGTTCATATTATAATTACATTGGTAGATATATGACTTGCAAATATTTTCTCCTTTGCAGCTTGTCCTTAATTTTCTTGATAGTCACTTGAGTAGAAAATGTTTTAAAATTTGAAGTTCAACTAACGTTATTTTCATTTATTGGTCACAATTTTAATTTTCAGTATTGTTGATCAACTGTTACTAATCATGTTTTAATTATATTTGTTTTTATTTTATATGTATAAATTTGTGGGGAGTGACTGCAATTTTGTTACATATATATATTGCATAGTAGTCTTGGCTTTAATGTATCCATGATCCAAATAATGTACATTGTACCCATTAAGTAATTTCTCACCATTCTCCCACCTTCTGCTCTCCCATCTTTCTGAGTCTCCAGTGTCCATCATTCCTTTCTCTATGTCCCTGTGCACATATGAGTTAGCTCTCATTTATAAGTGAGAACATGTGGTGTGTGATGTTCTGTTTCTCAATTATTATACTTAAAATAATGATGAATTCCATCCATGTAGCTGCAAAAGATATGATTGCATTCCTTCATATGGCTGGATAGTATTTAAATGTATATATATGTAACATTTTCTTTATAAAATTATCTGTTGTTAGGCATAGGTTAATTCCTAAGTTTGATGACTGGGCTATTATGAATAGTTCTGCAAGAAAACAAAAGTCGGCTTATCATTCTGATATAATGATTTATTTTTCCTTTAGGTAGTTATTTGTGGTTATCGAATCAAAGTAGTTCTACTTTTACTTCTTTGAAAAATCTCCATACTGTTTTCCATAGAGGCTGTGCTAATCTACATCCTCACCACAAGTGTCCGAGCGTTCCTTTTGCCTTCAATCCTCACCAATACCTGTTATTTTTGGCTCTTTAATAGTAGCCATTCTGACTGGTTTAAGAAATATCATTGCAGTTTTAA
Organism: Homo sapiens; assembly: GCF_000001405.40. NCBI lineage: Eukaryota > Metazoa > Chordata > Mammalia > Primates > Hominidae > Homo > Homo sapiens. The sequence goes on along the minus strand of NC_000016.10, from coordinate 32,974,246 downwards.
TTTGCATCTCCCTGATAATTAGTGCTGTTTAGCATTGTTTACTTATTTATCATCCAGCATTTTCCCATGTATATCAATACATCAACTGGTGTACCTTAAATACATACAATTTTATTTGTCAACTTTAGCTCCATAAAGCTGAAAATGTAACTCAGTCTTATAATAAAAAAATGCATACTTATATTTCTATGTATTTTATCAATATGTGAGAATATAAACAGAAAAACTTGTACGAAAATAGTTATAACAGTTTGTTTATAATATTTATGTTGGAAAGAAATTTAAATTTCATCAACAGGAAAACAAATATACATATTGTCATTATTTCACATAATAAACTGATTTATTTACTTAATAAACTGTCATTTACTGATGTTATGGATTGATTCAGATATGAAATATTCATATGTGTATTAGTACGTACATATGTATATATATGATGACAAAACCTTGAGACATGAAATTACATAAATAAACCTAAAAAATAGCAAAAATAAGTTCAAAACAGAAAAAATTAACCTATAGTGACAAAAATTAGAACATTTTTCTATTTGCATTTTTCTGATGGTTAGTGATGATGAGAATCTTTTAAAATATTGCTGGCCACCTGTAAGTCTTCTTTTCAGAAGTGTCTGTTCTTGTTATTTGCCCATTTATTAATGGGGTTATTTGTCTTTGGATTCTTGATTTGTTTAAGTTTCCTATACATTCTTGATATGGTTTGATTGTGTCCCCACACAAATCTTATCATGAATTGTTGCTCCCATAATTACCATGTGTTGTGGGAGGGACCCCGTGGGAGATAATTGAATCATGGTGGGGGGGTCTTTCCCATGCTATTCTCATGATAGTGAATTAGTCTCATGAGATCTGGTGATTTGATAAAGGGGAGTTTCCCTGCATGAGTTCTCCTCTCTTGCTGATGATTTTATAAAGGGGAGTTTCCCTGCATGTCCTCTCTTCTCTTGTATGCCACCATGTGATATGTGCCTTTCACATTCTGCCATGATTTCGAGGCTTCCCCAGCAACGTGGAAGTGTGAGTCTATTAAACCTCTTTCTCTTGTAAATGCCCAGTCTCAGGTACGTCTTTATCAGCAGCATGAAAAGCAACTAATACAGTAAATTGGTATCAGTTGAGTGAAGTGCTACTGATAAGATACTCAAAAACATAAAAGCGAATTTGGAACTGGAAAACACGCTGAGGATGAAACAGTTTGGAGGGCTCAGAAGAAGACAGAAAAAAATGTGTGAAAGTTTGAAACTCTCTAGAGATTTGTTGAATGGCTTTGGCCAAAATGCTGATAATGATGTGAACAATAAAATCCAGGCTGAGGTGGCCTCAGATGGAGACGAGGAACTTGTTGGGAACTGGAGCAAAGTTGACTCTAGTTAGGCTTTAGCAAAGATACTGGTGGCATTTTGCCTCTGCCTTAGAGATTTGTGGAACTTTGAGCTTGAGAGAGATGATACCAGGTATCTGGCAGTAAAAAATTCTAAGCAACAAAGTATTCAAGGTGTGACTTGGGTGCTGTTAAACACACTCAGTTTTAAAGGAGGTAGAACATAAAAGTTCAGAAAATTTGCAGCCCGACAATGCAATAGAAAATAAAATCCCATTTTCTTAGGATAAATTCAAGCCAGCTGCGTAAATTTACATAAGTAATGAGGACCCAAATGTTGGTCACCAAGACAATGCAGAAAATGTTCCAGGGCATGTCAGAGACTTTTGTGGAAGGTTCTCCCATCGTAAGCCAGAGACCTAGGAGGAAAAAATGGTTTCATGGGCTGGGCTCAGGGTCCCTCTGCTATGTGCAGTCTAGGGACCCGGTTCCTTGCATCGGAGCTGCTCCAGCCATGATTAAAAGGGGCCAAGGTACATACAACTCAGGCTGTGGCTTCAAGGGGTGAAAGCCCCAAGCCTTAGCATCTTCCATTTGGTGTTGAGCCTGCAGGTGCACACAAGTCAAGAATTGAGGTTTAATAACCTCTGCCCAGATTTCGGAGGATGTATGTAAATGCCTGGATGTCCAGACAGAAGGTGGCTGCAGGGAGGGGCCCACATGGGAAACTCTGTTAGGGGCAGCGAGGAAAGAAAATGTGGGGTGTGTGCTTTCACACAGAGTCCCCACTGGTGCATTGCCTAGTGAAGCTATGATTAGAAGGCCACAGTTATTCAGACCCCAGAATAGTAGATCCACCAACAGCTTGCACCATGCACCTAGAAAAGCCATGGACACTCAGAGCAAGCCAGTGAAAGCAGCTGGGTGAAAGACTGTACCCTGCAAAGCCAGAGGCATATAGCTGCCCAAGACCATGGGAACCCAACACTTACATCAGCATGACCTGGATGTGAGACATGGAGTCAAAATAGATCTTTTTTGAGCTTTAAGATTTGACTGTCCCACTGGATTTTGGACTTGTACAGGGCCTTTAGCCCCTTTGCTTTGGCCAATTTCTGCCATTTGGAATTGCTCTATTTACCCAATACCTGTACTCCCATTGTGTCTAGGAAGTAACTAACTTACTTTTGATTTTACAGGCTCATAGGCAGAAGGGACTTGCCTTGTCTCAGATGAGGCCTTGGAATGTGGACATTTCAGTTAATGCTGAAATAAGTTAAGAATTTGGGACTGTTGGGAAGGCATGATCCATTTTGAAATGTGTGTACATGAGATTTAGGAGGAGCCAGGGGCAGAATGATATGATTTGACTGTGTCCCCACCCAATTCTCATCTTAATTGGAGCTTCAGTAATTTCCTAATATTGTGGAATAAACCCCCTGTGAGATAATTAAATCGTGGGGGCGGGTCTTTCCCATGCTATTCTCTTGAGAGTGAATGTCTCATAATATCTGATAGTTTTATAAAGGGGGATTTTCCTGCACAAGTTCTCTTTTCTTGTCTGCTGCCATATGGGACGTGCCTTTCACATTCCACCATGACTGTGAGGCCTCTCTAGCCTTGTGGAACTGTGGATCAAACCTCTTCTTCTTCTTTTATGATAAATTGCCTAATATCGGGTATGTCTTTATTAGCAGCATGAAAACCAACTAATACAATTCTGGATATTAGGGCATTGTTGGATGCAACATTTGTGAATAACTTCCCACAATCTGTAGGTTGTCTGCTCACTATGCTGATAGTTTTGTTTGTTTGTTTGTTTGGTTGGTTGGTTAGCTGGTTGGTTTGCTGCATAGTAACTCTTTAGCAAATTAGTCTCTCCTTATCTATTTTTGTTTTTGTTGCAATTGCTTTTGGATACTTAGCCAAAAAGTATTTGTCAAAGCTGGTGTTGAGAAGAGTATTTTCATGTTGTCTTCAAGGATTTTTATAGTTTGATGTCTTACATTTAAATCTTTTATCAATTTTGAGTTAATTTTTATATATGTTGAAAGCAGACATCCAGTTTGAATCTTTGTCATATGGCTAGCTAGTTGTCCCAGTACCATTTATGGAACAGGGAATTCCTTTCTCATTTCTTGCTTTTTTGTCAGCCTTATCAAATATCATATGGTTGTAGGTGTGCAGCCTCACACCACTCAAATTTTTATCACTAAAAAGTCAAAAACCAGTGGATACTGATGGGGCTGTGGTGAAAAGAAAACACTTACACGCTGTTAATGGGAATATAAATTAGTCCACCCACTTTGGAAAGCAGACTGGAGATTTCTCAAAGAACTTAAAACAGAGATATTATATGAACCAGCTATCCTTCTACATGGTATACACTACAAGGTAAACAAATAATTCTACCAAAGAGACACATGTGTGTGTATGTTTATTGCTGTGTTATTCACAGTGGCAAAGACAAAGATCAGCCCAGATGCACATCGATGGTAGAGTGGATATATAAAATGTGGTATATGTAAAATGTATAATACTACACAGCCATAAAAAAGAATGAAATCATGTCCTTTGCAGCAAAACAAATGGAGCTGGAGTTCTTAATCCTAAACAAATTAATTCAGGAAAAGAAAACTGAACACCACATATTCTCCTAAGTGGCACCTCAGCATTGAGCACACATGGATAAATATGGGAGCAACAGACACTGTGGACTGCTAGACAGTGGAGGGAGAGGGTGATGAAATCTGTATTCCAAACCTCAGCATCACCCAATAATCCCATGTAACAAATCCACACATGAACCCTCTGTTTCTAAATTATAAAGTTGAAATAAAAAAAATCCTTATGGGAGAACTAACTTGAAGCACTGAAGAGGACACTTTGTGGGGAGATGGACCTGTTCCTCACCCTCACTTAGCTGCTGTAGACAAGTATGTGCACATTTGCCTGGAACCCTCTAACTGTACCTGGAAAATCTGTGCATTTTGTATATGCTAATTTTATCTCACAAAAATGGAAAATAGACAATTGTAGAAAAATATTTTATATTAAAATTAAAATCTTAAAATAAATATGAAAATTCAAATACAAAATGAGAATGTGATTGTTACAATAATTATTAATGTGCATTCAGCTATATCTACTAGAATAAAATCACAGAAATAAGAAAGATAAATGTAACATCTGAAAATAAAAAAATTAATGAACACACCAAAGACACCTGGGACCCACAGGTGGGGTGACTTGACCTTCAGTCATCCTCTTGGTGATTTGAGGGTTTTCCCAGGAAACGATGAGACATAGTTTTTCAATGGGGCTCTGGTGACCCTGGTGAGATGTCTGAAGGTCCCCGAGGCCTGACCATCCAGCCAGCGCCCCTGGCCTCTGGACGCCCTGCCTGCCCTGCAGAGGCGGTTGGCAGTGCCACCTGGCTTTTGGCCGGGTCCTGGGGAGGCAGAGAGAGGCCAATTTTGGTTCTCACTCCTGGCCCCCCAGAGGGCACAGTGAGGAGCCAGTAGGGAGAGGATAGGAGAAGAGGAGGAGGAGCGGTGTCCCCGGCAGCAGGATTCCCACTTGGAGCACAAAGTGAAGCAAGCACAGGGGAGGGGGACTAGAATCAGTCCCCCACAGCAAGCACAGAAAGGAGGAGCTGCGCAGAAGGCAGAGCCCCCCAGCCCCTGGGGCCTGGCTGGGGAAGGTCCGCACTTAGGGAGAGCTGGGAGCTGTTGAAGGTTTGGGGGGAGGGGAAACGGGTTGTGTTTCTTCATTTCTTTTTTTGTTTTTGACTTTGTTGGTTCATCCTTATTTTCTAGCTTTGGATCATTTTTGTACCAAGGCGAGCAAGCCTTTTTGAAAAATAACAAAAGAGGAAAAAAAAAATCCCTCCTGGAAAAAAAAAAAAACCCTGGAAAATAGAAAAAAAAAAAGGACCTCATAAATGATGCAATTACTTTTAATTGCAGGCAACTCTTTACATTTAAGTGAAGTGTCTTAACATTTTATACGGTTTTAAAAATATATTTACATATTCTATATATAATATACGTAATATAAATATATATAAATATTTAAAAAAGAAAAAAGTAAACCACGGCACTCTTCCTGGCCACTGTTTTGGTGGGGGAGGGGGGCTGGGGGGGGCGGGCACGTCTGCCTGGCTTCTGTGGTCCCAGTGAAATGGTCTGGTTTGATTTGGCTGTACAGAGATCCCCTGACTTGGGAGGGGAGGGGGGAGTGGTGCCCCCTCCTCCCTCCACTCCATTACTCTCTGCTTGCTACTTCGCTTGCCCCCAGCTCCCACCCTCAGCCCTGTGACTGGAATGTGTGCCCCACCGTCATTGTCCTGAGTTGAATGTCCCTTTGTGGGGGAGGTGGGGGGGTAGTGTCCATCCACGAAGGAGCAGAAGGAGGGAGCCACGGGCCCTGCCCCAACCGCTCGGGGGAAGCCCAGTGGGATTTGCATCTTTCTTTCCCTTTGGTTCCTGCACATTTATGGGCTGGGAGGCATCCGTGTGGAATTGCGTGCAGCCTGTGTGTGTGCTGGCACAAGCCCATGCACTGTGTGTGCAGACGCATGGCGCCTGCACCCACAGGCATGGCCGAGCACATGTGTGGGGGAAGGTGTGGGCACATAGGTGCATGTAACCTGTTTGCGCATTGGCACGTGCCTACCTGCATGTGAGCGTGAGAGGAGCTTTGTGTGTGAGAACATGTGTAATGTGTGTGCAGACATGCCGAGCGCCAGAGACTTGTGTGTGGGCCACGTACATGTGGACAGAGACGCATACATGGAGGTGCATGTAATCTGTGTCTCCGTGTGTGTGCACGTATGTGTGCTGGTGCAGACCCAGGTGTGTGGGTGTGCCTCTGTGTGCGTGTGTTCCATCATCCCTGCACCACTGGCTCCAGATCTCTTCCTGAGCCCCCGTCCCCACTGGCCCTCTCACAGCCTGCAACACATCAGTGCCCCCAGCTGCATGCGCCTCGCTGCTCTGTCCATCAGTGTGTGCTTGACCAAGAGAAAACTAAGACGTCTCGGGGGGCCCCTGTACCTGGTCCTCTCAGCCCCCGCCCACTGTGCTGTGTTACTTGCATGGGGGATTTCCTGCCCCTTCCACAATATGCTGTTTCCCCCAGGAGCCTCAGGCCTGAGGCTCGGAGTGGGGTCCCCAGAGGGCCCCCTGGGGTGAGCCCCGGCTCCACACCCTGCCCCATCCACCCTGTAGGGCCCATGTTGGTGTAGCGGTGATGGCTTCTGTGGATATTCTATGACCTCTGTCGGTGTAACTTGACAATTTCTAAATGGAAAAGGGTTGCTGCGTTTTCTCTGTCTCTTTTTTTAATGTCCTTTTTTCTTCTCCCCACCTCCCTGCTCTCTTTCCTTTTCAGTTTTTCTAGCCAAGTGTTTGGGGCTTTAATAAAACTTGTTTCTTTTTCCTCTCCTGGATCTCCTTCCTATAGGCTGATGTCTCATTATTTCTCTGCTTCACTCTGGAGGATCTGGAAGGTGCTGGGATGGGTGGGGTGGCAGGTGGGGAATCCCTGGCAGCCACTGGCCTTCAGCTGGCAGAGCATGAAGGGAAGGACAGAACAGGGCCCCTGGGATTAGCCAGGTGGGCTGGTGTAACACCAGTAATCCCAGCTACTCGGGTGGCTGAGGCATGAGAATCGCTTGAACCCAGGAGGTGGAGGTTGCAGTGAGCCGAGATTGCACCACTGAGCTCCAGCCTGGGTGACAGAGCGAGACCCTGTCTCAAAAAACAAAAACAAACAAACAAACAAAAAACAGTTCTCAGCTTGGCATTCCAGGAGGTGTCCTACCTAACCCTCACAACCATCGGTGAGGTAGCTACCGGTACTACCTACTCAGGCAAGTGACAAAGCTCAGAGATGTTGGGCATCTTACCCAGAGTCATACAATTGGTAGGTTGTAGACAAACCAGTAAGTTTGAATCCAGCTCTGCCTGACACCAAAGCCCATGGTTACCCTAAAACCAAGCAGGGCTGATGACCTCCAGCAGTCCCCTGAATTGGGTCTCAGCCTCCTGCCCTTTGAGTGAGATGACCCTTGGTGGGGGTCCACCAATCTTTTCTTTCTTTTCTTTTTTTTCTTTTTTTTAGACGGGGTCTCCCTCTGTCACCCAGGCTGGAGTGCATGAGTACAGCTCACTATAGCCTCAACTTCCCTGGGCTCAGGTAATCGTCCCATCTCAGCCTCCCAAGTAGCTGGGACTACAGGTGCCTGCCACCACACCTGGCTACATTTTTTTGTATTTTTTGTAGAGACGAGGTTTCGCCATGTTACCCAGGCTGGTCTCGAACTCCTGAGCTCAAGTGATCTGCCCACCTCGGCCTTCCAAAGTGCTGGGATTACAGGCGTGAACCACCGAGCCCGGCCACACCCATCTTTTCTAGATGCAGCAGCTTTCAAACCCGTAAAGTGGTAACAATACAAAATGCATTTGACACCTCTGTGCTTTAGGTATGTACAGACATGTGCACAAACAGCCACAGCAAAGCAGCACCTGCTACACAGAGCACCATGGTGTATGCCACGGGTCCTGATTGGGTTTTACAGGCTTTCCCGGAATTCTGAAGGCTGTGCCACTGTTCCAGCCTGTTCTAAGAGTCCCCGAGTCTGCCTTCCAGCTGTTCTGCATGACTGAGGGCTGGCATGTTACCGAATCTCTTCTCCCCCCTCAGCATCACTTCACTTCCATCCCTGAAGGTAGTGACCGTGTCCTGGAGCCACAATCTTCCAGTCATCACAGGGGCCCCAGTTGCAGTTTCTTCTCCTAAAGACCTCTTTGGAGACAGAGGGCAGCAACCTGCCTACTGTCTGCAGGGAATGCCCCTCCATGAGTCACCCACCCACCAAAGCCCAGCAACCCTTGAGACTCACAGAAAGCCAGTCCCCAGCCTGCCCGTAGCCCATCCCTATGTCCTTTTTAGAATGTCAGCAGATCTTGCCTTCTCTCTGCCATCCTATTCCCCAAAAACTGGGAGAGGAGCCAAAAAAAACCCTCTCCCAGAATCACTGCACTCATGACAGTTCAAGATCAAGTAACAAACGGAACCATCCGCTGCACACCTGGAAGGAGGCCAGCACTCATTCAGCCGCCAGATGCCTATCCAGGATGCACTCCCTGTGAGGCACTGCTCATCCACTCCTTGGGGCTGGGGCTCTGTCTGGCAGGGGAGCTGCCAGGACAGCCAGCAGACAGAACACAGACACCCGAGCTCAACCAAGGCAGGTGCTGGGAGCACACAGGGAAAAGGCCAGTGACAGGTGTGGTGGGGAGTAGCAGGGTTGGTCACATTTGAGAGGAGACCTTGTGGGTGGGTGAGGAGTGGGCTTTGGGGGTGCTGGTGGCTGAGGGTCCCAGGCACAAGGCCCTGGGTGGGACGTAACCAGTGGGTTCTGGAAAATGAAGGAAATCCAAGAAGAGTGAGGAGGGGAAAGTGCAGTGTGGTGGGCAGAAGACACCTCATGTGAGGCCTTATGGGCTGTGGTAAGGAAGGTGCCATGGAAAACAATAGGAGGGTTTAAAGTAAGAAAGTGTCATGAACTGACATGTTGTTTCAGAAGTTGTCTCAGAGTGGGCTGGGCGTGGTGGCTCACGCCTGTAATCCCAGCACTTAGGGAGGCCGAGGTGGGCAGATCACAAGGTCAGGAGTTCGAGACCAGCCTGGCCAACATGGTGAAACCCGGTCTCTACTAAAAATACAAAGATTAGCTGGGCGTGGTGGCAGGCACCTGTAATCCCAGCTACTGGGGAGGCTGAGGCAGGAGAATCACTTGAACCTGGGAGGCAGAGGTTGCAGTGAGCCAAGATCATGGCATTTCACTCCAGCCTGGGTGACAAGAATGAGACTCCGTCTCAAAAAAAAAAAAAAAAGAAGTTAATCAGAGTGGCATGCACCTGCAGTTCCAGCTACTGGGGAGGCTGAGGTGGGAGGATTGCTTGAGGCCAGGAGTTCGAAGTTTCAGTGAGCTATGATGGCATCACTGCACTCCAGTGTGGGTGACCGAGGGACACCCTGTCTCAAATACAATACTGCCTACTGTCTGCAGGGAAGGCCCCTCCATGAGTCACCCACCCACCAAAGCCTAGCAAACCTTGAGACTTTCAGAAAGCCAGTCCCCAGCCCTGTCTCAAAAATGAAAAATAGGCCTGGCGCGGTGGCTCACACCTGTAATCCCAGCACTTTGGGAGGCAGAGGCGGGCGGATCACGAGGTCAGGAGATCGAGACCATCCTGGCTATCACAGTGAAACCCCGTCTCTACTGAAAATACAAAAAAAATTATCTGGGCATGGTGGCGGGCGCCTGTAGTCCCAGCTACTCGGGAGGCTGAGGCAGGAGAATGGCGTGAACCCGGGAGGCGGAGCTTGCAGTGAGCCGAGATCGCGCCACTGCACTCCAGCCTGGGTGACAGAGTGAGACTCCGTCTCAAAAAAAAAAAAAAAAGAAAAAAAGAAAAACCGGAACTTATCCCTCCCAATAGCCATGCTTTATTAATGTTTTATGATACTAATTGCTACAATTTATGAAGAGTCCGTTAATCTTCTAACAACCCAGACAATAGATATTATTACCTCTGTGCTATCAGTGGGGAAGGCTGACTCTGGCCAAGATTTGAGTGCGATCTGACTGCCTTCAGAGCTCAGGTTCCTGATGGAGAGGAGGCAGGCGCTACTTGACGTGTAGTGGTCGGGGAAGCCCTCAGCTTCTCTCCTTCACTGTATGCACATCCTCTCTGGGCCCCCCTGGGCATTTTCAGACTGTTTGATCATTGAGTGGCTTAAGTGGTCCCTGAGCTCAGAGTGACAGAGCACCATCCACAGGATGGGGACCTGGGGCTAGTGGCATCTGTGCCCCTTAACTGAGAACAGGCTTCCTCGAAGCTCACTGGTGCTGACTGGCTGATACCACTCATAATGGCACACCTGGCAGGGGGATCCCTCCATCCCCTCCCCTTTGTCATTGTTCCAGAAATCTTCACTCAAAATCTCAGCCTCTGCTTTAGTTCAGGGTGACAATCATGCTGCCTCTCTGTGTCCATACTAGAAGGGCAGGAAAAAATCTCTATTCCTTTCACCTAAGCCCTCATAGATTTGGAGTTTTCCCAAAGAAATGTTTCCTGCCGGGCGTGGTGGCTCACGCCTGTAATCCCAGCACTTTGGGAGGCCGAGGCAGGTGGATCACGAGGTCAGGGGTTCGAGACCAGCCTGACCAACATGGTGAAACCCCGTCTCTACTAATAATACAAAAATTAGCCGGGCGTGGTGGCAGTCATCTGTAATCCCAGCTACTCAGGAGGCTGAGGCAGGAGAATTGCTTGAACCCGGGAGGCGGTGGTTGCAGTGAGCCGAGATTGCACCACTGCACTCCAGCCTGGGTGACAGAGCAAGACTCTGTCTAAAAAAAAGAAATGTTTCCTATGAAATATATCAAACCCCACTGGAGGCCGGGCGCAGTGCCTCATGCCTGTAATCCCAGCACTTTGGGAGGCCAAGGCGGGTGGATCACGAGGTCAAGAGATCGAGACTATCCTGGCCGACATGGTGAAACCCTGTCTCTACTACAAATACAAAAAATTAGCTGGGTGTGGTGGCAAATGCCTGTAGTACCAGCTACTCGGGAGGCTGAGGCAGGAGAATCGCTTGAAACTGGAAGGCGGAGGTTGCAGTGAGCTGAGATCGCGCAACTGCACTCCAATCTGGGCAACAAAAGTGAAACTCCATCTCAAAAAAAAAAAAAACCCACTGGATAGGCAGAGCAAGTTTTACTGTATTTTATTTACCCTATTTTATTTGTTTGAGACAAGGTCTTGCTTTGTCACCCACACTGGAGTGCAGTGGCGCCATCATAACTCACTGCAACCTCAAACTCCTGGGCACAAGCGATCCTCTGGCCTCAGCCTTTTGAGTAGCTGGGACTACAGCTGCAAGTCACAACCCCTGGCTAATTTTTCAATTTTTGCAGAGACAGAGTTACCAAGGCTTATTTTGAACTCCTAGACTCAAGTGATCCTCCTGCCTTGGTCTCCCAGAGTGTTGGGATTACAGGCGTGAGCCAGCAAGCCTGGCCTAGAGCAAGTTTTAGAGTACAGTTTGTTATTGTTTGTATGGCTGCTTTTTTTTTCTTTCTTTCTTTCTTTTTTTTTTTTTTTTCACAGAGTCTCACTCTGTTGCCCAGGCTGGAGTGCAATGGCACAATCTCAGCTCACTGCAACCTCCACCTCCTGGATTCAAGCAATTTTCCCACCTTAGACTCCTGAGTAGCTGGCACTAGAGGCACGTACCACCATGCCCAGCTAATTTTTGTATTTTTAGTAGAGACGAGGTTTCACTATGTCGGCCAGGCTGGTCTTGAACTCCTGACCTCAAGTGATCTGCCCACCTCAGCCTCCCAAAGTGCTGGGATTACAGGCATGAGCTACCACGACCGACCTGTTATGGCTTTTTTAAATTATTTATTTATTTATTTATTTATTTATTTATTTTATTTTATTTTATTTTTTCAAGACAGGGTCTTGTTCTGTCACCACGGTTAGAATGCAGTGGTACTATCTTGGCTCACTGCAGCCTCGACCTCCTGGATTCAAGCAGACTTCCCACTTCAGCCTCCAGAGTAGCTAGGACTACAGGTATGTGCAACCATGCCTGGTCAATTTTAGTTTTTTGTACAGCCAAGGTCTCAGTATATTGCCCAGGCTGGTCTCAAACTACTGGGCTCAAGTGATCCTTCCACTTCCACCTTCCAAAGTGCTGGGATTACAGACGTGAGTCACCATGCTTGGCCTGTTACGACTTTATTGAGATTTATTTCACGTACCACAAAATGCACCCTTTTAAAGGCTACAGTTCAGTGATTTTTAGCATATTCACAGATATGTGTGACCATCACCACAATCTAACTTTAGATTATTTCAACTCCCTGAACCCTGACCACTTGACAGTCATTCCCCATTCCTGCACCCTCCTCCCTGCCACCTACCTCCTCACCCCGACCCACAGCCCTAGGGAATTAGTAATTTACTTTCTATCTGTATGGATTTCCCATTGCAGACACTTCCCACAAATGGAATTATGCAACATGTCATCTTTTGTGATAATCTTCTTTCTACATGTTTCCAAAATTCATCTATGTTGTAGCATGTATCAGTACTGATGCAGGGCAGGCAAGCCCCCAAATTGGGGTTTAGCAGAGGAGGATTCTTGGTTTTGTCTGGGAAATAATTCAAGGGTGAGCCGGTGGTGTTAGACAGCAGCTTTTATTGAAGCGACAGTGCACAGCAGCAGAGGTGCTGTTCCTTGTGGAGCGGGGCTACCCCGCAGGCCGTGTGCTCAGAGTAGCAGCTCAGAGGTGGGTCTGCACTCATAGTTACACCCACTTTTAATTGTATGCAAATTAAGGGGTAGATTATGCAGAAATTTGTAGGAAAATTTTGGTAACTTTTGGGTCATTGGGTCGTTGCCATGGAAAGGGGTGGTAATTTCTGGCTATTGCCGTGGCAATGGTAAACTGAAATGCTGCACTGGTAGGCATGTCTTATGGAGAACTGCTTCCACTCCATCTTTGTTTTAGCTAGTTCTCAATTTGGTCCAGTGTCCAAGAGCTGACTCTGGAGTCAAGTCCCACCTCCTACCTCAGTATTTCATTCTTTTTTTTTTCTTTTTTTATTTATTTATTTATTTATTTTTTTGAGACAAGAGTCTCTCTCTGTTGCCTAGGCTGGAGTGCAATGGCGTGATCTCGGCTCACTGCAACCTCTGCCTCCCAGGCTCAAGCGAGTCTCCTATCTCACCCTCCCGAGTAGCTGGGACTACAAGTGTGTGCCAGCATGCCCGGCTAAGTTTTGTATTTTTAGTGGAGAAGGGGTTTCACCATGTTGGTCAGGCTGGTCTTGAACTTTTGACCTCAAGTGATCCACCCACTTTGGCCTTCCAAAGTGCTGGGATTACAGACATGAGTCACTGCGCCCAGACTGAATAATTTTTTCTTGTACGGATATATCATATTTTACTTATCCATTCATCGGTTGATGGATATTTAGGTTGTCAGTACATGAACATTTGTGTACAAGTTTTTTTTGTGTGTTGACATATGTTTCAGCTCTCTTGAGTATATCCTAAGGAATAGAATTGCTGGATTTTACAATAACTCTAGGTTTAACATTTTGAGGAACTGCCAAACTGTTTTCCAAAGTGGCTGCCCCACCAGCCATGTAATAAGCATTCTAATTTCTCCACATTCTTGTCAACACTTGTTATTGTCTGTCTTTTTACTGCAGCCACCCTAATATGTATGAAGACGTAGCTCATGGTTTTGATTTGTATTCCCCTGATGACTACTGATGTTGAAAATCTTGGCCAGGAGCGGTGGCTTATGTCTGTAATCCTAGCACTTTGGGAGGCTGAGGCGGGCGGATCACAAGGTCAGGAGATCGAGACCATCCTGGCTAATGGTGAAACCCCATTTCTACCAAAAATACAAAAAAATTAGCCGGGCATGTTGGTGGGCACCTGTAGTCCCAGCTACTCGGGAGGCTGAGGCAGGAGAATGGCATGAACCCGGGAGGCAGAGCTTGCAGTGAACCGAGATCGCACCACTGCACTCCAGCCTGGGTGACAGAGCGAGACTCCATCTCAAAAAAAAAAAAAAAAAAGAAAATATTTTCATGTATATAATAGCTATTGGCATATCTTCTTTGGATAAATGTCTTCAGATCCTTTGCTTATTTTTATTTAAATTGGGTTGTCTTTTTATTGTTGAAGTTTTATTGTTCTTTATATATTCTAGATATGAGTCCCTTGTCAAATATGTGATTTGAAAATGTTTTTTCCCGCCAGGTGTGGTGGTGCATGCCTATAATCCCAGCTCAGGAGGATCACTTGAGCCCAGGAGGTCAAGGTTACAGTGAGCCATGATCATATCACTGCATTCCAACTGGAGCCACAGAGTGAGTCCCTGTCTCAGAAAAAAAAAAAACCACACACACACACACACACACACACACACACACAAGCACACACACACTTTTTCTTCCATCCAATGATTGGTTGTCTTTTCACTTTCCTAATAGTATCCTTTGACACACACAGTTTTTAATTTTTATGAAGTCCAATCTATCAATTTTTTTTCTTTTATAGGTTGTGCTTTTGGTGTCGCAGCTAGAAGATCCTCACACCTCAGCCTCCCAAGTAGCTGGGACTACAGGCATACACCACCATACCTCACTAATTAAAATTTTTTTTTTGCCTGTGCATGGTGGCTCATGCCTATAATCCTAGCACTTTGGGAGGCTGAGGTGGGCAGACCACTTGAGGTCAGGAGTTTGAGACCAGCCTGGCCAACATGGTGAAACCCCGTCTCTACTAAAAATACAAAAATTAGCAAGGCGTGGTGGTGGGAGCCTGTAATTCCAGCTACTCGGGAGGCTGGGGCAGGAGAATCACTCTAGCCCAAGAGGTGAAGGTTTCAAGGAACTGAGATTGTGCCACTGCACTCCAGCCTAGGCAACAGGGTGAGACTCCATCTCAAAAAAGAAAAAAAAAAAAGAGGAAAAAAATTTTTTTGGTAGAGAGGGGGTCCTGCTATATTGCCCAGGGTGGTCTTGAACTCGGTGTCCAAAAGTGCTGGGATTACAGGACCTGCCACCACACCAGGCTAATTTTTGTATTTTTAGTAGAGATGGGGTTTCACCACGTTGGCCAGGCTGGTCTCGAACCCCCCGGGCTCAAGGGATCCGCCTAACTCAGCCTCCCAAAGTGCTGGGATTACAGGCGTGAGCCACCGGCCTGGCCTCTTCTCACATTCTTGATGATGTCTCATGACGTACAGAAGTTTTAAATTTTTCTGTTTTTTCTTCCATTGTTCAAGCTTTTGGTGCCAAATCTAAGAATCCATTGTCATATTCAAGGACATGAAGATTTACCTTATGTTTTTTTTCTAAGAGTTTTAGATTTTATTTTAGAGTCTATGATCTATTTTGAGTTAATTTTTGTAGACAGAGTGAAATAGTGGTCCAATTTCATTCCTGTGCATGTGGTTATCCAGTTGTCCCAGCACCATTTTTTTTTTTTTTGAGATGGAGTCTTGCTCTATCGCCCAGGCTGGAGTGCAGTGGTGCAATCTCGGCTCACTAACCTCCGTCTCCCGGGTTCACACCATTCTCCTGCCTCAGCCTCCCGAGT
Organism: Homo sapiens; assembly: GCF_000001405.40. Taxonomy (NCBI): domain Eukaryota; kingdom Metazoa; phylum Chordata; class Mammalia; order Primates; family Hominidae; genus Homo; species Homo sapiens. Next base: position 32,958,696 of record NC_000016.10, on the reverse strand, counting down.
ATCTGGGACTACAGGCACCCGCCACCACGCCCGGCTAAGTTTTTATATTTTTAGTAGAGACGGGGTTTCACCATGTTAGCCAGGATGGTCTCGATCTCCTGACCTTGTGATCCGCCCACCTCGGCCTCCCAGCGTGTTGGGATTACAGGTGTGAGCCACTGCACCCGGCCTCCAGCACCATTGTTTTAGAAAAGATTATCATTTGCCCCATCGAATGGTCTTGGTAACATTGTCAAATATCAAATTGACATCCAGTGTGTATCATGGATGTAAAAAATATATGTATCAGTTGACCATAAATATTTGGGTTTATTTCTGGATTCTTAATTCTTTTCCATAGGTCTATTTATCTAGCCTTATGCCAGTACCACACTGTTTAGACTACTGCAGCTTTGTAGTAAGTTTTGATATTGGGAAATGTAAGTACTGCTACTTTGTTTTAAATTTTGTTTTCACTATTTGAGGCCCCTTGGAGTTTCCTATTTAGTGGATTCCTTAGAATTTTCTACATACAATCTCATGTCATCTGCAAATAGAGACAGTTTTACATCTCTATTTGTGGATGGCTTTTATTTCTTTTTCTTGCCTAATTGCCTGGGCTAAAACTCCCAGTAGAATGTTGACTAGAAGTGGTAAGAGTGGACATCTTTTCTGTTTCCTGATCTTAGAGGGAAAGCTCTCAGTCTATTAATTTAATAGCATGAAATACGATATTAGCTGTAGTTTTTTTTTTTTTTTTTTTTAAGACAGTGTCTCCCTCTGTCACCCTGGCTGGAGTGCAGTAGCTCAATCATGGCTCACTGCAGCCTCGATCTCCTGTGCTCAAGCAATCCTCCTACTTCAGCCTCCCAAGTAGCTGGGACTACAGGTATGAACCACCATGCCTGGCTAGTTTTTGTATTTTTTGTAGAGACGGGCTTTCACCATGTTGCCCAGGCTGGTCTTAAACTCCTGGGCTCAAGCAAGCCACACACTTCAACCTCCCAAAGTGCCAGGATTATAGGCATGAGCCACCCTGCCTGGCCTAGCTACAGATTTTTCATAGGTATGTTTATCAGGTTGAAGAAGGTTCCTTCTATTCCTAGTTTATTGAATTTTATAATCATAAAAGAGTGTTGAATTTTGTCTTGCTTTTTCAGCATCTATTGAGATGATCATGTAATTTTTATTCTTTATTCTCTCAATTTTGTGCGTTTCATTGATTGATTTTCAAATATTAAACCAACCTTGTATTCCTGGGTAAATCCCACTTGGTCATGGTGTATAATCCTTTGTATACGTTTCTTGATTTGTTTTGCTGGTGTCTTTTTGTTGTTGTTGTTTTGAGACAGAGTCTCGCTCTCTCTTCCATGCTGGAGTGCAGTGGCGTGATCTCAGCTCACTGCAACCTCCACCTCCTGGGTTCAGGCAATTCTTGTGCCTTAGCCACCAGAGTAGCTGGGATTACAGGTGTGTGCCACCACACCCAGCTAATTTTTGTATTTTTATTAATAGTAGAGATAGGGTTTTGCTATGTTGGCCAGGCTGGTCTCCAACTCCTGGCCACAAGTGATCCGCCTGCCTCGGCCTCCCAAAGTGCTGGGATTACAGGTGTGAGTCATCACACCCAACCGGTTTGCTTGTAGCTTGTGGAGGACTTTTGTTTCTATAGTCACAAGGGATATTAGTCTGAAGTTTTCTTGTGATATCTTTTTCTAGCTTTGGTATCAGGGTAATACTGGCCTCACGGTTCCTTCCTCTTCTTTTTTTGAAAGAGTTTGTGAGGGATTTGTATTAATTTTTCTTTAAATATTCGATAGAAATCACCAGTGAAGCCATCTGGGTCTGGAATTTTCTTTGTTGAAAGTTTTTAAATGACTAATTAAATCTTTTTCCATGTTGTAAGTCTGTTCAGATTATTTATGGGTTCTCCTTCTTATGTCAGTTTTGGTAATTTATGTCTTTCTAGGAATTTTTTCATTTCTTCTATTTATCTAACTTGCTGGCATGCAGTTGTTCACAGTGTTCCCTTATTATCCCTTTACTTTTGTGTGTGTGTGTGTGTGTGTGTGTGTGTGTGGAGATGGACTCTTGTTCTGTCTTCTAGGCAGAGTGCAGTTACACGATCCCAGCTCACTGCAACCCCTGCCTCCCAAGTTCAAGTGATTCTCCTGCCTCAGCCTCCTGAGTAGGTGAGATTACAGGCGCCCGCCACCACACCTGGCTAATTTTTGTATTTTTAGTAGAGACAGGGTTTCACATGTTGGCCAGGCTGGTCTTGAACTCTTGACCTCAAATGATCCACCTGCCTCGGCCTCCCACAGTGCTGGAATTACAGGCGAGAACCACTGCACCCAGCCCCCCTTTACTTTTTATAAGTATTGATAGCTCCCTTTTCATGCCTGAGGTATTAATCTGAGTCTTCTCTTTTTTTTTTTTTTTTTTTCTTGGTCAGTCTAGCTAAACAGTTGTCATTTTGTTGCTCTTTTCTAAGAAAAAACTTTTGGTTTTACTGACTTTCTCTATTTTTTCTATTTTCTATTTCATTTATTTTTACTCATACCTTTATTATTTCCTTCCTTTGGCTTTCTTTTGGTTGAGTTTGCTCTTCTTTTTCTAGTTTCTTAAGGCAGAAGTTTAGGTTATTAATTAGAAATCTTTCTTCTTTTCTAATACTCACATAGTTACAAATGTCTCTCTAAGCACTGCTTTAGCTGCATCCAGTAAGTTATGTTATGTTGTGTGTTAGTTTCCATTCATCTCAAGATATTTTCTAATTTCCCTGTGATTTCATCTTTCACTCATTGATTATTTAGGAGTGTTTTAAAATTTCTACATATTTCTAGCCGGGCATGGTGCCTCACGCCTGTAATCCCAGCACTTTAGGAGGCCAAGGCAGGCAGATCACTGGAGGTCAGGAGTTCGAGACCAGCCTGGCCAACATGGTGAAACCCCGTCTCTATTAAAAATACACAAATTAGCCGGGTGTGGTGATACACTCCTGTGGTCCCAACTACTTGAGAGGCTGAGGCAGGAGAATCACTTGAACCCAGGAGGCGGAGGCTGCAGTGAGCCGAGATAGCGCCACTGCACTCCAGCCTGGAGGACAGAGCAAGACCCACCTCGAAAAAAAAATAAATTCTACATATTTGTTAATTTCCTCGGTTGTCATTTTCTAATTTAATTCCATTGCAGCTGGGGAACAGACTTTATATAATTTCAATCATTTTCCATTTATTGAGGCTTCTTTTAAGGCCTAGTATAAGTCTATCCTGAAGAGTGTGTCATGCGTAGCTGAGAACAATGTGTGTTCTGCTGCTGTGTGGAGTGTTTCGATGTCTTTCAGGTCTTGGCTTACAGTGTTGTTCAAGGCTTCTATTCCTTGTTGATCTTCAGCCTTGTTGTTTTATCCGTTATTGAAAGTGGGGGCCGGGAGCAGTGGCTCACGCTTGTAGTCCCAGCAGTTTGGGAGGACGAGGTGGGTGGATCACCAGGTCAGGAGATCGAGACCATCCTGGCTAACACGGTGAAACCTCGTCTCTACTAAAAATACAAAAAATTAACCGGGCATGGTGGCGGGCACCTGTAGTCCCAGCTACTCGGGAGGCTGAGGCAGCAGAATGGCGTGAACCCGGGAGGCGGAGCTTGCAGTGAGCAGAGATCGTGCCACTGCACTCCAGACTGGGCAACAGAGTGAGACTCTGCCTCAAAAAAAAAAAAAAAAAAAAGGAAAAGAAAGCGGGGTATTGAAGTCTCCAACTACTATATTGAATGGTCTAATTCAGTTCAGTTCCCTCCAGTTTTATTAGTTTTTGCTTCATGTATTTTGGGCTCTGTTGTTAGGAGTATATATGTTTACAATCATTTTATCTTCCTCATAAACTGCCTCTTTTATCATTATAAAAGATATTGTATCTTTAGTAACAATTTTTTTTTTTTTTGGAGACAGAGTCTTGTTCTGTCGCCTAGGCTGGAGTGCAGTGGTGCTATCTCGGCTCACTGCAACCTCCGCCTCCCAGGTTCAAGCAATTAGGATCTCCTGTCTCAGCCTCCGGAGTAGCTGGGACTATAGTGCATGCCACCACGCCCAGCTAATTTTTGTAGTTTTAGTAGAGATGGGGGTTTCACCATGTTGGTCAGGCTAGTCTTGAACTCCTGACGTCAGGTGATCCACACATCTTAGCCTCCCAAAGTGCTGGGATTACAGGCGTGAGCCACCTCGCCCAGGCTTCAGTAAGAATTTTTGTCTTAAAGTCTAATTTGTCTCATGCTTATGTAGCCACCCTCTCTTTTAATAACTCCTCACATGGTTTCTTTTTGCATCTTTCTACTTTCAACTCTTGTGTCTTTGACTCTAAAGTAAATCTCTCACAGATCATTTTATTTTATTTTATCCATTCTGGGCTGGGCCCGGTGGCTCACACCTGTAATCCCAGCCCTTTGGGAGGCCCAGGTGGGAGCATCACTTGAGCCCAGGAGGTTGAGACCAACCTGGTTAAGATAGCATGACCTCGTCTCTACAAAAATTTTGTTTTTAAAATTAGCCAAGCGTGGTGGCATGGCCCTGTAGTCCCAGCTATTTGGGAGGCTGAGGTGGGAGGATTGCTTGAGCCCAGGATGTCAAGGCTGCAGTGATCTAGGATCACACCCCTGCATTCCAGCCTGGGCAATTGAGCAAGTCCCAGTCTTATAAAAAGAAAAAAATAATAATCCATTCTGCCAATTTCTGCCTTTTGATTGGGGTGTTAAATTCATTTACATTCAATGTATCACTAATAAGCTAGGATTTATGTCTGCCATTTTGCTAATTGTTTTCATATGTCTTGCCTTTTTTGTTCCTCTACTCCTTGATTCTGCCTTCTTTCTTTCCTCCTTCCTTCCTTCCTTCCTTCCTTCCTTCCTTCCTTCCTTCCTCCCTCCCTCCCTCCCTCCCTCTCTCCCTCTCTCTCTCTTTCTTTCTTTTTTTTTTGGAGACACAGTTTCACTCTGTTGCCCAGGCTGGAGTGCAGTGGTGCCATCTTGGCTCACTGCAACCTCCGCCTCCCCAGTTCAAGCAATTCTCCTGCCTCAGCCACCCGAGTAGCTGGGATTACAGGCATGCACCACCACCCCCAGCTAATTTTGTATATTTAGTAGAGACGGGGTTTCACCATATTGGCCAGGCTGGTCTCAAATTCCTGGCCTCAAGTGATCTCCCCACCCTGGCCTCCCAAAGTGCTGGGATTACAGGCATGAGCCACCATGCTTGGCCTTCTCTGATTCTTGAAGGGGCCTGAAGTAGATAGGGAAACCCTGCATTCCAATATCTGTTGTCAATGCAAAAATTTTCACGGCCAGTTCTCTGTCAGGGTCAGGGTCATGGGGAGGTTTCTTATGGGGCAAGGGTTGGGGTCAAGGAATTTGAGGAACTTGAATAGGGCAGGGCCGAGGAAATCAGAGCCTGGTCAGGAGCTAGACTTCTCCCTGTACCAGTGGGGGTGCTCGGGGATTATTGCAGGCCGTAAAGAAAGCTAAGCATTAGGCGAGGGACCACCAGAGAAGACAAAAGTGGTCCCCTTCCTCAAGAACTTAGAATTAAGATGATAAGGAGAGTGGGTGCCGTGGCTCATGCCTGTAATCTCAGCACTTTGGGAGGCTGAGGCAGCAGGATCCATTGAAGCCAGGAGTTCAAGAACATCCTGCACAAAGAAGCAAGACCCCATTTCTACAAAAAGATACAAAAACATTAGGCAGGAGTGGTGGTGTGTGCCTGTAGTCCAGCTAACTCAGGAGGCTGAAGCAGGAGGATCACTTGAGCACAGCAGTTAGAGGCTGCAGTGAGCTGTGTTCAGGCCACTGCACTCCAGCTTGGGTGACAGAGCGAGACCTGTCTCAAAAAAAAAAAAAAAAAGATGATAAGGGAGGCTTCTGAGCAAAGAACAGCTCTACTCCACCTGCCGTGGAGCTGAGAGACCGCCATGTGTGCCTGCCCACACTCCTACCCAGGACAGCCTAAACCATCCACACAGGGAGGCAGGATCAGAATGTGGCTGTAACTTGGGGCACCGACGCCGCCTGGGTGTCCTGGACACAGCCTGGAGAAAGTCTAGAGACAGGGCTGTCACATCTAGAACAATGGTTTCTGATGAGCTTGGGAGCACCCTGTCCAAATTGAATCCTCCCGAGAAACCCAGCAATGTGAGACAGAACCAAGAGTGGCTCAGATGGAGGCCGTGGGAGCTTGGATGCCTGCACACTTGGTCCTCTCATATACCTGTTGGTGGTCACAACCCCATGGTGGCTCCAGGGAACACAGTTTGACCATCACGGACCTGGGTTTTAGAGTCAGGCAAGAGAGACAGAGGCTGGCAGTCGTGAGTGTCCGGCACTTGCAGGATTTGTGCCCACCCTCAGCACTCACAGCCTGGTGGGAGGCCAGGCCCTGGTGCCCAAGGCAGCCCCTTCCCTACAGCTGGGACAGGAGGCCACAGGTTCTCAGACACCTGGTGCCTCCTGCTTCCCTGACTCTGATTCCTGGTCTCCCCAGTAGATGAGACTGAGACCACTGCGGCAAACACAACTCAACGTCCCTGTCCCTGCAACAGTTATTCCTATCGCTGTACTTAATAGACTGGCAGTCTCATCCATGCCTCCGTTTCTTAGAGGCTTGGCCAGCTGGTTTCAGCTCAGGCTCAGGACAGAGCCAGTCCGTGTGCCAGAAAATCAAGAAACACTCAGAGCCTGAGAACAGAGGATCAGAACTCAGATACCAGAGCACCACCAAGGAAGGAGGCCACCTAACCAGCTCCCCTGCCTGAGGCCCAAGAATATGCCCAACCTTCTAGTTACTTAAGTTCTCTGAGCCTTGGTTCCCCCATCTGTAAAATGGGGATGGTACAAAATTCAAGGTTTTCCGTAAAAATGAAATGAAACCGATGTTTGTGAAAAGTTATCTGCATACTGGCTGGCACCTAGTAGGTGCTCAGTAAATGTGCATTCCCTCCTCTTTCATCTCATGCTAGTGATTGTGATGAACTCACTGGGTCACAGTGAGGTCTCTGAGTCAGTTTACAGTAAAGACGTACTCTCTGAAAAGCACGTTCTATTGTTCAAGCCCCTATAATTGAGAAGGCCTCCTGCAGGAGTCAGGCAGGCCCAGACTGGGAAGCGGTAACTGCTAGGGTCTCAGGAGGAAGGAATTTCAAGCCAGGAGGCTTCAGGGAGGCAGTGGCCTGTGAGCTCTGGGGAGGTCAGTTTTGAGTCCACTGGAGACACGGTGGGGTCACAGGAAGCAAATGAGGACATCTTCTGGCCAGAAGGGACTCAGAAGGGGCTCTCCGGGGAGTGTGGAGAAGCCAGGCCCAAAGGGGCAGGGCACGGCTGCTGGGCAAAGTGCTGGCTCTCGAGAAGGGGCCGCAGCCTTCAGAGGCCTCAGCCTGCCCATGATGCTCCTCGGCCCCTTCAGGAAATCTGCCTTGCTTTATGGGACCTATTTCAGACTTCCTTCACTCTGCTCAGACGTTCCCTGCCACCTTCATGCCCAGCAGAGGTCCTCACCTTCCACTTCGCTGAGGAAAGAGCCATCAGCTGGGAGCAACCCCAATGACCTGCTGCCAACACTGCCTGCTAGTGTGCCCCTGCCACCTCCCTCTCTTCCTACTACACCTGGGGATGCATCTGCTAGGAGCACAGGCTACTGCTGCTTCATGGGCTCTGGGCCCAGCTCTTCCTCTCTCTCTGTCTCTCACCTGGATCATTCCCATTGGCAAGTAAATATGTGCTTTCATCTTTTTTTGTTTGTTTGTTTGTTTTTGAGACAGGGTCTTGCTCTGTTGCCCAGGCTGGACTGCAGTGGCATGATCATGGCTCATCACTGCAGCCTCAACCTCCCAGGCTCAAATGATCTTCCTGCCTCAGCCTCCCAAGTAGCTGGGACTACAGGCATGCCCCACCATGCCTGGTTATTTTTGCATTTTTTGTAGAGTTGAGGTCTCACTATGTTGTCCAGGCTGGTCTCGGACTCCTGGGCTCAAGGGATCCTCCTGCCTCGGCCTCCAAATGTGTTGGGATTACAGGCATGAGCCACCATGCCTGGCTGCTTTCATCTTTTAATGAAAGTTTCCCTCAAGCCACATATTTTCCCATTTTTGTTCTGTAAATATCTCTTCACAATCGGACTTCTCACAAGAGTGGTCTATGTATGCGCTCTTCCCTCCCTCACTTTATTAGCTCATTCCATCTGGTTTCTGCCTCCACTGTGCCTCCAAACCTGCCAGACAGATAGTCTATTTCTTCATTAGCTTAGTGTCTGTCTCTCAGTAGAAGATAAGCTTTGTGAGGGCAGGAACCTATCTGTTTGGCTCATTATTTATATTTTCAGTACCCAGCACAGTACTGATATAAAGTAGACATTCAACAAGTATTTGTGGTATTATCATATGAATTAGCCCTATCTTTTTCAAAAGCATTGTTAGGTTTTGGTATCAGGGTAATGCTGGCCTCATAAATGAGTTGGAAAGTGTTTCTTCCTCTTCTATTTTCCTTTCTTTCTTTTGAGATGGAGTCTCGCTCTGTTGCCCAGGCTGGAGTACAGTGGCACGACCTCAGCTCACTGCAACCTCCTCTTCCCAGGCTCAAGCAATTATCCTGCCTCAGCCTCCTGAGTAGCTGGGATTACAGGTGCATGCCACCACACCCAGCTAATTTTTTTGTATTTTTAGTAGAGATGGGGTTTCACCACGTTGGCCAGGCTGGTCTTTAACTCTTGATCTCAAGATCCGACCTCAGCCTCCCAAAGTGCTAGGATTACAGGTGTGAGCCATGGTGCCCAGCCATCCTCTTTTATCTTCCAAAAGAGATAGTGGAGAATTGGTATTATTTCTTAAATAACTATTTAAATAACATTTAAATAATTCAAATATTTAAATAACTATTTAAATATATCAATATTTAAAATTATACTATTTTCTATTTAGAATATTTTAAAATTATTAAAGTAAATTGTTTAAACATTTAAAAAATTCCTTAAATATTTGGTAGAATTTAACAGTGAAACCATCTGATCCTGAAGTTTTCATTGTTGGGGGGTTTTAAATTACATATTCAATTTCTTTAGGAGGTATAGGACTATTCAGGTTATCTATTTTTTCTTAAGTGAGTTTTGGCAGTCTGAATCTTTCAAAGAATTGGTCTATTTCATCTAAGTTATTGAATTTATGGGCAACTTTATGCCCATAAATTCAATAACTTAGGGGTCTATAGCCAGGCGTGGTGACTCACGCCTGTAATCCCAGCACTTTGGGAGGCCAAGAGGGGCGGATCACGAGGTCAGGAGATCAAGACCATCCTGGCTAACCTGGTGAAACCCCGTCTCCACTAAAAATACAAAAAATTAGCTGGACGTGATGGTGGGCACCTGTAGTCCCAGCTACTCGGGAGGCTGAGGCAGGAGAATGGTGTGAACCCAGGAGGCGGAGCTTGCAGTGAGCCGAGATGGTGCCACTGCACTCCAGCCTGGGTGACACAGCAAGACTCCGTCTCAAAAAAATAAATAAATAAAAAATAAAAAATAACTTAGGGGTCTGTAGTGATGTCCCTCTTTCATCCCTGATACTGATAATCTGTGCCATCTTTCTTTTTATTCTGTTAGTCTGGCTAGAGGTTTATCAATTTCATTGATTTTTTTTCAAAGAACCAGCTTTTGGTTTCATTGCTTTTCTTCAACTGTTTTCAATTTCATGGATTTCTGCTCCTCTCTTTATTTCCTTCTGCTTGCTTTAGGCTCTCCAAAGACCTTAAAGGATATCTGTTTTATTTATTATAGCACCCCACAGATTTACTGATATTCCCATTTTATAGATGAGGAAGCTAAGGATCAGAAAGTGGTTAAGTAACTTGCCCAATATCCCAAACTACTAAATGGTGGAGCCAGAACTCAAACCCAGGACTGTCTGACTCCAGAGTCTGTGCTTCTAACTACTGAGTGACATTGCCTCCTAGCCACATAACTCCCAGGCCAGGTCCTTCTACTACAGCAGATGCCTCACCAAACACTGCCAAGGTAAGCAACTTCTCAGCTTACCTTGGGCACTCGGTACCTCCTGACTTCCCTCCCAGGGACCATCAACTTTCCCCACAGTCCAATTGCCATTCCCTCAATTCTCTTGAACAAAAACCAAAGTGGGCTGGCTTGTACAGGGATCAAGCCTTCAGAATTGCCTTCATACGTACCTTGGACTTGACTGAACTACAGGTGGTAGAATCTGTTGGTGAAAGACAGAAAAAAAAATGAAAGTTGCATCAGGGAAAAAGAAAGTTGAGTCTTATGCACACAATTCCTCTCCTCAAAGGCTTCAGAAACCAGGGAATTCTGAAACATGAGATCTCCCCAGGCCCTAGGAGTATGATGGACCTCTGATGTCCATCTATGGGAAAGGGATGGAGCAGAAAATGATGTTAATTGCCACTTCCTCTAGAGGCAGGAAGTGACATCAGGCTGCCAGCCACTGGCCCCTCATTTACCGATGGCTAAGGGCAAGGGGGCATTGTCTTTGAGCCTAGTTCCTCTCCCCTTCCCCGCCTGTCCCTGTTACTCTGAAGCACTGGAGAGAAAATGCCAAATATCAGGTGCAGTCCATGGAAACCACCACAGTGAAACACAGCAAATCACAGATGCTCTGGAGAAATGGAGACCACACAGTGCACAGAGAGGTGGGTGCCCTACATCCACCCCCGAGCACACAACAAAGAAGAGGGACCACATGAATAATGGATAAAAGGGAGAAATGAAATGGGTGGGATGCAGGAGGTGGAGTGGGCTGGTGATTAGAGCCTTGATAGGTTCCACCTCCAGACCTGGGGTCACCCTGCCTCATGGGCAGTGTCCCCAGTTATCACCCAGTTGTGAAGGAGACTAAAAGCATGATTTCTATGGGACTTGGGTCCCACTCCCTTAATATCACTGGGGTGGAGAAGGAACCAGAAACACGTCCTGGTGGGTCCTCTCCAAGGCTAGAGAGGGAGCAGGTTGGTCCAAGGGCCTCCTGGGGTCCCACAGGGTAGTGGGCAGGTGTGGTTAATCCACACTCTCTGGCAGGCAAGTTAGATGCCCCCCTCTCCGGACCCCTCCCCCTGCACAAGGTGAGAAAAGCAAGATGGGCGATCACACATGACACACGGGGCGTGGGGGGCGGCAGGTGATTAGAAGAGACATGGGGTCACTCTCTGCCGTCCCACCCCCATGTCTTCTGGCCCCTCCTGAGCCTGCCTCTGGTGACTAGGGAGCTCCTGTGTGCCTCTGTCAGAGACAAACAGAAATGCTAAAACTAAAGGGAGGGACAACAATGGCGGGGGGAGGAGTCAGTGGCTGCAGCCACAAAGGGAGTGGCCCTCATCTGTCTCTGAGCATGTAAATCATCTGTCCTCTGCCATGAGAGGGCCACAGGCCCTGCAAACAGGACTTAGGGCCCAGGTTTCTTAAGCAGGAGGAGGCGGCCCATTGGGGTGACTGAGGCAGGAGTTAGAGATAAAGAGAAGCTTCTGGGCGTGGCATCGCTGGTCTCCAGAGAGTGTCAGTCCCCAGCCCGGATGACTAGCAGTGGTGAGACTCGGCAAAGAGAGGCCACAAGGTCTGTGGCACTGCAGAAGGGCAGCAATTCGATGCCCCGGTGTCCAGGCAACGGGGAGGGCCCTGGGCCCAGTGAGTGCCTCCTTCCTCCTGAGAAGGGGCTCTAGGATGGGAGGGGCATGGACTGCTGGGGTAAGTGGATAACAAGCAGGGGTAACTGGCATGTCAGTGTGGGGTCCTCACAGTCCGGGACATTCTGCCTGCCTCTGTGCCCACCCAGCCTTCTTATAATCACCCGCCACTGTTAGTGACCGAGGCCACGACACTGCACTGTACCCTTTAAATCTCCAACAGGTCCGCTGGAGGAGGGGAGGGGGAGGAGAAGAGAAAGGGGTGGGAGGAGAGCACGGGGAGAGGAGGAGGGAGAGGTGGGGGTGCAAGGAGAAAAGGAAGAAAAATTAAAAAGAGGAACATGCCCAGAGGGACACAGCCACCCCATGAGAAATTAAAGGCTGAGGAAAGAAACCAGTGAGAGAGGGGGAACAAAGCTCCAACCCTGCCTGGGGCGGGGCAGCTGCACAGACAGGAGGTGGGCACAGGGCAAGCTGGACTTCCCCAGGGAGGGAGAAGGCCCCCAACAGCCCCATCTCCATGGTGGCTGGCAGGGGAGGGCCCCGCTGGGGTGGCACAGGGAAGCTGGGCATCTGGCCAGGTATCTGGGACCATCAGGAATGCAGTGTCCACTCTCCTGCCTCCCCACTCCCAGGCCCCTGTGCTCACCTGACCCCGGGTCACCAGGGGGCACTGTCCTGCCAATGTTGGGCAGGAGGTACTCAATGTTGGGCACTGCCTGAGGCTCCTTGCTGCCCACAGGGGCCTGCGAACAGGAGGAGGGGTCAGCTGGCATGCCCTCGGATGCTGGGCTGCCGACCCCCCAGAGGGGGGTGCCCTGATGACAGAGCCGGTGTCTCCTCCATCAGACCGGGCTCACTGGGGCAGGGACCGTCTCCCTCATCAGCCAGGTGCTCTTGAGGATGATTCCTACATGTCCCCTGTTAGACAGCTTTGTGCCTTCCTCAACATCTCAGAACCACGAAGGCCAGAGCGGCCCCTTCAGCTAGGGGCAGGAGCTGTGTCTCCCGCACTAGACTGGAACTCCTCCAACCTAAGTCCTTCTCAGTAGCCTGGAGGGCAGGAGCTGCCTTTACTTCTGAATTGGGTTCCCTCTGAGCAAGGCCTGTATCTCCCCCATTTAGACTGGGGATTCCTGAAGGCAAGCTTTGTGCTTCTCTATCAGACTAGGGGCTCCTGAGGAGAGGGTCTGTGTTTCCTCCATCAGACTTGAGGGAAGCCTCAAGGACAGACACCTTCCCCAGCTTAAGTCTCGCTGCCTGCCCCACCCCCAAGGACTGGGGCTCACCCCAGACCAGCCCCCATGCCAGCCCAGCCCACGGCATCACTTACTCTCTCTCTCCCTTGTCCTCTTCGTCACTGAAGAACCAGTCTGACTGCAGAGAAGACAAAAGGAAGGGATGAAATCAGCATGGGAAAGAAGAGTCTCTTCCACCTGCTCATTCCAGAGGACCCACTCAGGCGGCAAGGGGTGCCTCTCTCTCAACAAACCCCAGGCTGGCGGGGCTGCAAAAGAGGGCTCAGAGGGAGCTTGATGGACGCTAAAACCTGACTCCACAGACTATGAAAAACCCTGGGGGAGAGAAAAGGTGGGACCCCAGTGTGGGAGGAGACAGGGCAGTGAGTGGGAGCGGCCACCTCAGACGGGAGATAGGCTTAGGGAGAGCTTCGCTTTTACTTGCTTTTCTCTAAACACTGTCCTGGGCACACCCCTATGGTATACTCCCCACAGCGAGCCGGGGGGCAGGGAGGCACCAGTGCCGTTAGTGTTGGCCAGGTCCATGGCTGTGACAGCCGAGCATGCCCCAGGCCACCTGCCACCCATGGGTGCCACACTGACAACAGGGGTGTCACATACTCAGCCCAGAAAAGGAAAATGACAGGAGAAAGGTGTTGGAGGTTTCCTGATGGGCAGGAGGCGAGAGCTTTCTCATAAAGGCCAAACAAGAGACAAAATAAAGACCCCCACAGTTTAATATATTTTGTAAAATTTGAGAATCTTGAAGATAAAATTCTAAGTTTTCTGAAAAAAAAATCCAGATTGCTTATAAATGAACACGTATCACAGGTACTTGGAACTTTCAGCAGCAAGACACAAGAAGACAAGACAAGAAAGTAAGTTTTGATGTGTTGAAGGAACCTAGAATTTTATACCCTGCTAAACTCTCATTTAAAAAAATGAGAATGTAAAATAAAGCTATTCTTTTTTTTTTTTTTTTTCCAACAGAATCTCACTCTGTCACCCAGGCTGGAGTGCAGTGGTGCAATCTTGGCTCACTGCAACCTCTGCCTCTTGTGTGCAAGTGATTCTCTGGCTTCAGCCTCCCAAGTAGCTGGGATTACAGGTGCATGCCCTCACGCCTGGAAAATTTTTGTATTTTTAGTAGAGATGGGGTTTCATCATGTTGGCCAGACTGGTCTCAACTCCTGACCTCAAGTGATCCACCCACCTCCACCTCCCAAAGTGCTGGGATTACAGGCATACCACAGATTGTTTTAATCACCCCTTAAGTGAACCTCCTGCTCTCTGGAGCCACCACACCTGGCCTTGAAATAAAGCTATCCTGAGACAGCAGAAAATTTATTACACAAAGACTCTCTTAATTGAATACTTGAGCAAGTAAAGAGATGGACTTCGGCAAGCTCCAAGAAATAACTAAGGCACTTTTGGCTTTTATTGTATTTATTAATTTATTTTTGAGATAGGGTCTCTTGCTGTTATCCAGGTTGGAATGCTGTGGCATGATCCTAGCTCACTGTACCCTTGAACTCCTGGGCTCAAGAGATTATCCCACCTCAGCCTCCTGAATAGCTGGGACTACAGGCATGTGCCACCTTGCACAGCTAATTAAAAAAAAAATTGTAGATTTTGGGATTACAAGCATGAGCCACCGCACCCACCACTTTTGGCTTTTAGATGTGGTGGAAGGAAGACACAGAAACTGATAAGCATTAGAAATTGACAGTGACAGGCTGGGTTCAGTGACTCACACCTGTAATCCCAGCACTTTGGGAGGCTGAGTTGGGTGGATCACCTGAGGTCAGGAGTTTGAGACCAACCTGGCCAACATGGTGAAACACGATCTCTACTAAAAATATAGAAATTAGCTGGGCATGGTTGTGCACACCTGTAATCCCAGCTACTCGGGAGGGTGAGGTGGGGGAATCACTTGAACCCGGGAGGCAGAGGTTGCAGTGAGCTGAGGTCGCACCACTGTACTCCAGCCTGGACAACAAGAGTGAAACTCCATTTCAAAAAAAAATAAATGAATAAAAATTAAGGCAATTACCCTTTACCCCCCTCAACACCTATGAAAGAACAGGAACAGGCAATTTATAATCTCATTATGTAGACTTAAAACACACAAAGAATATTATATATATTTAAGGATAGCCATGCATTTACAATAAGTGGAAGGTGTCCTGGAAGGACACATATTAGCCTATTAAGAGTGGGCACCTAGGGGAATGAAGAGGGGAAACAAGGGGACTTGCCTGAGCATGCGCCATGAGCCTCAGTTATTATTGCTCATGATCTGACATGTGATTAAATCAAACAGCACAGGAAGGCCAGAAGGGAAACAAGAAAGGGATAGAAGAGAAGAGAGCAAAGGAAGATAAGAAAAATGCAAGCTCTGGCTGGGCACAGTGGCTCACACCTGTAGTCCCAGCACTTTGGGAGGCTGAGGCAGGTGCATCAGCTGAGGTCAGGAGTTCAATACCAGCCTGGCCAACAGGGTGAAACCCCAGCTCTACTAAAAATACAAAAATTAGCCCGGCATGGTGGCGTGCGCCCATAATCCCAGCTACTTGGGGGTGCTGAGGTGGATCACGTGAACCCAGGAGCTGGAGGCTGCAGTGAGTGGAGACTGCGCCATTGCACTCCAGCCTGGGCGACAGAGTGAGACTCTGTCTCAAAAAAAAAAAAAAAAAGAAAAGAAAAAGAAAAATGGAAGCTCTGGAGTCAGTTATCTTGGTTCGAGTTCACCTTAGCCAAGTTACTTTCCCTCTGTAAGTCTATTTACTTATCTCTAAAACGGGCATGATGTGAGTACCTCCTTCTAGGCCTGAGGAGGATTGAGATGAAATACTGTATGGAAAACGTTTAGTGAAGCACGTTGTTAATGTATAATAGATGTCAGCTACCGTTATTCAAAAGTGCGGCTTCCAGAGACAGGCTGACCAGGGGGAGCCTGAGGATCGGCCCAAAGAAGCCAGCTGTTAACTCGGGTTGGAAGGTGCCCAGAAGTACTCTGCAAGCCACAGCGTCTACAGGAAGTGCCCGGGTGGCCACGGCTCTCAAGAGGAATCCACACTAGTTCCTGCCACCCTGTTTCTGCACATGCTGTTCTTTCCGCCTGGGATGCCCTTTCTCCCTGCTCTGCCTGGCTAAGTTCTCATCATGGTCCTCTAAGGCAGTTCAAGAACTCCATGACTACGACCCTAGCCCTGCACCCAGGGCCAGGGTGGGTCCTTCTGTGGGGCTTCCTTGGACATAGCCCAGAGCAAAAAGAGATGCAGCTCTTACTCTGATAAACATTATTAAATGAATAAATGAATGAGAAACATCACTTTATGGATTTTTTTTTTGTGTGTGGCAGGGTCTCACTCTGTCACCCAGGCTGGAGTGCAGTGTCACAATCTCGGCTCACTGCAGCCTCCCACCTCAGCCCCCCCAAGTAGTTGAGACCACAGACACGCACCACCACACCCGCTGGCAATATTCCTTCTGAGCAGGCTCCCATGCACCTCCGTGTTCCCAGCATGGGGATCTGTCTCTGGCGTGGAATAATGACCATGAGGAAGAGGTTGACAGTCAGTTCTCACACAACACTTAGGACCTGCCAGGCACCGCCGTGAGTGCTTTAGCAGACATTCACAACAATGTGAGGTAAACAGTATTGTCATCTCTACTTTATAGGTGTGGATACTGAGGCACAGCAGGTAAGGAACTTGTCCAAGGCCACATAGCACATAGGAGCAGGCTGGCCCTAGAGCCACTGCCATCAATCTCCCACCCCAGGGGGCACTTGGCAATGTCTGGAGACATTTTTGATTGTGACAACTAGAGTGATATTCCCAGCATCCAGCAGGTAGAAGCCAGCGATTCTGCTAAATGTCCTATAACACACAGAACAGCCTCCCACAATAAAGACTTATCTGGACCTCAGTGGTCACTAGTGCTGAAGCTGAGAAACATTAGGTATCACTGCCTTTGCTGAGTGAGTCCCTGAGCAAATGCCCTGGGTGATCTTTGTTTGGGTTCCACTTGACTTCGTAAACATAGGTAGAGGCTCCTGGCAACTTGCCCGCTGCAAGATCAGACATCCAGGTTTGCTCTCCTCTCTGCTATGCCATTATCTTGCTGCGTGGCCCTGGGCAAGTCGCTGTTCCTCTTTACCCCTCAGTTGCCACCCTCTTTCCAACCTGAAGACTGGTCTGGGTGCCCCAAGTGACAGCAGCACTGCCCTGGCTATGGAGTCTCTGGGCTAGACAGAGCTGGCACGCTTGGGTGGGCAGGCTTTCAGGGCTTGCAGAGTGGGTGGCTCATTCCCTTGACAATCATCCAGGGCTGGTTACGTTCAAATGCCAAGGAGGCAGAGAAGGGAAGGACACTAGCTCAGTTAGCCAGTTAGCTCTCGGGAATGAATCTCTGAGTAGAAAAGCCCAGCCTGGCCGGGCGTGATGGCTCAAACCTGTAATCCCAGCACTTTGGAAGGCCGAGATGGGAGGATCGCTTGAGTCCAGGAGTTCAAGACTAGCCCTGGCAACATAGTAAGACCTCATCTCTACAAAAGAATACAAAAATTAGCCAGTTGGTGTGGTGGTGGCATCTCTAGTCCCAGCTACTCAGGAGGCTGAGATGGCAGGATCGCCTGAGCCTGGAAGTGGGCCATATTTGCCCACTGCACTCCAGTGTGGGTGACAGACTGACTCTATCAAAAAAAAAAAAAAAAAAAAAAAACCCAGAAAGCGAAAAGAAAGAGAGAGAGAGAAAGAAAGAGAAAGAAAAGCCCAGCCTGATATAACCTCAATTAGCAATTTACTCATTCATTTATACTCCACAAACACTGAGTATCCACTGTGTGCCAGGCGCTAGTGTCAGTGCTAAATGAGACAAACTCCACCTTCTCCACCCTGCCCAGAGCAGGGACTCCCCCTTGGGGCTTTGGCCTCCTTCCTCCCTGAAGGCTGCAGTTCCTGACACCTCAGCTGACCTCAGACCTTGGGCTTCCAGGGGCTTCTCCAGGAGCACAGGGCCAGACACCCACTCTTCCCTGCTGCTGCCCCCAAAACACAACCTCCTGGGAGGTTCCGGGGCTCCCTGGTGCCCTGGAGAGCTAAGCTTTCCCAAGGCCTCACCAGGATCCCAGACGCTGCAGGGCAGCCCTGGCCTCCCAGACAGCTCTGGAGTGGTGTTCCCAGTGTCCGGATGCAGCAGGCTGTGATGCTCCCTCCTGTGGCTCGGAGCCCTGAGCATGCAGTGAAGGAGGAGATGGGCAAGCAAGGCTGTTAACATGGCTCAGCTGCCCACAACCTCGCATCCTTACCCTGGCCCCCTCCCTCCGTCCCAAGCCAGCTCAAGGAGGGACCTAGGAGTCTGGCCTTTGGGTTGATAGCAGGAGGAAAACACAGGCTTTGGTCAGTCAGATCTGGCTTGAAATCTTGGGCTGCCACTTATTAGCTGTGTGACCATGAGCAAGTTGCTTTGCCTCTCTGAGCCTGTTTCCTCCTCTGTAAAATGGGGGTGATAGGGCCCAGCTTTCCTTCCCTAAAGTGTCTAGGGGGCTTGGGACTGAGGCTTCCCTTCCTCTGACCAGCTGCCAGTCTTATTTCCCCTGGCAGGAGGGGCTCTGTTCTCATCCTCTGTGGGCTGTAACAAGAATTGGAAATGGAAAATCTATGATTCATAATGACATCTGTGTGTGCCCCAGAAGGCGGCAGTGCTGCCTTAGGGTTGGGCTCTGGAAGACCAAGGCCTCCTGAGCCCTCTGCTGGCCACTCTGGGCTCTCCTCCGCCCATGCACGGTAACAAGAACCTACAGGACCACGGCTGTTGGCATCCAGGAAGCCATGAGAAGGGAGGTGGCCAGCCCAGTACATGCCAAGCACTGGTGCAGGATCCTGCCTCAGGCCAAGGCCCTGTGCCTTGCCCCATCCACCCCTTGTTACCATGGACATCACCTCTACCTCCCCAAAACCTCAGTGGGGCCAGCAGGGAAAGTCACTAGAGCCGGGGCCTCCTGATGTCAGGCCAGACCTTGGCCCCCGTCTGCTCGTGTCTGCCAGGACACCTCTCCAGGGGCCACCTTCTGAAGCTGCCCCTTCTGCCCTCCACCTGTAGCACCTTCCCTGCCCTTCCTCCTCTTCTGCCTTTCCCAGGCATCTTGGACGCTCGGGGGCCTCTTGACTCTCCTGCTGGGGACACAACATCCCAGGGCAGCAAGGATTCCAGGATCCATTCCTGCCTTGCCTTGAAATGCAGCCCATGGCTTTGGAGGAATATATACCACCCTAGCAGCATGCTCTAAAGCTGCCGAGCCCTTCCTGGGGCACACCCCGCCAGGCTGAGCAAGAGTGAGGGGCTCAGAGGAACATGGCCTGGGCCCCAGGGGCTGCCGGGTGACCCCCGGAACAGGGGCTTACGTGCTGGATCAGTGTCTCCACGATCTTGTAGAGGTCAGGCATGTGGGTCACCATGTCTGTCATGTTGTCCTCAGACGTCCTCACCAGTGTCCGCCCAAAGACCAGGGCCAGGTTCCGGGGTTCCATCTGGGCAGCAGGGAAAGCAGGTCACTGTCAACATCCTGAACTCAGTCCTCCCTCACTCTGGCCCCTAAGGCCTCTATCCCCAACTACATCCTCACCAGTCCCCAGCTTAGAGGGTGGACACCCCCTTGTAGGGGCATGGAGATGCTTGATGAGTAGAGCACAGGCCAGATTTCAGCCCCTTTCATCCCCAGGCCCAGCAGCCATGAGCAGTGCCCAACCTGCACACCTATACAGGGCAGCCCTGAGTGGTCAGTGCCAGCAGTGGGAGACCCTTCAGTAGAAAACATGTTGGAGGTCCCAGGGGTTATTTTAGGCCTGGGAAAAAATCTGATCACTTCCAGGTGCCTGTAATCCCAGCTACTTGGGAGGCTGAGGCAGGAGAATTGCTTGAACCTGGGAGGTGAAGGTTGCAGTGAGCCGAGATCGTGCCAAGGCACTGCAGACTGAGTGGCAGAGTGAGACTTCGTCTCAAAAAAACAAACAAAAAACACAAAAAATCCTATCACTCCCCTCATTTTCCCCACTGCAGAACCAGAAGGCATAAGGGGTTTGATGAGGAAAATGCAATACGAGGGACTTGAGCTAAGTCGGAGGATGGCAATGCATCGGATACGGGGAGCCGGGGTTCCCTGCCTCTGGAAAGCCCTCAGAAACTCAGGAGATGGCTCTCTGGGGGAAAGCACTGACCAGCATGTAGGAGCGGGATGGGGACGGAGCAGTCATAGGAGGAGGGCGTGCCTAGAGGGGCCTGAGTTATTGGACCTGCAGGAGCTCAGTGCGTGCTGAGGGCCCCCACACAGTAAGTCCGTGCTTGCCTCCCCCAGACTCCATGCGGGACTCCTACCCACCTTGTTTTTCTCAGAGTGGTCAGCGATGGTCTTGAGATGGCCCACAAGGAATTTGAGTGTTTCATAGTAGTGTCCTGGGAGATCCCGGATCTGAGCAGGAGAGAGGAGGGGCATGGGGACAGGCTGTAAGGGCCTGCCCCTGTCCCCTGTCACCACCATGCCCCAAAGATCTCCCACTACCATGCCTCAGGGAGTCTGGAACCTATCCTCTAACCCCCGTTCTCTTGTGTGGATGGGGAAACTGATGCCCTGAGTGGAGCAGGGCAAGGCCACAGGTGTCGTGGGCAACACCGGACTCCCTGCCTCCTGGGACAGAGGTGCTCAGGCAGCTGCCCCACCTCGTGCCTGGCAGCACCTCTCTCTCCTTACCAGCTTCCGCAGCGTCCTCATCCACTCCCGCGCGTCCTCAATGCAGTTGGCCTCAATGAAGTCGTTGTATTTGTCTAGAACACAGCAGAGACTCTTTAGAGAGGTAGGGGCAGCACCTTACCCTGTTCTCCAGGCCGAGGGCCCTGCTGGGAGGGCTGTGTTTTGAACTCCTCCAGTTCGGGGGCTCCAGCATGGGCGACAGCCTCTTGTGTATGTGAACACACCCACCACAGCTGCACTTACCACAGCTGCACTCACCACAGCTGCACTCACCACAGCTACACTCGGGTGTGCACCTGACCTGGGGTAGCCCAGCTGTGTTCATTTGGGAGGCAATATGACCTGAGGTGCATGCTGATCGCAGAAAAGGGGTCCATGCCCCCGTCTCCAGGACATGGACACCAAGGTTCAGCAGGTCAGAAGAGAAGGGCACCTGGAGAGGAGGAGGGGCTTCAGACAGCCTCGACCAAGGATTCCCCCAACTCCCTTCAGAACAATTCCATGGGGACCTTTAAAGAATGGAACATGATAAGCCTATTCTGAAATTCATCTGGATGAGCTAATGCACAAAGACAGCCAGGAATAGTTTTTAAAGAAAGAGTAACGCGGGAGGATCTGCCCTACCAGGGACTGAAACATCCTGAATGGATGGCACAGCTGAAGCCGGCTGGCATGGCAGAAAAGGCAGAGCAATGTTAAGGCTAGAAAGGGGGGAAGCGGTCCATGTGGATATTTATTATATGATAAAGGCAGCACTTCCAATCGGGGGGAGGGATGGGGGCCTCAACAGATGTCCCCGGGACAAATGGCTACCATCGGGGGCGGGGGGGATCATTTCTAGCTCACAATACACAAATGCAATCACACGGCAGAGCCAATTGTGAAAATTATAAAAGCACTGGGGAAAAAATAAGAAAATATTTTTATAATCCTAAGGCCATCCTAAACATGAGATGCAGAATCCATGAAGAAAAGATGAACAGCTTTGGTCACATTTTAAACAATTGTTTTCGGCCAGGCACGGTGGCTCACGTCTGTCATCCCAGCACGTTGGAAGGCTGAGGTGCATCAGCTGATCAATTGAGGTCAGGAGTTCAAGACCAGCCTGGCCAATGTGGCAAAACCTCATCTTTACTAAAAATATAAAAATTAACTGGGCATGGTGGCAGGTGCCTGTAATCCCAGCTACTTGGGAGTCTGAGACAGGAGAATGGCTTGAACCCGGGAGGCCGAGGTTGCAATGAGCCGAGATCGTACCACTGCACTCCAGCCTGGGTGACAGAGTGAGACTCAGTCTCAAAAAAATAAATAAAATTAAATAAAAATAAAATTAAAAATTGTTAGGCAGGGCGCGGTGGCTCACGCCTGTAATCCCAGCACTTTGGGAGGCCAAGGAGGGTGGATCATCTGAGGTCAGGAATTTGAGACCAGCCTGGCCAACATGGTGAAACCCCGTCTCTACCAAAAATACAAAAATTAGCTGGGCATGATGGTGGGCACCTGTAATCCCAGCTGTTCGGGAGACTGAGGCAGAAGAATCGCTTGAACCCAGGAGGCAGAAGTTGCAGTGAGCCGAGATCGCACCATTGCACTCCAGCCTGGGCGACAAGAGTGAAACTCTGTCTCAAAAAACAAAACAAAACAACAACAACAAAAAATTTGTTTTCAGTTTCTATACTGCAAAGTGAAAAGGCAAATGGCAGGCCAAAGCAAATATTTGCAAAAACTAACAAAGGGTTAATATGTGTAAAACACAAAGAGCTTTTCTCCCACAAATCAACATAAGAAAAAGATAAACAACCCAACGGAAAAATGGGCACATGGTCTGATCAAGTAATTACAGAGAAAATAGAAACAGCCAATATGCTAATGAAAAAAGATTTAATCTCCCTAGTAATGAGGGCAATGAAAATAAAAACAATAATGAGATGCCATTTCTCTTATCTGATTAGCAAAAGTTTAAAATATTAATAATATTTAATGCTGTCTGGGTGAGGTGGCTCAAGCCTAAAATCCCAGCACTTTGAAAGGCCGAGGAGCGATGATCACTTTAGACCAGGAGTTGAAGACCAGCCTGAGCAACGTAGTGAGACCCTGCCTCTACCAAAAAAAAATTTTTTTTTTAATTAGATGGGTATAGTGGCACAAACCTGTAGTCCCAGCTACTCAGGAGGCTGAGATGGGAGGATCACTTGAGCCCAGGAGGTTGAGGCTGCAGTGAGCCATGATTGTACCACTGCATTCCAGTCTGGGCAACAGAGCAAGATCCTGTGTCAAATAATAGTATTTTTATTTTTATTTTATTGTATTATTTATTTATTTATTTATTTTGAGATGGAGTCTTGCTCTGTCACCCAGGCTGAAGTGCAGTGGTGCGATCTCGGCTCACTGCAACCTCTGCCTCCTGGGATCAAGCAATTCTCCTGTCTCAGCCTCCCTAGCAGCTGGGACTACAGGCACCTGCCACCACACCCAGCTACTTTTTGTATTTTTAGTAGAGATGGGGTTTCACCACAGTCAGGCTGGTCTTGAACTCCTGACCTCAGGTGATCCACCCGCCTCAGTCTTCCAAAGTGCTGAGATCACAGGCATAAGCCACCATGCCTGGCCTTCAAATAACAATAATAGTTGTAATATCCAATGCTGTTGGGTATGTGGAGAGACAGACTCCTACATTGTTAGTGGGAGTCTAAATCAGGGCCTCTTTCTCAGAGTGCAATTGACACTGGTCTCAGAAAGGTTCACCAGGACTTTGACCCAGCAATTCTACATCTAAGAATCCCCTTAGAGAGCACAGATCCAGGCGTGCAAGGACTTATTCAAGGAAAGCCATTGCAACAGGTTGTGTGATAGCAAACATTTGAAGACAAGCTAAATATCCATCAATAGAGGAGTACTTAAAGAAATTATAGTCTATTCAAACCATGAAATTCTATGTGGCTGATTTAAAAGAAGAATGAGGTAGAGCTCTCTGCACTGACATGAATGAATCTCAGAATTACAACTCTGCTTTTGTTAAAAACAACTCAACCAGCGGTGTGCTGGAGTCCACTCACACCAGCTCCTGAGAGCGACTGTGTGCCTCTCTTCCCAATTCCATGTTGGTGACATCATGTTGGTGGCTTGAAATAAACCATGGTAGGAGTATTTACACCATGGAAGCTGGAAAACGCTAGGCATTAGGGCTTTTTTCTCCCAGAAACAGATGTTAAACATCTGCCAGCACACCCCTGAACCCACCCAACTCCAAACCCCACGCAGGCACGTGTGTATCTCTGCCATGCATATAAGAGGGCCAGGAGAGAAACACAACAGATTGTGAATAAGCAGTTCAGCAAACGGCCAAAGCCCATCGGAGCCCGACGCCTGGGGTGGAATCCTGGCTCTGCCATTTACAACCTGTGTGACCTTGGGCAAGGCATTAAACCTCTCTGAGCCTTGGTTTCCTCATCTGTAGAGGGAAGACAATAGCACCTTCCTCATGGAGTTGCTGTAGGGAGTTGTGCTTGGCACACACTAATGCTCAGAAAGTGTTAGCCACAACCTCCCGTGAAAGGGAGGAGGAGATTCACAGGGTCCTGTGCTGTTTTTATTCACATCTGCACAATCTATGTTTTTTTTAATAAGCTTTTGTGTTAAAAAAAAAAAAAAAGCCAGCATGGTGGCTCATGCCTGTAATCCTAGCATTTTGTGGGGCTGGGGCAGGCAGGAGGATTGCTTGAGCCCAAGAGTGCAACACCAGTCTGAGCAACATAGTGAGAAACTCCCCCCATCTCTGAAAAAAACTTTTAAATTAGCTGGGTGTGGTGGTGTTCACCTGCTGTCTCAGCTACTCAGGAGGCTGAGGTGGGAGGATCGCTTGAGCCCAGTAGCTTGAGGCTGCAATGAGCCGTGATTGCGCCACTGCACTCCAGCCTGGGCGACAGAGCAAGACTGTCTCCAAAAAAAAAAAAAAAAAAAAAAAAAAAATAGTAAAACCAAATGCAAAAGTAGTGGTCAGGGGTGCGGCACAGACTGGTGTCCCCTCCCCACCCCCACTTCCACCTCCTACTCACCATCAGTGAAAAGAGGCTCGGGCAGCTTTTGGAAGAAGGACTTGAGCAGGCTGTTGATCACATTGAGGTCTTGCCAGCGCTGGGGGAGGAGTCAGATGTCAGGCCACAGGCAGGCCTAGCCCAATGCCCATGCCTCCATGATCATTCACCCCAGAGCCCAATCAAGCCCACCAGGCCCTCCCTGGGACCCACTTAGACTAAGCTCTCTACTCATCAGGATGGTGGCAGCAGAACTGAGTCCCCAGAGAGGTCCTGTGCCCACACTCACACTTGGCCCCAGCCCCTCCCTGCTCCTGCCAGCACGTGGGCTCCAACACCTCCCCATTCACACAAAGTCCCAGGCACTGTGGGGACACAGTGAGTGGCAGCTGCTGCCTCCACTGGGCACAGTTTAAGCATCCGTGACACAGCAGTCATTCATGCCAGCTCCTTCCTGTCTCAGGTCCTCTGCATGTGCTGGTTCCCTCAACCAGAACTTTCCTCCCCGCCTCCACACAACTGGCTCCTCATCCCCGCCTAAAAGTCGCTCTTCAAAGAGGCCTTCTCTGACCCTCATAGCTAAAGCAGCCACCTTCACCACTGCCCTGTCACCTGCACCCCAGCCCTGACTTTGTTTCCTTCATGGCGCTTAACCCAATTTGTCATTATTTTCTGCTTTTGTTTCTATGTTCATGCCTGTCTCCCTGCAGGACTGTAAGCTCCAGGAGGAGCCAGGATCCCGTCTGTCTCATTTCCCACTGTGCTCCTATCACCTAGCTAGGACAGTTAGCCTGATACTTACATGGCCCTAAATCAGTAGTTCTAACAGAAGGAGGCAATTTTGTCACCCAAACTCCCACTCCACCCCCAGAGGACATTTGACAATGTCTGGAGCCATTTTGATTTTCCCAACTGGGAGGTGACACTTGCATCTAGTGGATCGAGGCCAGGGATGATTCCAAATTTCCTCCAGTGCACAGGGCAACCCCACACAACAAATAATTGTTCTTCCCAAAATGTCCACTGAGGTTGAGAAACCCTACTCTAAAATAAATGGTTGTTGAGTACAAGAACTAACGGCCGGGTCGTTGTCCCTTCTGTCCTCCAGGGGGCACCATCACCCCACATTGCAACCAAGTCGGGCACAGCCGCCTCGCTGGGAATGGCTCACAATAACTCAGGCCCAGAAAGCGACCTAATACCCCCAACAAAGAGACACAGCACAGCAGTACACACACTCATTACAATGGATCCACAGCTTAATGCCAGACAATCCCATAAACAATACACTCCCCACAGGCTCACCAGGGGTTAGATTCATCCCCCACTACACTTACTCCCAGCACGACCCACAACAAATGACACAATGATATCCAAGACAAAACAACACACTCAATATACCTTGTATGCCCCCAGCTGGCCCTGGCTTGGACCAGTTGCCTGCCAGCATGGCCCCCTCATCTCACACACACCCAGTGCGGCTCCTGCCCACCCGACTCCGTTACCTCCTGGCCCTCAGGTGTGAGCTCCTCTCAACTCCCAGCTGCCTAACCCAATGCCCTGGCCAGTGCTTCCTGGCTCCTCCAGAGTGAAGTGTCTGCCCTCACTCCAGCCTCACCGGCGGTCCTCTCCTTCTGTCCCACTCAGCACATGGCCCCTGCTGTTCTGTGGCCCACCCTTGGTCATCCCATGCCCCAGCTGCAGCAGGACCCATGCCACTCTCTAGTCCACGCTCAATCTAGCGCCTGTTTATGCCCTCGCCCCATGCAAGGGACTTTCCATACCCCAAATCCAATGGAGCCACTCCCTGAGACGGCCCTTCCCTTCTACCTCTCCTCACGCTGCCCTACTCCCTGGTTTCTGCCAGGGGAAGATACCACCAGCCCCAGCTCAAACATGCGGCTCTTCCTCGCCCCTCCTTCCTCCCTCTCATGCAGCCAACTCTTAGGGTTGCTCCCATCCTCCCCCTTCCCCCGGGACCACCAAGTCCTCCCGACACTTAGCGCTTCCATAGATCAGTGACTTCTCCCCAGACCCCTGCCCTCCGCATTCCTATCCAATGGACATGAGCAGGAGCATTACTCTTTCTTGAACTTTATACTCACGATGCCTCCCCAGCTTAAGAACCATCAAAAGCTCCCTACTGTCCATCAGATCAAGGTCGAAGTCTTCAGTGAAGCCATCAAATGCCCTCTCTGTCCCCCTGGGGCCTCACCCTCTCCACCTTCATGCCCAGGAGGTAGATCCACTCTCTGTCCTAACCCTCAAGCCCTCCCTGGCCCTTGCTGGGGTTTTGGAAAATGCCATCGTCTCACACCCCGAAAGGCTTCCTGTCCACCTACCCCCTCCTATTCATTCCTCCAATACTCAAATCCTCCAGCCACCACCTGCTCCAGCCTGAGCACCCTGTCCTTCCTCATCACAGTGTGGTCCCTGATGAGAGATCATCTTTTTCTCCTGTCCACAATTTCACACACACTTGTCTCAGCTCCTCATTCTCCAAGGACAGGAAGACTTGTGTATTCCATGAGCCTTCACGTGTGTGACTCATGGGACATCACTGCCCATGTTCATGGTTTTCCAAAATATCTTTTTTATCAGAGCCCCTTTGGGCAAATAAAATTGTACGTGAAAACCCAGTACAACAGACAGGGCAAAGGAGGGTTGCTCTAGCAAGGACACGGGGTCCTGACCTGACCCTGGCCTCCCAAGGCCCCTCTGGGGAACCCTAGGACTCTGGAGAACACCCTTTGAGAATCGCCGGCCCTACTGGAAACACTTAAGTGTGATTGCAGATTCCTTCACAGGCTGGTCTCATCTCGCCTGATCAGCCACTTCTCTTTCCATGTTGCAGCCACCCAAATGGCTGGCCATTCTAGAAAACATCATATATTCCCCTTTTTCTAAGACGGCAGTTTGTAAAACATGATCTGTAGGCAATATCTAGCCACAGCCTTCTTTTGGATGGCCCTTGAGCTAAGTATGGTTTTTACGTTGTTAAAGGATTAGGAAGAGAAGGAGGAGGAAGAGAAGGGGGGAATGCAACAGAGCAAACTACAGCAGAAAATATTTACTCTCTGCCTTCTACAGAGAAAGCTGGTTGACTCCTGGCACACTTTCGCGTCTACACCATCGCGCAGGCCATTCTGCTGCCTGGAATGCCCTCACCTAGCTTTCACCGGCCTTTGGTGAACTCTACTCATCCTAAACACTTGGACAAAACTGCTGTTTGTGAGCCTCTGCCTCAGAGCTCCCCAGGCCATGACTGCATTTACTTGGTCAGCTTCAGCCTGGGGTGATGCCCATCCCCAGGCTGGCCAGCAGAGGCAGTTCCCATCTTGCCCATCTTGGTGTTCTGGACCAATGCCGGGCATGTCATAGGGCACAATGCATGCAACACAATAGAACACAGAACTCTCCAAGCAGAGCACCACCCACACACCATCTCAGCCCCCCTTCCACAGACCCCCCAGCTTCACCCACCTCATCCTGCTGGTTGATGTCACCAGGCCCACGGTTGAGCTGCTCCTGTAGGCTGGACACCACTGCATTGTTGCCAGGCACTCGGTAAAAGCCTGTGGACTCCAGCCCTCGTGCCTCCACAATGTGACAGCATGCAGCCACGATTAAGGGGACATGCTGGGGACACAGGGGAGGGGTGTTAGGGGGGACAGGGGCCAGAGGAGCTGGGGAGGCCAAGAAGGGGACAATGCAAGGCCCAGAGCTGCTGCCAGGAACCCTTGGGGGGAACAAAAGGCCCTTGCTGCCTCCAGTCTGGGAGCTACAAATGACACCAAAGCCTCGCCATGGTCTGAGAAGGAGCCGGGCTCAGCCTCAGCCCTGCTGCTCCCTCCCTGGGAGGCCCAGGGCAGGCCTCCCCTCTCTGGGCTGTTTTCCCAGCTGTGTTTGTACAATGAGGTGGAGAGCTTGTTCCATGTCCCTTGCTGCTCTGACCCTCTGTGCCTTGGTCTCCCCCTGCCGGGCCTGCTCTGGCGTGTGGCAGAGACCCACCTGGTTCTCCGTGGCTGGCTGGCAGTCCTCCAGCCTGACCCCAAATGCCCTTGGGACAGCCTTCTTATTTTTCTTGATGATGTTGATGCCCCAGGGGGTTTTGGGGGCTGCAGCACTGTCATCTGAAGTGGGGGAGACAGAGCCAGAGTGAGCTGGAGTATCCAGGAGGGTCGCACACATTCACTGCCACATTCACACATTTGGATGTATGGGGATTCCATCAGAGAAGAAACCAGATGCCCAGGGCTGATGGGACATTGTATGGCAAGAGAGAAGGCCTGAAGGGGAGGATGCTTACCCCAAAGGAGAGGCCCAGAGCAATGCAAGGACTTCTGTGTGGCTCGTGGGCCAAAACTACAAGGCGGAAGCCATAGAACTTTGTTTCTTTAGAAACAGGGTCTCTGTCACTCAGGCTGTAGTGCAGTGGTATGATCATAGCTCAATGCATCCTCAAATTCCTGGGCTCAAGCAATCTTCCCTCCCCAGCCTCCCGAGTGGCTGGGACTATAAGCTCATACCACCACACCTGGCTAATTAAAAAAAATTTTTCTGCCAGGCACAGTGGCTTATGCTTGTAATCCCAGCACTTTGGGAAGCTGAGGCTGGCAGGACCACATGAGGCCAGGAGTTCGAGACCAGCTGGCCAACATGGCAAAACCCTGTCTCTACTGAACATACAAAAATTAGCTGGGCGTGGGCCGGGTGCAGTGGCTTACGCCTGTAATCCCAGCACTATGGGAGGCCGAGGCGGGCGGATCACAAGGTCAGGAGATCGAGACCATCCTGGCTAACACGGTGAAACCCCGTCTCTGCTAAAAATACAAAAAAATTAGCCAGATGTGGTGTCGGGCACCTGTAGTCCCAGCTACTCAGGAGGCTGAGACAGGAGAACGGCGTGAACCCAGGAGGCAGAGCTTTCAGTGAGCCGAGATCACACCACTGCACTCCAGCCTGGGCAACAGAGCAAGACTCCGTCTCAAAAAAAAAAAAAAATTAGCCGGGCGGGGTGGCGCATGCCTGTAATCCCAGTTACTAAGGGGGCTGAGGCACAAGAATCGCTTTAACCCAAGAGGTGGAGGTTGCGATGAGTTGAGATCATGCCATTGCACTCCAGCCTGAGTGACAGAACAAGACTCTGTCTCTAAATAAATAAATAATATATAAAAAAATATTTTGTAGGGATAGGACTTTGCTATGTTACCCAGGCTGGTCTCAAACTCCTGGCCTCAAGCAATCCTCCAGCCTCAGCCTCCCAAAATGATGCTGGGATTATAGGTGTCAGCCACCATGCCTGCTGGCCCAAGGGAACAACTTTCTTTTATTTATTTATTTAATTTATTTTTTTTGAGACAGGGTCTTGCTCTGTCACCCAGGCTGAAGTGCAGTGGTGTGGTCTCGGCTCACTGCAACCTCCACCTCCCAGGCTCAAGTGATTCTCGTGTCTCAACCTCCCAAGTAGTTGGGATTACAGGTGCACACCACCACGCCCGGGTACTTTTATTGTATTTTTTTTTTGAGACGGAGTCTTGCTCCGTCACCCAGGCTAGAGTGCAGTGGCGCAATCTTGGCTCAATGCAAGCTCTGCCTCCCAGGTTCATGCCATTCTCCTGCCTCAGCCTCCTGAGTAGCTGGGACTACAGGTGCCTGCCACCACGCCCAGCTAATTTTTTGTGTTTTTTAGTAGAGATGGGGTTTCACCGTGTTAGCCAGGATGGTCTCGATCTCCTGACCTTGTGATCCACCCGCCTCGGCCTCCCAAAGTGCTGGGATTACTGGCGTGAGCCACCGTGCCCGGCCTTTTGTATTTTTAGTAGAGTTGGGGTTTCGCCATGTTGGTCAGGCTGGTCTTGAACTCCTGACCTCAGGTGATCTGCCTGTCTTGGCCTCCCAAAGTGCTGGGATTACAGGTGTGAGCCACCTTGCCCAGCCAGGTAAGAACTTTCTAATAGCCAAAGGTGAGGGAAATGGGAAAGGTTGCTCTTGGAAAGGGTGGGCCTCTCATCCCTGCGGAGACACCAGCAAAGATTAGAGGACCACCCAGCAGGGATGTCAGGGAGGGGAATCAGGCTCCAGGCCCTTCCACCCCAAGACCCTGAGAGCCCCCAGACCCTCACAGGCATGCACATGCAGACAGACATACCGGTAACCCTGGCACACAGTCAGGCACACACGAGCAGACACAGCCCAACACACACACACATGCTCTCCCCTCTCCATGCCCTCTTCCCCAACACACCACCCTGTCTCAGTGGCCACCTTCCTACCTTTGCTCCCTGCGGGCAGGTCCTGAGTCCTGAGGCCACGTGCCGCACTCTGCTTGAGGAACTCAGACTTGAGGCCCCCCAGGCCGCGAGAGCCTTTGGGGGAGGAATCAGCTTTGGGCCCAGAGCTATGGCTGTGTAGGAAAAAGGGGGAGAGGAGAGGTCTTCACTTGGGGTGGCCAAGCAGGCCACCCACCCTGGCCTCCTGCCCCTCGGGACATCCCCTCCACCCTGAGGCAATGCCTCCATGCCAAACTGCAGCCTGGAGACCCTGGATACCCTGGATACCCCTTTCCCCAGCAGAGGGCAGCCCTGGAGGTGGTCCAGGAAGACATCCTCTGCCTTCAGCCCCCTACCACCCCCACAGAGGAGACTGCTCCATGAGGGCTAGGCCTCACCTCACTTTGCGATAATCATTAAGCTTCTTGCTGATCAGAGCTTGGTTGGCACAGCCGGGGTCCTGAAGCAGGAGAGGAGAGAGCGGATCATGTCAGTGCCCACAGCCAGCCCACCCCTGGGTTCATCCCTAGCCCTGCTTCCCCTCTTGTCCACCTGCCAGGTGGACAGCCCAGACCCTGGAGTGAGAAAGACCAGGCCTGGACTCCCCAGCACCCTCTCACCAGCTGAGGCCTTGGGGAAGCCTCTTAGGCTCTCTGAGCCTCAGTCTCCTCGGTAATAAACATGGGGGGCTAAAAGGGAAGGCTCGGGGCTGGGTGCAGAATCATGCAGCACTCGCCACTTTCCTGGCAGATGCTGAGCAGGCATGGAGGAGGTGCCCCAGGAGGGACTGCTACTGCCATAGTGATGTGACTTGGAACCCCCCTGACTAAGCCTTGTTGGAGACAGCCAAGCCAGGCCCCCAGAGGAGGAGGCCCAAATTCCAGGTGCCTTCCTCCCTGCAGTGGGGAAAGCTGTTCCCGGGAGAGCAGAGCCTGGTCAGCGAGAGGATGTGTCCTCAGCAAGAGGCCATGCACTAGCGCCCCCTCCCACGGCCAGAGCAGGCCCAGGCCCACTGCCCTCTTGGCAGAGACCCCAGGCCCGGGATGCCCACATGACTTTGTGTGGGTGTCTCAAGGCACTTCTGTGCAGGCTCCTGGCCAAAGAAGTAAACAGGGAGGAATCCCTACCTAGGCCCCTGGAGTGTAGCTACGGCTGACCGCAATGGGCGCCATTAAAAAAAATTCTTCGGCTGGGCGCAGTGGCTCACACCTGTAATCCCAGCACTTTGGGAGGCTGAGGTGGGAGGATCATGAGGTCAGGAGATCAAGACCATCCTGGCTAACACAGTGAAACCCCGTCTCTATTAAAAAAAAATTAGCCAGGCATGGTGGCATGTGCCTATAGTCTCAGCTACTCAGGAGGCTAAGGCAGGAGAATCACTTGAACCTGGGAGGCGGAGGTTGCAGTGAGCTGAGATTGCGCCACTGCACTCCAGCCTGGGCAGCAGAGCGAGACTCTGTCTCAAAAAAAAAAAAAAATTCTCCCAAAGTCCCTGCCGAGGCCCTTGGCTCCAACCCTGCCCACCTGTGGCCAAAGGCCAAGCCTCTCAGCCTCCTCACAAGGTCAATGTGTTCATCCTCCTGCAGTCAGGCCAGCCCAGTGCAGTTCTGGTGTGGGGACACTCATGCCCTAACACACTCCATAGGAGGCCCCTGCCTTCCTCGCCTGCTGAGAAAAGCTGAGACTGGCCTGGAGCTGACCACTCCACATCAGAGCCTGCTCATGGCGATCCTAACACAGTCACAATAATCCCTGTCATCATTAGGGTCAGGATGGTGACTGCTGGTCCCCGCACCCGAGGACGCCAGGTCCTCCATGAGCCCTGCCCTTGCACCCTTGTCACACCGAAACCTAGGGGGACACAATCACGAGGTGCACTCCTGTCAGCCCCCCTTTCTAGCAGAGGGAAGTGAGGCTCAGAGCGGACATCCCAGGTCCACAGCCGGTGAGAGGCCACCCCGCCCGCCCTCTGTGGCCGCCGGGCTGGCCGGGCCCTCACCTCGCCCTCGGCCCTGCTGTTCTCCCGGATCGCTCTGATCCCCCCAGCATGTCATCCCGGTCCTCAGCCTGAAAGAGATATTCACAGAAGTCAGCGGTGGTCAGCCGGAACACGTGCCTCCTCTTGGTCTCGCTGTAGATGTCCACGAGGCAGGAGCCGACGCAGACGGGCGCCGCCTTGTCCTCACCTGCGCCGGCCCCCACAGCCCCCGCCGCCGCCGGCCCGGGCTCCCGCTGCTCCTTGCTCAGCGAGAGCGAGCGCGCCAGCAGCGCGGCATACACCCGCTTCCACTGGCGCAGGCCGCTGCCCGCTTTCTGCAGGGAGACACGGGGTTGGGGGAAACAGGAGTGGTGAGAGGTCAGTTCTGCCCACTGCTCTCACAGTAGCAGACAGCGGACAGCCGGGGGATGGACCCCACGCTGCCTACCAGGAGCCGCCTGCTCCACCCGGCTAGACCTGGGCAGCCTCCTGCCCACAGCCCACCAATGCTTTCTCAGTCCCTCGCCTGCCTAGACACCCCTACCCATCACCCTAAAGCCCGCCAGCAGACCCCAACCCTCTCCCCCTCTAAACACCAGCATCAACACTCACCGAGCGGTGGCAATGCTCAGACACCCAGCATGGCCCTCCGTACATGAAATCCTCGGGAAGCCATTCCCAGCCCACGCCCCTCCCCAGGCTGCCCCTCACCCCAGCAAACCTGCTCAGAAGCTGTCCGCACTCTTAGAGGGTCGTTCTCCCCACTTTCCTGCCGCCCACCCAAGACTCCACTTGCCCAGAAGCTCCTCTCAGGGACACCCAGAACCGCCATGTGGCCAAAGCCAATGGCTGCTTCTCCCCAACTTGCCTTAACCCCTTGGCGGCATCTGACACAGCCAGCCCCTCCTTCCCTCTCCAGACCCCATCTCGGCACCTGAGACCCCACGTTCCCGGCTTTCTTCCTAATGCCACTGGCTCCTTCCTAGTCTTCTCTACTTCCCCTCCCCCACCCTCTACACCTGTAGTTAAACAGCCAGGAGACTCGTCACCACGGGACATTTGTGTGGAGGGAGCTGGAGGGTGTGCTATGGCATCTGAGGGATGCGGCTAAACATTGCGCAATGCACAGGACAGCCTCCCCCAACAAGGAATTATCTGGCTCAAAATGTCAGCAGAGCAGAGGGTAACAGACCCCGCCCTAAAGGAGGCGGAGCTCCAGAACTTCGCCCTGACTCTCCCCTCCTCTCCTCTCCCTGCACACCTCCCTCAAGGATGTCACCTGTGCCATGCCTTTAAACCAGGTCCACCTGCTGATGGCCATTCCCGAGCCCAGCATCTCCCCCAGCCACAGCCCGGCACCCCCACCCTGCTCAGTGTCTTCATTTGCAGGTCCCATGGGCACTTTGCACAATACTTGCCAGGCCATGTGATTTCTTACCATCAAACCTCTTCTCCACTCTCTACCCCCATCTTTTCCAGCTCAGTCAATCCATCCAGTTGTCCAGAAACCTGGGAGCTGCCCTTGACTCCTCCCTTTTCCTCGCCCTTGACATCCCATCCATCAGGAAGTCACAACTGTTCTGCCTCCAAAACATCCCCTGTCTCTGTCTTTCCTGCCAGAGGAAAGACATCTTTCCATGCCATCAACGCCTCTTGCTTGGAGGATGCACAGACCTTCCCAGTCTCTACTCTTGCTCCTGCATCCATTCTCCAGCAGCAGCTGCAGCAATCATGTTAGAATGAAAAGGAGATCACATCTCTCCCATGCTCAGCATCCTCTCAAGAGATCCCATCGCCCTCAGAATCAAATCTAAAGTCTCCTGTGGTCTGTACCTGCCTTTCTCCAAATTCATCTTCACACCTTTCTCACTATGTCAAGCCAGGGGGCCCTTGCAGGTGAGCGAGCCAAGCCTTTCTTTTCTCAGGGCCTCTCTGCTTGCTGTTCCTTCTGCCTAAGCCCCCCTCCCTCACTTCTATATGTGGCTGCTTCCTTCTTCCCCTTCAGATCTGAACTCCAGCATCACCAATGTCACCTCCTCAGCGAGGCCTTCTCTGGCCATATTTTTCCCTCAATGCAGCTCCCGCTTCTGATCAGCTTGATCCTTTCCAAGAACTTACTGCAGCCTCAGGCTGTCCTGGGGACAGGGAGCTTGTCCGTCCTCTCATTTCCATATCCCAGGGCCTACAGCAGCATGCAAGCGCTCATCAATATTTGTTGAATAAATGAATTAATGATCCTTGGAGCACCCTGAGGGCAGGAGCTCCATCTCCCATCAGACCAAGAGCTCCTCTCTGCTGGCTGGTGGCTCCACATCCAGCACAGGTCTCAGCTCTCAGAACAAACCAGACAAAGAGGTCCCGTGGCTGGCAGATGGGCACAGCCCACATCTGGCCTCCCATCATGTGGATCCTGAGCTGTGAGCCCTGCTCATCACAGAACTGCTGGAGGGGGACAGGGACATTCAGAGTAGGAGACAGCAGAGCCCTCCAGGGAGAATTTTAATGTGACAGTGAGGTGGTGACAAGGGCACCTCTCTGAGGCTAAACCAGCGGCATGACCTAGGACAAGTCAACCGCACTCCCAGGCCTCAGTGTCTCCGGCTGGTAAATGAGTGAGGGAGTTGGTCACCAAGGCTGCATGCAGCTCCCATGCTGGGGCTGAGGCTGCGGGGACAAGTCACTGTCCCTTTCCCTCCTCTGCCTGACAGTCCGTGTCTCTGAAAGAGGCTGGGGCTGGGAGGGAGCACAGAGAGGGTGCCCATGGCCTGGGTGGACCAAGGGCCTGAGGCTGACTTGAAGACTCTCCTCTAACGTCCAGGCCACAGCACCAAAGGAACAAGTGACATCGGGTTTTGGCCAGCAAGGGAGTGGAGGCCTGGTCCTCCAGAACTGGCCAGTGAGCAGGAAGGGGACAGCTCCTGTCCCTGAACTGGGCTCAGGGTCCCCAGGAGCTGAGGGTCAGGCTTCCCAGCAGGGGGAGCCAGCCACCCTCACAAGGACCCTTCATGTGGCTCACACGTTAGACTGGAAGGGCTGGCTCACTTGCGGCTCTCCTCGCACAGTGCACGTGGCTGGTCCCTCCTTGCCTCATGGCTCCCACCCCACGGGTCGCTGCCAACTTGCTGGCTCTTTTTGGTCTCTGTTGGCCTCCCCGGCCCCCCCACTTCTCTCAAGGCTCAGCCAGGTCTCTTGCCTTCTTCCTTCAAGCCCCTGCACAGAGGCATATGTAACTCGTGGGTGCTGACAGACAAAGGCCGTCCCCAGGTGGGCCTCCCTCTAGTAATACGCCCTCAGAGCCTCTGTCCCCAGGACATCTCCACTGGGGTCTGTCCCAGGGCCCTCAGACTCACATAGCCCAAGTGGAGCCACTTGGCTTCCTCTCCCCAAACCTGCTCCTCCAGTGTGCCATGGCCCAGGGAGGGTCTCACCACCCACCACCCTCCCTCAGCCCAAGCCAGGAATCCAGGAACCTTATCGCCTCCTCCTCCTTCCATACCTCCCAGCAGCCTGCAAGCCCTGGCCGTCCTTCCCATGGAATCTCTCTCTAAAGTGTCCGCTCCACCCAGCCCCACACCACTGCCTTGGGTTGGGGCCCCCAGCCTCACTCACCTGGACAAGGGCAATGGGATTGGCTCCTCCTGTCACAGACATAACCCCAGTCTCCTGCCAGCCCCAGCCCACATTTAAAACCCTGGACAGAGCCGGGCACGGTGGCTCATGCCTGTAATCCAAGCGCTTTGGGAGGCCGAGGCAGGCAGATCACTTGAGGTCAGGAGTTCGAGACCAGCCTGGCCAACATAGTGAAACCCAGTCTCTACTAAAACTACAAAAATTAGCTGGGTGTGGTAGCAGGTGCCTGTAGTCCTAGCTACCCAGGAGGCTGAGGCTCCAGAATTGCTTGAACCCGGGGGGCGGAGGTTGCAGTGAGCTGAGATCGTACCACTGCACTCCAGCCTGGGCAACAGAGTGAAACTCCGTCTCAAAAATAGATAAAATAAAATAAAATAAAATAAAATAAAATAAAATAAAATAAAATAATAAAACCCTGGACAGGCTCTTTCTGGGTATGAAGGCCCCACACTCTGGGCAGGCGCCCAATTCCCCAGCTCATCTTCCACCTCTCGCCCTGGCTCCCAGCACACCTCTCCCCACCTCTCCCCAGGACCCTCTAAGGAGACATCCTCCCTGTCAGGCCCCTCCACTGTCTCCCAGTTTTGTGGCTTCTCATCCTTTCATGTCTCAGCCTCTGGATACCTCCCTACCCATGCCCACCTGCCCCTGCACCCGGGCATCACGGCAGTCTGTGCACTTGGAACCATGATGCCACATGCGTTCTCTCCGCTCAACAGGAGCAACAGGAGCCCCAGGAGGGCAGGGCTGCCCTGGCTCCCTCACCACTAACTCCCCAGAACCTCCACAGAGGCTCCCGAGCAGGGAGGCCTTAGTCATTCTCCACGGAGGCGCATCAGTCCCGCCTCGACTTCACCCTCACTTAATCCACAGCAGCCCTTGGGGTAGGATAACATTGTTCCCATCGTACAGATCAGAAAGTGAGGCTCGGGGAAGGTAAGTGGGGTGCCCAAAGCCATGTGCTTGATATGTGGCTGGATAGGAACTCGAAGTCTGTCTGCTTCAAAGCTTATGTTCTTTCCAGGGACCCTCAAGACCCCAGAAGGCAGGGCAAAAAATTCAAATAGCAGTAAGTGGGCTGGGCACAGTGGCTCACGCCTGTAATCCCAGCACTTTGGGAGGCCAAGGCAGACAGATCATTTGAGGTCAGGAGTTCGAGACCAGCCTGACCAACATGGTGAAACTCCGTCTCTACTAAAAAAATACAAAAAAAAAATTTAATTGGGTTTGGTGGTGAGTGCCTGTAGTCCCATCTACCCAGGAGGCTGAGGCTGGAGAATTGCTTGAACCCAGGAGGTAGAGGTTGTAGTGAGCCGAGATCGCGCCACTGCCCTCCAGCCTGGGCAACAGAGCGAGACTCCATCTCAAAAAAAGAAAACAAATAGCAGTAAGCAGAAGTACAGCAGCTTCAAGTGCCGGGCACTGGGTAAACCCTTTACTTAGATCATCTCATTTAATCCTTAGCAATAGGCTTATGAGCTAGGGATTACTGTTAGCTCCATTTACAGACGAGGACACTGAGTCACGGCCAGGTGAGTCACCCAGGCTCTCAGAGCAATGGGCGATGTAGTCAAGAGTCAAACCCGGGTTCATCCTAATTGCCGGGAGGGAAGGCAGTGGTCTCTCCTCCCACTTCTCCAGCCCACAGCACAGCCTGGGGCCAGGATTTGCACCCCATGGATCCAGGGGCTCTGCCCTTCTCCTCTCAGAGTCCTGCTGGTTCCCTCCCAGGCCCTCCCCAAGTACTCCCCAAAGCCCCCTTTGCCTCTCACCTGGATCTCCACGGTGGCTCTAACTGGTCTTCTTGCCTCCAGCGTGGCCCCTCCCTAACTCACTCCCAGGGAGCCAAATGAATATTTTAAAGCTGTAACTCCCTTGGCAAGAGCCCCCGAGAGCTTTTGGTTGCCCTTAGGATGAACACTAAGCCCTTTGCTGGCTTGCCTGCATCTTCTTGGGCCTTAACTCTCCTACGGAAATCACCCCAGCCTTGCTCCTTATTTTCCATGAGCCCCAGCGGCCATCTTCAGGATGGCCTGTCAAGCCAGGGCCACTGTGGGATGGTTTTGCCAGAATTCCAAGCACGACTCGATCAGATCCATCCCACAGCAAAATCCACCTCTCTTGTTAACTTCTTTTACATAAGTTCTTTAAATCCCCCTGCCAGGAAGTTCTTCCTAACATCTATCCTCCATCCTTCATGCAACAACCTACACTGGTTCTCTCTGGCTCCAGAGGCTGTCAGGGTAGGCCTAGGAGAGGCTGGAGGGTTCTGCTGGAGCCAGCTTTCACCTCATTCCTCCACCCATCTTACCTTCCCCTTCTTGGTGAGAATCTGCTTATAATACAACCAGCCTTCTCTCCTGATATTGCTGAAGGTCGCATCTGAGAGGTCAGAGGTTGAGTGTCGCTTAGAAGGAGCGTCAGCGTCTTCAGAGGTGCCCCAGCTATCCAAGGACTGCAGGGAGACAACAGAGGACAATTTAGGGTGGCTCCCACAATGCCAGCATCTCAGGAACCCCATGGACCACTTGTGGCCGCACAGTCCTGATATATGTCTGTGCTACACCCCGATGTGCCGTGCGACCTCATGGGCATTGCTTGTCCTCTCTGGACCACTTGTGTTGAGGTCATGAGACATACGTAAAGGAGAAGCCAGAAAGGAGGAAAGGCTATGACCTGTCAGCAGACCACACGCCTCACCATGCTAGAGGAGCCAATTCGGAGCCTCCTGTAACTTTATAGACTTAGAAGAATTAAGGAAATGGAGGAAGTGATCGTGTCAACGAGGAGTTAAATAAACAGGGGAAGTGGGAACATCAACAAAGGCTGAGTGAGTGGAGCAGGTAGTCATGTCCACGAGGCGTTAAACAGAGGAAGTGACAGTGTCAACAGGACTCCAGCCAGAGGGCGCAAGTCAAGGGAGAGTTAAGTAAGCAGAAGAAGTGATAAGAAATAAGCTAGGTGCCAATATCACCGGGGTGTTCAACCAACCAATGAGACAGAGCGCTTGACATCAAGATGGCTTTTCCAGTCCATCTAGAATCAAAAACAGCCAGGGAAAGATGGGGCGGGCACGGTGGCTCATGCCTGTAATCCCAGCACTTTGGGAGGCTGAGACAGGCAGATCACTTGAGGTCAGGAGTTCAAGATCAGCCTGGCCAACATGGTGAAACCCCATCTCTACTAAAAACACAAAAATTAGTCAGGTGTGGTGGCGCATGCCTATAATCCCAGCTACTCGGGAGGCTGAGGCACGAGAATTGGTTGAACCCAGGAGATGGAGGTTGCAGTGAGCTGAGATCGTGCCACTGCACTCCAGCCTGGGCAATAGAGTGAGACTCCATCTCAAAAAAAAAAGAAAAATCGTGCATGAAAAATATATATGTGATTTTAAAAACAACAATATGTCCAGGTGTGGTGGCTTATGCCTGTAATCCCAGTATTTTGGGGGGCCGAAGCAAGAAGATCACTTGAGGCCAGGTGCGGTGGCTCAGGCCTGTAATCCCAGCACTTTGGGAGGCCGAGGTGGGTGGATCACCTGAGGTCAGGAGTTCAAGACCAGTCTGGCCAACATGGTGAAACCCAGTCTCTATTAAAAATACAAAAATTACCCAGGTGTGGTGGCACACGCCTGTAATCCCAGCTGCTCGGGAGGCTGAGGCAGGACAATAGCTTGAACCCAGGAGGTGGATGTTGCAGTGAGCCAAGATCATGCCACTGCACTCCAGACTGGGCAATAGAGTGAGACTCTGTCTCAAAACAAACAAACAGCCAGGGCTATCACAGGCCTGATCCTGCCTCCCCAGGTCCTGAGGCTGGGAACTCCACCTGTCCACCAATCTCAACCCTGTGTCCAGGCCACACCTTTCCAGTGTCCACCCCGACCCCATCCCATGAAGACAAGACGCGATGCAAATACTGACTCAGGGTAGTGAAGGAAACAAATGAAGCACCAAATATAAGCTCGGGGAGCTTCTATTCTAGCTGGGGAGCCAGGCAGGGAGGAAGGGAAACACCAATTGTGCATGAGGCGTGCTGAGGAGGAAAACAGAGTAGCGAAGGGAGGCATGAAATGTCAGGAGTGGAGACTGGAATTTCAGGGAAGACCTAAAAAGCTGC
Organism: Homo sapiens; assembly: GCF_000001405.40. Lineage (NCBI taxonomy): Eukaryota > Metazoa > Chordata > Mammalia > Primates > Hominidae > Homo > Homo sapiens. The sequence goes on along the minus strand of NC_000016.10, from coordinate 32,918,017 downwards.
AAAGACAGTGGAGAAGTGAGTCGTGTGGCTATGGGGGATGGGTCTGGAAAGAGGCAGTCCAGACGGGGGCCCCTGGGTGGGGCTGCATGGTGTCATTCAGGGAAGTCGGGGCCCACAGCAGAGGGCCGGTCCCGCGGTGGACACAAGGGTGAGGGGTGCAGGGAGGAGGGGGAAGGCAGGAGCTGGAGCAGGAACCCCCATGCCGAGGCTGTGGCCCCACCTCCCTGACACCCTCTCTCCCCACACCCTCACTCCTGCGCACACACACAGACCTGCAACTCACCCCGTCTGTGAAGAAGCTCCGGAGCAACGGCAGGCTGGGTATGCGGTTTGGCAGGTGCCTGGGAAGCAAGGGTGGAGGGTGAGGGATGTGGGCAGCAAAGCTGGGACCTCACTATCTCGTCACCCACCAAACCCCAAGCCCAGAAGCCTTCCAGCGGGGGAGACACACTGTCCCATGCATAGAGGACCCCCAGGGCCAAAAGCCCTGCCCCAGAGCAGCTGGCCAGGGTGGCTGTGGCCACCCCACCCCATGTCCAGACAGGGCCTCACCGCAGAACCTGGCCCTCATCGCGGAAGGTGTTGAGTCCATCATCGCAGGACTTGGAGCGCTCCGTGGTGATGGCCAGCAGGTAGGAGGAGCGGCGGCCAGCCTTGATGCTGCCTGCAAAGCCGCCCGCATCGGGCCTCAGGGTCAGCGGGGCAGCAGGTCAGGGGCTTCCCAGAGCCCTCCCTTCTAGGCAGGGGCCGGAGGTGACTCTCCCAAGGTGCCCCAGGAGAAGCGGAAACCAGAGGAAGAGGCCAGACATCAAGCAGCAGACCCAACAGAGACCCCTGGGAGTGGGCAGTGAGGGAAAGGGTGGGGCTGGGGGTGTGGGGAGAGCTCACTGCAGTCCCGCGAGTAATGCCGTCCGAGGGTGAAGGTGAAGGTCGGGGAAGATGGGCTGGTGCCCAGGACAGCGGCTGAGTTCATGGCACTGGAGACCACAGCAAAGGCAGGGACATGCTTGGCTTGGAGGTCAGTGCTGGGGCTGGTGGGCTCATCTATGCATGTGGAAGGAGAAAGGTGTGAAGGCGGCAGACAGCAGAACCTGCTTGCCTCCACCCTAGCCTTGCCAGCCCCCGTGCCACTCACCTCCAGGCTCAGACACATCCCAAAGGGTCCTGCTGGCAACATGCCCACTGTCAAGCGTGACTGGCCCACTGTCCAGACTGTGGCCATGGAATCCTTACCCTCAGGAGTGGGGCTGAGACACCCTCCTTAGACCGGACTCCTGAGGACAGAGCCAATATTCCCCCATCAGACTGGGAGCCTCCTGAGGGCAGGGACGGTGTCTCCCCCATCAGACTGAGGGCACTCAGAGAGAATGAATTATGTCTCCCCTCTCAGACCAAGAGCCTCCTGAGGGCAGGGACAGCGTCTTCCCCATCAGACTGAGAGCTTCCTAAGGGCAAAAGCTCCCCCATCAGCTGGGGCTCCTCAAGGGCAGAGATGACATCTCCCCCTCAAACAGGGTGTGCTCTGGAAGAAGAGACTGCCTCTCCTGGCCACAGCCTAGAGCCTTTCATCAGGGGTCAGTGGTGTGGATGGGGCCCTTGAGACAATCCAGTGAGATCTGGAAGTGAAGAAAAAGATTATAATCTGGGATAAATATAAAAAGTTACAATAAAAATTTTATTGCAAATTTACAAATTATGGTTGTTTATATGTACATGGTAAAGGGCAATGTTATGATTTGTGAATACAATATGAAATAACTAAGATAATTAAGAAATAACTGATATAATTATCATTCATTGTTTCAAATTTTTATCTTTTATTGTGACAACATTTAACATTTACTCTTAGCTCTTTAAAATGACCAATGTACTATTTTAAATGAACCATAGAAACCAATTTATGTAAACAATTGAAAATCTGGGAAATCAATTATGAATTACTGTAATAATTTAATAATTAAAAGTTAATAATGTAGTTAATTAAGTTTGATTTTTTTCAAACTTTTTTTATCATTTCATTGTAATGTTTAATACAAATGCCTACATATATATGCATTGGTCTGTGTATTTATACATCTTTCTATGGGTATAAATTTTTGTCCCTATAGCTATGTAGTTGCTGATGTCAACAAATGTTAATAAAACTCTGGAAGAATCAGTGCAAACAATTAGGAATGTTTATTTCTTGAAAGTATATACTTAAAAATATAATAATATGTAGAATGTTAATAATTACTAAAATTTAAACATTAATGATAAAATTCATAATAAATATAAGTAACAAAATATCACAGCCTAGAAGACTCCAGAGTCCTGCGAAGATAAACGTGACTTTTCCAGCTGAGGAGAAAGGAAACCTCTCCCGGCACCAGCTCCTGGGACCTGTCCCGTCCTCAGTGGGTCCCGAGCGCCCCCTGGTTGCCCCGCGCGCCCCTGCAGGGAGGTTTGTGTCTGGGCTCACACTGACCTCCCCTCACTGTGCCTGTGGTACAGTAATACACGGCCGTGTCCTCGGTTTTCAGGCTGATCATTTGCAGATACAGCGTGTTTTTTGAATCATCTCTTGAGATGGTGAATCTGCCTTTCACAGGTGCAGCGTAGTCTGTTGTCCCACCATTAGCTTTGCTTTTAATACAGCCAACCCACTCCAGCCCCTTCCCTGGAGCCTGGCGGACCCAGCTCATCCAGGCGTTACTGCAAGTGAATCCAGAGGCTGCACAGGAGAGTCTAAGGGACCCCCCAGGCTGTACCAAGGCCTCCCGCAGACTCCACCAGCTGCACCTCACACTGGACACCTGCAAACACAGAGACACTAAGGTCAGAAACTGCCACACATATCCACTGTTTCTCTCACTCATGTCCACTCACACTCAATCTCTCTAGCTCTCCATAAATCACCTTTTAAAATAGCAGCAAGGAAAACCCAACTCAGCACAAACTCCATGGTGATTCCGGTGTGTTCAGTCCTGATCACTGAATGAAAATACTTGGGAATCCCAAGGCTGGGGCTCCTCTCCCAGAGCTGCAGGGTCAGGACTGGGCTGGTTTTCATCAGGAGAGGGAGGGCCCTATTTGCATGTCACCTACTATATAGCAAGCTCTGGGGTGGGACGCCTGAGCAGAGGGCAGTGCCCAGATAAGGTAATGATGCCCTGCAAGAATCTGATGACAATGATGGTGTTTGGAAAACTTGCTGTCTTATTAGGAAATTGTGCTGTGATAAACACTTTGCACTAATCACTCTCTTACATTTTTACATATTTGTGTAAATCATATTTTTAGGGGTCAATGGTTTCTCCATTTACAGATGGCGAAGTAAACCCATACGTGGAGGGGCTTTGTATGTATCTAAGAGCTCATACCTGAGGTTAGTGAGCCCCAGTATCTGGGCCTGTGCTCCTCATCCACTGGCCCTATATTACTCCCTAACCCAACTCCAGGACAGAGCTGGGCATGCCTAGTGTGGTTTGTGAAACCCACTTTCTGTATTGAGAACATGTGTAATTTTGCTGCATTCTAGCATTCACCTAAAAATATGGTGAGAACTAGGGTTCACGAAGATAAATTATTAGGTGTTTCTGAAATTTAGTATTTTTTCTATCTTTATATCACTTACTTCTTGTGCAAGTTTTCATTTGTTTGCTGGTAATAAATTTTATAAATTTCAGTTTACTGATAATAAACTTCACATATTTAAAGTGTACAATTGATAAACCTGATGTAACCATCCTAGTTATCAAGGTGAACCAGAAAATTCTCAAAATTTCCCTCTCATTCTTCCATATTCCTCCTCCTTTCCTCTTCCCTTCTTCTACTATTTCCCCAAATGGTAAATTCTGATCTTCTTTATATTGCTGTAGATTCAATTTAATTTATCAGAATTTATTAAAATGGAATAACATAGTACATATTCCTGTTTGCTTTATTTTCCTGAACATCAATACTTAGATATTTTACCTTGTTGTTATATTGCTTAAGTTCAGTTTTTATTTTCCAGAATTTATATAAATGAAATTATATGGTAAATCTTCTCATTTGTCTGGTTTATTTTACTCAGCAAAAATACTTAGATATTTTACCTTCTTGTTGCATGTATCAGACAATTATTTATTATAAATGTTGTGTAGTATTCCATTGAACTAATTTACCATAATTTGATTTTCTGTTAAGCAGCTTAACAATGTTCAAATTATTTTATTACTCTGGTAGTACTAAAAATCTACTACTCAACTTGAAAATGTACATAAATGAGGAATATATTTTCTTTTTTTCTTACAACTACATCAACAATAACAGATAAACAGTCAAGATGAAATTTTGCAAATTTCTGAATGCTTAGGATAACTGAAGTTAAAAAAAATCTTAAATTTAACAAGAAGCAAGTTCTTGTAGAGAGTAACAAAGCCAGCATATGAGATTACCTAAGGCAGAGTCTGGCGTATGAAATATAGGCTGTTAAAGATAAAAATACAAATATATATGGGATTGCTTGAAATTGAATATGGTTAGCTTGTTGTAGTTTGAAATTCTAAGGGACCACATACTGAAGAGCTTTTCTATCCTCTTGAATCCCTTTCCCCAAAAAAGGGGCAGTCACAAAATCTTCCTTTCCCAAAGTGTCTGTCTGGGAGAGAACAAGAGCCCCCATTTTTGAAAGGCATTCAGACTCGACTCCCTTATATCCACTACAGAACTAAAAATTACTTTGCAGGGGTACCACCAAAACCAGTAACCTACGGGCACTGGTGAAACTCCTCAGGAATTGAGATGGGAACAGAGGTCACTGCCACGAAGTTCTGTTGAGACATAACTCTCTTTCTTATGGAATCAGAGCTTTAGTCTGCAGGGCAGGGCAGCAGATCTGGGAGGTGATGACACTGACGGGGAACACTGGAGCTGTGGGAGGGAACACCTGGGGGAAACAGGGGGGCTGTACCCCAGTGGAAGGGACAAGAACACACAGATGAGCATCTCATCTGGAGGAGGGTCAGGAACACTCAGAAGGTCACACCCAGACTTACGGGCACAATGCCTTTCTAGGAATATGGACCGAGATGAGGTCAGAGACTCTTCCTTCAGTGTAAGGGCTTCCACTAATTTATCAATTGTCAGTTACATATAACGGAGGAATGCACCTGTGGGAGCTGAAAGAGATTCTCTGAAGGATGGAACAAGGAGAAGAGACCCAGTCACGCAGCAAAGAAAAACAAGATATCACTGGAGCATCTGTAGTCTCTGGTGGACATAGAAGAACAGACTTCAATTAATTGTTGAAACCTTTATATCAGTCTTTACTAATTTATATGCTAAAATAGTTGGCCTCATCAATGGAGTCTTATTATCCCCATCAGGGATGAGTGTCCATGTGGGCACGTGGTGCAGTTCTAGTCATGGGGGCAGGGGAGGTGGTCTGTTCAGGTGTTCCTGGTCCTTCAGAGGAGAATTGCAGAACTGTCTCTGCCCCTTTTCCAGCCAATATATAAAATATGTATGTGACCATGGGAATATTGTCACCATGTAACTGCATGATGGGAGTCACCTGAGGGGTGAAGCTGACTTTCTGGATGCATCAGTGTGGAAAATTGAGAAAAGAAACTTCTTGGGCACATGAGCTGTCAAATTATTCAATCCTGGAGCCACTCACTTCCAGAGGCTTCCTGTTTCATCAGGTTGTGATTTTCCTCATTGTGTAGTCAGCCTAGGTTGTCTTTCTTCACTCTCTGCTAAAATAGTCACACATAATATCTAGAAGCATTAAGATTAATAAGTAACTAATTTGAAAATTAGAACAAGTCCCAAGTGAAGTCAAAGTTACTGTGTGGTTGACAGGAAACATGGCTGGATACTAAGAGTGTGTTCACATCTGTTTTATGTAGATTAGCAACATATTTTATATATCCCTTAAGTAATACTTTCATTGAGACTCCTGATTTAACACTATTTCTTGATGAATAACACCTAAATCATAAAGGTGGAGGTTATTACCTAATAATTCATATTACTGGTACAAACTTTCACCTAGGGTATATTCCTATACCTGATGTAAAATCAGCCCAGAATGGAGAAGTTAATTCTCTTATTAGAGCTTGTCAATTAACTAAAAACCAGGATTAAATACAGATGTTCTACATTAGTGTGTAATTTTGAAATGTGTTGCAAGCAGAGGAGGTTCTTATGTCTCCTAGAAGCCCCATCAAAATGGACAAAAAAAGACACTTTTAAATAAATTCCTACATTATAGAGACCTGACATATGAATTTGAAACCAAATGCCAACAAAGGAGAAAACAAACAAATAAAACAACTAGTATGGAAGCTAGAATAATGTGATGCACCATTACACCAAATATTCAGTCTTAACATGGTTTTTAATATTATGTAAACATGGAAGGTATTGCCATTGTTCATATGATACAGAATCAATGGCACTCACAATCATCTGAATATATTGAAAAATGGCACCTTCAAATAAAAATTGTGAAAACTTCAATAAAATATTGAACTCTATTCACCAAGGGTTATACCATTAGCACTATGGCATGATGGTTTCCTCCCTCAGCACACATCAGTTATTACCCTATGACTTGGTAGCTGGAAGATTCACACTTTCGAGATTTTACCCTCATCACATACCTTTGTCCTATTGCATGCATGTGTTACAAAATATTGAAAATGATTTTTGTGTTATACACACTCCAATGACTAAAAATTTAAAGTTGCCTTTTTACCACATCTTTTAACAGCATTTTGTGATATCCGACCATGAAGTTATGTCTATTGTGTGTCTTTTATCACACAATGTGAATCTAGTTAGGAATCGCAGGAGCTTCCTCATTTGACACCAGTGGGTGTTTCACACTGTGCAATCCCCTTCCTGTGAGTGGAAAGCCTCACTCTGACCCACCACGAAACCATCACAAAAGCCCTGAGCCAGTCTGCTTTCTGGCTCTATCGAGCCATTTTGGGTGTTCCTTAGAGACCAGCACTAATCTCAACAGACCCCTCAAGAGGTAATTAACTTTTCCATATTCACATCGAGGGAGTACGCAGCACCCACAGATGTGACATCCACATGACATTTTAGTTGAGATCCCTTCGCCTTTTTGAGGTGTCAACTAGAACTGACGCTGTGAGCTTGTTGTCATGGCTGCTAAACACAGGACCCACCTGTTCCCTGAACCAACTCCAGGATAGAGCTGGACATGCCTGGTGTGGTTTGATAAACTCCCATTTTTAATAAAATCATGACATTATTTTGCTGTATTCTAGTGTTTCCCTAAAAATACAGGTAGACCCAGCGTGTATTCATATGTATATTCAGGAGTCACTGATTTCTCATAGATATTTAATGGAATATGTAATCCTTTCTTTAAATTATACTTTACGTTCTGGGGTACATGTGCAGAATGTGCAGTTTTGTTACATAGGTATACATACACACGCCATGGTTGTTTGCTGCACCCATCAACCTGCCATCTACTTGAGGTATTTCTCCTAATGCTATCCCTCCCCTAGCCCTTTACCTCCTAACAGGCCTCAGTGTGTGATATTCCCCTCCCTGTGTCCATGTGGTCTCATGGTTCAACTACCACTTACGAGTGAAAACAGCGGTGTCTGGTTTTCTGTTCTTCTGTTAGTTTGCTGAGAATGATGGTTGTCAGCTTCATCCATGTCCCTGCAAAGGACATGAACTCATCCTTTTTTATGGCTGCATAGTATTCCATGGTGTATATGTGCCACATTTTCTTTATCCAGTCTATTATTGATGGACATTTGGGTTGGTTTCAAGTCTTTGCTATTGGGAATAGTGCCGCAATAAACACACGGGTGCATGTGTCTTTGTAGTAGAATGACTTATAATCCTTGGGGTACATACCAAGTAATGGGATTGCTGGGTCAAATGGTATTTCTAGTTCTAGATCCTTGAGGAATCGCCACACTGTCTTCCACAATGGATGAACTTATTTACACTCCCACCAACAGTGTAAAAATGTTGCTATCTCTCCACATCTTCTCCAGCATCTGTTGTTTCCTATTTAATTGTCACCATTCTAACTGGTGTGAGATGGTATCTCACTGTGGTTTTGATTTGCATTTCTCTAATGACCAGTGATGAGGAGGATTTTTTCATGTTTTTTTGGCTGCATAAATGTCTTCTTTCGAGAAATGTCTGTTCGTATCCTTCACCTACTTTTTGATGGTTTTTGTTTTTCTTGTAAATTTGTTGTAGATTCTGGATATTAGCCCTTTGTCAGATGGATAGATTGCAAAAATTTTCTCCCATTCTGTAGGTTGCCTGTTCATTCTGATGATAGTTTCTTTTGCTGTGCAGAAGCACTTTACTTTAATTATATCTCATTTATCAGTATTAGCTTTTGTTGCCATTGCTTTTGGTGTTTTAGACTTGAAGTCTTTGCCCATGCCTATGTCCTGAATGGTATTGCCTAGATTTTCTTCCGGGATTTTTATGGTTTCAGGTCTTGATAAGTCTTTCATCCATCTTGAGTTAATTTTTGTATAAGCTGTAAGGAAGGGGGTCCAGTTTCAGTTTTCTGTATATGGCTTGCCAGTTTTCCCAACACCACTTATTAAATAGTTCTGGAATTCTTTCCCCATTGTTTGTGTCAAGATTGTCAAAGATCAGATGGTTGTAGATGTGTGCTGTTATTTGGGAGGCCTCTGCTCTGTTCCATTGGTGTATATATCTGTTTTGGTACCAGTACCATGCTGTTTCAGTTACTGTAGCCTTGTAGTATAGTTTGAAGTCAGGTAGCATGATGCCTCCAGCTTTGTTTTTTTTTTTTTTTGCTTAGGATTGTCATGGCTATGCAGGATTTTTTTGGGTTCCATATGAACTTTAAAATAGTTTTTTCCAATTCTGTGAAGAAAGTCATTGGTAGTTTGATGGGGACAGCATTCAATCTATAAATTGCTTTGGGCAGTATGGCCATTTTCATGATATTTATTCTTCTTATTCATGAGCATGGAATGTTTTTCCATTTGTTTCGGTCCTCTCTTATTTCCTTGAGCAGTGGTTTGTAGTTCTCCCTGAAGAGATCCTTCACATCCCTTGTAAGTTGTATTCCTAGGTATTTTATTTTCTTTGTAGCAATTTTGAGTGGGAGTTCACTCATGATTTGGCTCTCTGTTTTTCTGTTATTGGGTTATAGAAATGCTTGTGATTTTTGCACATTGATTTTGTATCCTGAGACTTTGCTGAAGTTGCTTATCAGCTTAAGGAGATTTTGGGCTGAGACGATGGGGCTTTCTAAATATACAATCGTGTCATCTGCACACAGAGACAATCTGACTTCCTCTTTTCCTATTTTTATACAATTTATTTCTTTCTCTTGCCTGATTACCCTGGCCAGATCTCTCAATACTATGTTGAATTGGAGTGGTGAGAGAGGCATCGTTGTCTTCTGCTGGTTTTCAAAGTAAATGCTTCCAGTTTTTGCCCATTCCATATGATATTGGCTGTGGGTTTGCCATAAATAGCTTTTATTATTTTGAGATACATTCCATGGATACCTAGAGTATTGAGTTTTTAGCATGAAGGGGTGTTGAATTTTGTTGAAGTCCTTTTCTGCATCTATTGAGATAATCATGTGGTTTCTGTCATTGGTTCTGTTTATGTGATGGATTACACTTATTGATTTGCATATGTTGAAACAGCCTTGCATCCCAGGGATGAAGCCGACTTGATCGTGGTGGATAAGCTTTTTGATGTGCTGCTGGATTCGGTTTGCCAGTATTTTATTGAGAATTGGTGCATTGATGTTCATCAGGGATATTGGCCTGAACTTTTTTTTTTTTTGTTATGTCTCTGCCAGGTTTTGGTATCAGGATGATGCTGGCTTCATAAAAAGAGTTAGAGAGGAGTCCCTCTTTTTCTATTGTTTGAAATAGTTTCAGAAGGAATGGTAACAGTTCCTCTTTGTACCTCTGGTAGAATTTGGCTGTGAATCCATCTGGTCCTGGACTTTTTTTGGTTGGTATGCTATTAATTACTGCCTCAATTTCAGAATTTGTTATTGTTCTATTCAGGGATTCGACTTCTTCCTGCTTTAGACTTGGGACGGTGTATGTGTCCAGGCATTTATCCACTTCTTCTAGATTTTCTAGTGTATTTGCATAGAGGTTTTTATAGTATTCTCTGATGGTAGTTTGTATTTCGGTGGGATCAGTAGTGATATCCCCTATATTACATTTTATTGCACCTATTTGATTCTTCTCTCTTTTCTTCTTTATTAATATGGCTAACTTTCTATCTATTTTGTTGATGTGCTGTATTCAGGAGACCCATCTCATGTGCAAAGACACACATAGGCTCAAAATAAAGGGATGGAGGAATATTTACCAAGCAAATGGAAAGCAAAAAAAAGAAAAAAAGAAAAAAAACAAAAGCAGGAGTTGCAATCCTAATCTCTGATAAAACATTTTAAACCAAAAAGGATCAAAAGAGACAAAGAAAGGCACTGCATAATGGTAAAGGGATCAATGCAACAAGAAGAGCTAAATATCCTAAATATATATGCACCAAATACAGGAGCACCCAGATTCATAAAGGAAGTCCTTAGAGACCTACAAAGAGACTTAGACTCCCACACAACAAGAGTGGGAGACTTTAACTCCCCGCTGTCAATATTAGACAGATCAATGAGACAGAAAATTAACAAGGATATTTAGGACTTGAAGTCAGCTCTGGACCAAGCAGACCTAATAGATATCTACAGAACTCTCCACCCCAAGTCAACAGAATATACATTCTTCTCAGCACCTCATCGCACATATTCTAAAACTGACCATATAATTGGAAGTAATACACTCCTCGCCAAATGCAAAAGAACAGAAATCATAACAAACAGTCTCTCAGACCACAGTGCAATAATCAAATTAGAACTCAGGATGAAGAAATTCACTCAAAACTGCACAACTACATGGAAACTGAAAAACCTGTTCCTGAGTGTCTACTGGGTAAATAAAGAAATGAAGGCAGAAATAAAGATGATCTTTGAAACCAAAGAGAACAAAGACACAACATATGAGAATCTCCGGGACACATTTAAAGCAGTGTGTAGAGGGAAATTTATAGCACTAGATGCCTACAAGAGAAAGCAGGAAAGATCTAAAACTGACACCCTAACATCAAAATTAAAAGAACTAGAGAAGCAAGAGCAAATTCAAAAGCTAGCAGAAGAGAAGAAATAACTAAGATCAGAGCAGAACTGAAGGAGATAAAGACATGAAAATCAACTTCAAAAAATCAACGATCCAGGAGCTTGTTTTATGAATCTTTAATTCTGTGTTGAGAAATTTAAAATTTCTTTAGTTTGATGATTGAAGTCCTTATGCCATCGTTCTGAGATTTTCTTTTTTATTTCTCATATATTTTATCCATCTCTAAATTCTTTTCTACCAAATTATATATGTTTAAATTTTTAGTATTTTAATAAGTTGAAATTAGAAAGTAACAATCTTCCCTTAATGTGTACAATTTAACAAATAATGACATAACCGTAACTTTTCTCAATACAGAAAAAATAATCCTCAAAATTTCCTCTTGTTGTCCTGTAATTTCCGCTTCCTACACCTTCCCTTCTCATACCATGACCACGGCCAACTACTGGTTTTCATTATGTAACTTTAGATTAGTTTTCATTTTATAGAATTTATAAAAGTGGAACTGTATGTATGTACTTGTATTTCTTTGGTTTATGTTACTCGTCATAAGTACTTGTGAATTTACCCTTGTTGCTCATTTCCAGCAGTACTTGTTTGAACAGTGGGTATTATTCAAGTGAATGAATTTAGAACAAAGTGTTTACTGCTTAACCTGCTGATCAATATTTGGATTGCTTTCAGTATCTGGGTATTATAAAGAAAGGTGCTACTCAGCTTAGAGAACTACACAGTTGAGAAAGACAATGTTCTTATTCCTACATCAACGTGAACAGCAGTTAAACTGAAAAAGCTGCACTTCAATACATTTTCTTCAACACATCAGGTAATTAAAGTTGTAGAACTCTTTGTGTGTGTCAGTTTGTGTGTGAGAGAGGAGGGAGGAAGGGACACAGAACAAGTGAGAGATCCTACATAATTGACCATAATTTATGAGGTGCTCAAATATATACAAGGACTTAGTCCTGAAGGACAAGGTCCACATTAGATGGAGAGGACAACTTGGTGCACCTACGTGTGGCTATATATTTATATAAATATCATTGTCTAATAATACAATAATATACATTAGAATACATATGGTGGAGAGTAAAATATGTCAGTGATGAAAAACCCCATCTCCAGCACCTTTTTTCCCCTCTTGCACCTGCCTTAATGTGTCCTGAGCGCCCCTTGGTGACCTGAGCACCCCCTGGTGTCCTGAGCTTCCCTGCAGGGAGGTTTGTGTCTGGCCTCACAATGACTTCCCCCTCTGTGTCTTTTGTATAAAAATCCATGGTGGTGTACTCATTGCACATGTAGCCCAGCTGTAGGAAAAACTGCTTTCTGAATGTGTATCTGGAGGTGGTGACTGGACTCTTGAGAAGCGGGTGGTACTGTGTGCTTCCTCATGACCTACACACCTGACCCACTTCAGCTCCTTCCCTAGGGGCTGGCAGATCCAGCTCCAGGAGGAAGTACTGGTTATGATCAGAAATCCAGAGGCAGCACAGGTGAAGGAGAGGGTCTCTGAGGGCTTTACTAGAACATGACTGCACTGAAAAACACAATTTTTGTCATACGCAGCATCTGAATGACATTTTGATGAGAACGATCCCAGGCTAGAAGCATCAATAACAAGGTTGACATCAGTGTAAGGTTGGACAGGCAGTTGCTGTGCAGATATTTTCACAGAAGTAATTCTTTTATTGTTGTGGTTGCCTTTGTGCAAGGTTGTGGCTTTTCTGAGTGTTATAAAACTAGCTCTTGTTGTTAGGGATATAAGTAATTATTTTGTTGTTGTGGTTGCCTTTGTGCACAGTTGTGGCTATTCTGAGTGTTATAAAGCTAGCTGTTGTTCTTAGGGATATAAGTAATTCTTTTATTGTTGTGGTTGCCTTTGTTCAATTTGTGGTTTTTTGGAGTGTTATAAAGCTAGGTCTTGTTCTCAGGGGTATGTGCATGAGAAGCTTCCATAAATGGCCTTCCTCAGCTCCATTTGTCAGGGTTTGAACACAAGGGACTCCAGTTGGATTCCAACAACTTTTACAGGCTCTTCTAACACTACCGGTGAAGAAGGTGACTCTGTGACAGTTTACACAGCACAGGATCAATTCCACATCCTCACCCCACTTTGACCAAAGAAGCTTATGCCCTCATTCCTAATGGCCACATGCATTCCCAGATGCGTCTCCAGAAAACAGAGTGGAGTGTGCTTAATAATGAGAGAGAAGAAAGTCTCAGCAGCCTCTCCCAATGGCTGCAGGAGTCACAGCCTGAGCCCCACCTAAGCTCCAGGGAAAGGGCTTGAGCCCCAGGATTTAGACCACAGGGACAACATCCTTTTTTCCAGAAAGCAGGAAAAGCAAATGGAAAAGCGAGAACCACTAAAAATGAAAGTCAGAAAGCACCAGATCAGTGCTGATACTCATTTGAATATTTTCAGGAGAAATGTCATACATAAAACCTGTGAGGTCCTACATGACACTGAACCTGGTCCAGCCTCTCTCTTGGCTGTAATCAAAATCCCTAAAAGCCATTCTAGTCAGGGAATCCCATTGAAGTTCCTATCCTGAGTCTGACTGGAGAAGACTCACCGGGCACCCCTGAGCTTCCTCATGACTCTGATGCTGGTGCGCATGGTTGAGGAGTTCTCATTCCTGTAGGTGGCAACGTACATACTGTGCATGTGAGAATGAGTCCTCATATGACAATGATTAAAAAAAATATGTAGAGATGACATTGGTGGGCACAGAAATCTAAAATTAAAGAGTTTCCCTACAGAAACTGTCAGAAGCAGAGGAAGTCCCAAATCCTGACAGGAAACAAACCCCAGCCTCCATGTGAACCTGCTCTGGGGTTGACTCTGATGAATGGGTCCTGAGCGCCCCCTGCAGTGATTTCCCCCAACGTTCCTGCAGGAGGTTTGTGTCTGGGCTCACACTTGTGTCCCCTCACAGGATTTCTCACACAGTAATACACGGCCATGTCCTTGGCTCTCTGTCTGTTCTTTTGCAGATACAGGGACTTGCTGGAATTGTCTCTGGAGATGGAAAATTGGCCCTTCACGGAGTCCACATAGTGCGTCTTACCGCCATTCCAACTAATACCCGAGACCCACTCCAGCCCCTTTCCTGGAGCCTAGAGGACCCAGTTTATGTCACTGTTACTGAAGGTGAATACAGAGGCTGCACAGGAGAGTCTCAGGGACCCCCCAGGCTGGACCAAGCCTCCCCCAGACTCCACCAGCTGCACTTCACACTGCACACCTGCAAACACAGAGACATCCTGGTCAGAAACTGCCACACATAGCCACTGTTCTGTCACTCATGTCCCCTCACACTCAATATCCTTAGTTCTCCATGAATTACCTTTTAAAATAGCAGCAAGAAAAACCCAGCTCAGCCCAAATTCCATGGTAATTTGTTTATTGCTGTTGACCCAATAGAAACACCTGAGAATCCCAGGGCTGGGGCTTCTCTCCCACGGCTGCAGGGTCAGGGCTGGGCTGCTTTTCATCAGAAAAGGGAGGGTCCTATTTGCATGTCTCCTATTACATAGCAAGCTCTGAAGTGGGACACCTGAGGAGAGGACTGAGCCCAGAGTAATGAGAGTGAAACAGCAAACCTGAACAACTACAGATAAAAAAAAAAAAAAAAAAAAAAAACCTCAGCATATCAGAGTTGATATCATGGAGCAAACATGAACTGAAAATTTGAGGATAGGGGTTGATAGGGAGACCCAGGATGCATATATGAGTGTACCTGGGGCAGGTGTCACTCCATGGCATTTAAGCTAACCTGGAAACATTTAGAGTTCCTTGAGGATGTGCGCATTAACAGTGTTGGAGTGTGAAGCTTCTAGAGCCATATATTGTTGCAGGCTTTCCTTACAAAGTTTGAAATATCCCACATGACCTCACACTCACACAGTGTGACCTTGCACATCCCCAAGGTCACCTCACATGTGCCCTGAGTCACCTTACACATCCCCAATGTCACCTAACACATCCCGCAGGTCACCTCAAACATTTCCCAGGTAACCTCACACAAGTTCCAATTCACCTCACACATCCCACAGGTAACCTCACACTCACCCAAGGTTACCTCACACATCCTCCATGTCACCTCAGATGCGCCTTAGGTGACCTCACATGTGCTCAGGTCACCTCACACATCAGGCAGGTCACCTCACATATTCCCCATGTTACCTCACACACACTCCTGCTAAGCTCACACATCCCCCACGTCACCTCAAACGCACCCACATCACCTCACACATTCCCCAGGTCACCTCACATGTCCCACAGGTCACCTCACACATTCCCCAGGTCACTTCACATGTCCCACAGGTCACCTCACACGTTCCCCAGGTCACCTCACACGTCCCCCATGTCACCTCAGATGCGCCTTAGGTGACCTTACATGTGCTCAGGTCACCTCACACATCAGGCAGGTCACCTCACATATTCCCCATGTCACCTCACACACACTCCTGCTAAGCTCACACATCCCCCACGTCACCTCAAACGCACCCACATCACCTCACACATTCCCCAGGTCACCTCACATGTCCCACAGGTCACCTCACACATCCCCCAGGTCACCTCACACATTCCCCAGGTCACCTCACACATTCCCCACGTCACGTCACACGTCCCCCAGGTCACCTCACACATTCCCCACGTCACCTCACACATCCGCCACGTCACCTCACACGTCCCACAGGTCACCTCACACGTCCCCCAGGTCACCTCACACATCCCCCACGTCACCTTACACGTCCCACAGGTCACCTCACACGTCCCACAGGTCACCTCACACATTCCCACAGGTCACCTCACACATCCCCCAGGTCACCTCACACATCCCCCAGGTCACCTCACACGTCCCACAGGTCACCTCACACGTCCCACAGGTCACCTCACACATGCCTTAGGTCACATCATACATGCCCAAGTCACCTCATGAGATCCCCGTGTCACCTCATGCATGTCCAGGTAACCTCACACGCACCCAGGCCACCACACATGCACCCTGGGTCACCTCACATGAGCCCAAGTTCACCTCACACATACCCCCAGGTAACCTTACACATCCCCCAGGTCACCTCACACATCCCCCAGGTCACCTCACTGTCACGTGACCAGGTCACCTCACCTTCATACAGGTAGGTCGCTTCACACATGCTATGATACATGTATACATCATGGAATTGTTTTTTTTTTTTTTTTTTTTGAGACGGAGTCTCGCTCTGTCGCCCAGGCTGGAGTGCAGTGGCGCGATCTCGGCTCACTGCAAGCTCCGCCTCCCGGGTTCACGCCATTCTCCTGCCTCAGCCTCCCTAGTAGCTGGGACTACAGGCGCCCGCCACCACACCCAGCTAATTTTTTTTTTGTATTTTTAGTAGAGACGGGGTTTCACCGTGTTAGCCAGGATGGTCTCGATCTCCTGACCTCGTGATCCGCCCGCCTCGGCCTCCCAAAGTGCTGGGATTACAGGCGTGAGCCACCGCGCCCGGCCATGGAATTGTTAATCAAGCTATTTAACATATCCATCACCTCACAAATGTGTAATTTCTTTTTTTTTTTTTTGAGACTGAGTCTCACTCTGTCGCCCAGGCTGGAGTGCAGTGGTGCGATCTTGGTCACTGCAGCCTTTGCTTCCCAGGTTCAAACAATTCTCCTGCCTCAGCCTCCCAAGTAGCTGGGATTACAGGCGCCCAACACCACGCCTGGCTAACTTTTGTGTTTTTAGTGGAGACAGGGTTTCACCATTTTGGCCAGTCTGGTCTTGAACTCCTGACCTTGTGATCCACCCACCTCGGCCTCCAAAAGTGCTGGGATTAGAGGTGTGAGCCCCCACTCCCGACCTGTATAATTTCTTAGTGGGAAAAATTTTAACATTTACATTTTTAGCCATTTTGAAATATACAATGCATTCATAGCCATATTTTCCATCTTGTGCATTAGAACACTGCAACTTACTCCTTCTGTCTAACTGGAACATTTTACACTTTGACCAAAATCTCTCCTTTTCCAGTCCACCCCTCCAGCCCCTGGTAACCAACATTCTGTTCTACTTCTGTGAGTCTACCATTTTAATGCACTACAGTGAAATCATGAATTACTTGTCTTCTGCTCCTGCTTGTTGCATTTCACATGTGGTCCTCTAGAGTCATGACTGCTGTCGCATTTCAAAACCAATCATGCCTGTTCAAGAGTCTGCCAAAGTCTTAACTCATTTGAGCCTTAACTCAAAAGTCCACAGTCCAAGGTCTCATTTGAGATGAGGCAAGTCTTTTCCATATGAGCCTGTAAAATAAAAACGAAGTCAGTTACTTCCTAGAAAGAATGGGAGTTCAGGCATTGTGTAAATACAGCCATTCCAAATGGAGAAATTGGTCCAAACTACAGGCCCCATGCAAGTCTGAAATCCAGCTAAGCAGTCAAATCTTCATGTTCCAAAATAATCTTCTTTGACTCCATGTCTCAAATCCAGGTTACCTGATGTAACAGGTGGGTTCCCATGGTCTTGGGCAGTTCTGCCCCTGTGGCAGAACATTTTTAAAACTTTTCACATGAAAAGTTTTAAAAAACTTTTGCAGGGCACAGTCTCCCTCCTGGCTGCTTTCACGAGCTGGCATTGAGTGTATGTGGTTTTTCCAGAAATATGGTGCAAGCTGTCAGTGGATCTACCATTCTGGGTTCTGGAGGGCAGTGGCTTTCTTCTTACAGCTCCACTAGGTGGTACACCAGTAGAAACTCTGTGTGGGATTTCTGACCCCACATTTCCCTGTCACACTGGGACTAAAGGCATTTGCCACAATACCTGGCTATTTTTTGTATTTTTAGTAGAGACGGGGTTTTACCATGTTGGCCAGGCTGGTCTTGAACCCTTGACCTCAAGTGATCTGCCTGCCTATGACTCCCAAAGTGCTGGGATTACAGGCCTGAGCCACCATGCCTGGCCAAGATTAATATGTCATTTAATGATGTATTTGAAAACTTCATGGTTCTACAAACACACATACATACACAACAGCCCAGCAAAGACACATACATATGCCCATGCAAAAGTGAATGTATATCTAAACACCAAAATAGCACACCTATTTGTTTCATATTTTTTAATTACTTAATTGAATTTAAACTGTGTTTGCAGTTTGAGGTTGTAGTAGAAAATAATGCTCTTCTACGTGTATGTCTGCCTATTCCAATACTAAAAAGACAAATATATTTAAATACATGTTTTGTTAAAGCTGAATGTAAATGCTGTTCTTGCCAAATATGTCACTCAAACGTGCAATGGTATTAACTTTAAATATCAGTCTGCTTTTAATAAATTGAATAACTAATAAGACAAACATTGTATTACATTATTTGTTAAATTTAGATTGTAGTTTTCAAACCAGGAAAGATAAAATTGTTTCATTTGAAAAATTAAAAAAAAAACTTTTTTGGCATGAATAT